>NC_000015.10:24488995-24792025 GCF_000001405.40 Homo sapiens
ACACTAACAAAGTCTCCAATCTGCCATCTTGAAAAAAAAAAACAAACAAAACAAAAAATGCTCCACTTTATGAGCAGAATGTTTACCAAAAGTTATTTGGACCTTTCATCCTGAAAGTGTCTATTCTCCTCCAATAATCGTTATATTTATGCAGTCATTTTTGTCAGTATGCAAACATGGATATTTGTTTTACTCTTTCCTTCTACTACTTCATTTATTTGTTTAAATTGTTGCAGTGTTGGCTATTGGAAGGTCTTTCAGTTGGATCGTTTGTCATTTTGAAACACTACCATAATGAAGCTTTGCTATTGTTATGTGGTTGGTTAGTTGTTTGCTCTGTTGTTTGGCGTTTTATTTTTTCTGGCACTACTAGGTGCTTAAGCTAATTGTGTGGATTTCCTCACAAGCCTGGTATTAACCATTTTTTCCACAGAGCCCTAGTTCTTCTTATTGGAAAATTGAATGAGAAATGGAGATCTGGGCTCTTGACATATTCATTGCTCCTGGGGCATCTGTTGATTCGTGATCTTGTGTGCTGACAGAGCAAATACATCTATGTACACTGATTCACACACACACACACAGAAACACACACACACACACAAATATTTTCTCATATATCTGTATCTTTAAGTTAAACATGAATTCCTAATAATCCTCCAGCACCCCATGATCTAATCCAGTACCACGTGAATCACTGCACCTATTCCCGCTTACTTGTGTGTAGCCTACCACACTAACAGTGATAAAGATGCTTCTGTTATTTAATCACATAATCCAAAAGACTTGTATAAGTGGTTTCAGAATTAGAAATGTATATGGCCATGAGAAAGAACTTTACCAACTAAAGTTTTTAGGGATAAATCTTTACCCTTTAGACTCAGAATATCCACTTACTTGCTACGTTCCTTGGGTCAGCTGCTTTCCCCCCTCCATTCAGTGAGGTTATTTCACTGATGTGTTATTTAATTCTATTATGTGTATAGCCCCATGCTATCTGCTACCTACTGTAGAAGGGTTTTAATTTCTATATTTTAAGTTCACTTTTTGTATTACAAAGTTATTTAGGATTTGTAAAATATAATCACGTATTTATCATTACAGTATGATACCAGAATAATTTCACTGCCTAGAGCAAATCTGCTGTACCTCACCAATTTGGCCTGCCTCTTTTCCAAGCTCCTAGTAAATACCAAACATTTTATTATCTCTATGCTTTTTCACATTGCAGAGTGTCACATAACCGAAACCACACAAAGTATTTTGCCTTTTTAAATTTACTTTTTTTTTGCAATATACCCTTTAGATTTGTGAAATGTATCTCATGGTTGTTTAGAGTTGCATTTTCCTAATGACAAAAGACTTAGGCCTCATATCATGTGCTTACTAGATGTGACTATAGTATCTTTGGATACATGTCTATTCAGATAGTTCACCAATTTGATTGTGATATTTGCCTTTTTATTTTGAGTTGTAAAATATTTTATATATTGTGGCTAATATATTCTTTTCTGCTATGTGATTGTGAAGATTTTCTTCTATTCTTTGTGTTATCTTTTCACTTTTAATTATGTACTTTGAATCTCAGAAATTTTTAATTCTTACAAAGTTAAATATATTCATTTTTTAATTTCCTTTTCTTGGGCTTTAAGTATCATATCTTAGAAATTATAGGAGTTATTGTTTAAGCTAAGACCCAAATTATGTATTTCTATATTATCTTCTAAGGGTTTGGTCTATTTAGCTCTTACATTTGGATATATGATTACTTTGAGCCAATTATGTATATGGTGTGAGTGAGAAGTTCAACTTCCTTGTGGATATTCAATTGTCCTAGCAACATTTGTTAAAATATATTTTTCCATATTGAATTGGCTTGGCAGACTTATAAAATCATTTGACTATAAAGGTAAAGATTAATTTTTGGACATTCAATTCTACCATATTCCTTTGATCTGTATGTCCAAGTTTATGCTATTATTGAGCCTTTAAATTAAATTATGATGATACTGAGTTTTTCATGGATGCCCTTTAAAATAAAGAAACTTTCCTTATAGGCTTAATTTGTTGTATACTGTTATCAAAAATGGATTTTAGATTTGTCAGGTGCCTTTCCTGCATCTTTTGAGATGATCATATGGCTTTTGTTTTTTATTTTATTCTTATAGGTCATGACACTAATTATTTTGTATGTTGAACCAAATTTGCATTCCTGGGACAAATACCATTGGTGATGGTGTATAATTCTTTTTACATTTGCTGATTTGTATTGCTAGCATTTTATTGAAGACATTTACCCTCTATTTATAAAAGATATTGGTCTTAATTTTTCTTTCTTGAGATGTCTTGCTTTAGTTTTAATATCAGTGTAAACTAATAGTATACATCAGGAAGTGATCTCTTCTCCACTTTTACTGTTGTTTAAGTTTTTATGAAGAGTTTGTGATAGATTGTTATTAATTATTTTCAGGTTTAGAATAGTTCACCAGTGAAGTCATCTCAACCAGCACAGGGCCTTGACTCCTAACAACAATCACACGAACTTGGAAGAGGAGCCTTCCCCAACTGAACCTTCGCTTGAGACCTCGTCCTTGGCCATCCTCTACATCTGGATTCATGATACAGAGAAACTGTGAGTAAGAGCCACTCAGTGTGTGAGAATTTATTATTCAGCAGTAAATAATACACCTGACAGTCAATGCAATGTGGTATCCTGGACAGAAAAATGACATTACTTAAAAGCCTAGTAAAATATGGAAAAAGCCTATACTTCAATAAATAGTTTTGTGCCAACTGTTTTTTAGGGCTCATGGTTACATAATCTATTACATTGCATGTAATTCAAAGATATCTAAAGCTTTCTGTAGTATCTTTGCATATTTCTGTGTATTTAAAATTATTTCAAAGAAAAAATGTTTTTGAAAAAAGCATTAAATGTGATATGAAAATAATCTCAAAGCACAAACAGAATACCTTCAGCTCAGGAGATGAAAGGGCACGTAGAGAGAGAATAGCAAAGCATCTTTCCATATTGATTTACCAACTCGAACACAGGTACACTTGCTTCAGGAAGATCCCCCCAAGTTCCAGAGACTCATCCTCTTTCATCTTCTTCATCATATTCCGCATTTTTCACTCACCAGTTTTAGCATCTGGTGCTAACTACGTAACCAGTTTTTGAAAGACAGATGCCTATTACTCGCATGTCTCAAAAAGCCCCATTTTCAGATATAATTTAGCAGGACTCCAACAAACAGACCAGAATTTATTGAGAGCTTGCAGTGAGGAGTGCCTTAATTCCAACACGACTATGTTGACAACACATCCTCTTGTGAGTGAAGCATTCATACAGAATGAGTCGTTGAAACTCAATAACATATGCCTACTGTACAAGAAAGGTAATAATCAATATAATGCTCTAAAATTATTCTGGGGACATAGGGGACATTTGTCCAAGATTTATGAGATGTGAGCAACCAAGAGAGCGTGAACACTGATATTTAACAAGTGCTCCAAATCAGTAGATGGGCATTTGATTTTCCAGTTAGGGCTGCAGTCAGGGTCTCTTAGCTTCAATACTATACACAGAGAATTTCAATGACAGATCTTGATTAAAATAACAATAATAACAACCCCTCATTTTTATATTGCAGCCTGGCACCATTTAACTTAATTTTACTGCATAAAAATAGCAATCCTATACTCCATGCAAACTAGAATGGCAGTGGAATTTATGTAGTGAAGAAAGTGACAAATTATTTTCCAAATATAAAGCAAACTTAAGGTTTTATAGGGAAATAAATGGGGGTAAAAATATTTTAATCCTTATTTTTCTGATAATTGTGTTCTGCTCTTATAAATAGAAAGCTGCACTTTCATTATTTTATAATATAGTGAGTTTATCAGCCACCTGTATGAAAATTGTATAGTAAGAGTAGGTATGTGTCCACTTGGTTGGTTCATTCGACTTATACACATCATTTACTTTATCTCGAATGGTTATTTTTTAAGCCTTGGTTTTGCTACAACATGTAAAGGTGTCCATCTTTTTGCAATATTAAATCTTCATTCAAGTGACTTTTCTTTGTTTCTTTGCCTATGTATCTGCGTTGCTCCTGTACTTCTGTGAACCATATTTCAGTGAGTAATGATGACACTAGCAGTCCAGCCTGCATGGATGCTGACATGGATGCTGTCTCCCATTCTTACCACTGGATGGGAAGAAATGCTAGATGCAATCCAGCCAGTCTGTACTCGACTGTCAGTTCCATCTTCTCAACTCACAGTGTCTTCCAAAGTCCGTGCCACACCACAGCCTGGAACATCTCCCAAGGTGGTATATTCAGGCAATGGTAGAGCTCATGTCACGCTATTGTATGTCTCAGGTATCACTGTCCTTCACTGTTTTATATATTCTCTCTTACAAATCATTGTTCCATACACTTTGCCTCTTTTGTGTTTGTTTATACATGTGTTATGACATGTCTAAACCTCACAGTGAGGATATTAGAATTGGGTTCTTCATATCTAGAGGTGTGGATCATTGGGAAGCATCTTAGAACCTACCTGCCACATCAGGCCCTGTCTAATCTGTATCAGTTTCTGGGTCTTCACTTATTTTTTTGCCCTTGATCTTAGTGAAAAGAACTTGTCAGGTGTTCCATAGGATGTATCACAATATGGATTTGTTATTTTTTTTTCATAATTTGAGTAAGAATAAACATTAATTTATACACGTATTTGTCTAATGTTGAAGACAAAAAAATACCTGCACAATATATTATTTAGAAATACAAATATAGAAAATAATAATGAAGAGTGAGGCTGGGCATGGTGGCTCATGCCTGTAATCCCAGCAATTTGGGAAGCTCAGGTGGGTAGATCACTTGAGGCCAGGAGTTTGAGCCCAGCCTAAGTAACATGGTGAAACCCTATCTCTACTAAAAATACAGAAATTAGCCGGGTGTGGTGGTGCATGCCTGAATGTTTCATATATTCTGGATAATAGTCTCCTAACAGTTATATGACTTGAGAATATCTTCTTCCATTATTTCAGTTGTCTTGATGGTGTACGTTGCATCTTAAAAGGTATTGATCCACATGAAGTTCAATGTATCTATTTTTTTTTCTGTCACTTTTACTTTTGTGTCACATGTTAGAATCCATTGTTTCATGTAAGGCCATGAAAATCTATTTTTATGTTCTCTTCTGTGGGATTTTTAGTTTTAGCTCTTACATTTAGCCACATATTCTGAGTCAAATACATATATGGTGCAGGAAACAGTTTAACTTGCTGTGGATATCCCTTTCTCCCAGCAACATTTGTTGAAAAACTATTTTTTCATGTTGAATTAATTTTTCAACCTTGAAAATAAGTTTGCCCTATATATAAAGATTGATTTTGGGGTGCTCAACTCTATTCTGTTGGCTTATATGTCTTTCCTCATGTTATGTGAGTTTTCCATGGATGCTCTTTGTAGGTTTAGAAAGTTTTCTTCTATGCCTAATTTTCCCAGAGCTTTTATCATGAATGGGTTTGGAATTTGTCAAATGCTTATTCTGTATCTTTAGAGGTGACCGACCATGAGTCTTTTTAAAAAATTCTATTAGTATAGTTTATAACACCAATTGTTTTTATATGTTTAACCAGACTTACATTGCAGGGATAAATAGTTTTGTTCCTAGTGTATACTCCTTTTTATATGTTACTAATTAATTTTGATAATATTTCCTTGATACTTTTTACCTGTTTCACATTGGTCTATAATTTTCTTTTCTTGAAATGTCTTTGTCTAGCTGTGGTGTCAGGGAACACTGGCTTCATACATTGCATTAGGAAAAGTTCTCTACTCGTCTGTTTTTATTGATTGTTATTAATTCCCAAAAGGCTTTGAATAACTCACCAGTGAAGTCTTCTTGACCTGGACAGAAATTGAATCCTCCCAAGAATCCCAGGAGCTTGGAAGGGGATCCTTCCCCAGATGAGCCTTCCCTTGAAATCTCTGCCAGGCATCTGACCCAGCGACCCATTTCTATCTTCCTTCTCCATGGGATCTTTGAGCCATAATTTATAAAATCACCTCTACATCTCTTGTATTTTTGTTATGTCTAATAATCTCTTGAGGTCTCTCTAGGGACAGTGACTATAAATTATCACCCTGCCCAACAGGACTCCAGGAAACTGTGTCCTGGATGTTTACAGTGTGCCTCTCCTGGGATACTTATTTATCCTGATGGATACCCCAAAGCATAAGTGTACAATCTTTGACCCAGCATCCTTCTCACAGGATATTTGTTTATACTGTCAGACACCCTTGTGGCACTTGTTCGACCTGTGTCCACTCCATTCCCACCAATGTAGCCACTGTCTAGGAGAGCTCTGAGTTCGAGAAAAGTTGAGCTCACATGTGTTGGTCATGTGAGCCACGGAGGAGGCAACTCAACAAAGCACAGGTATTTCTTGCAGGTGGGGATCGTTGGGCACCATTGCAGGGTCTAACTGACACATTAGGTCTTCTCCAATCTGCAAGTTTCATAGTCTTCACTTCTTTTTCTTGACCTTGACCCTGTTGAAATGTACAGGTCAGATATTTTGTAAGATATCCCACAGTATGGATTTGTCTCATGATTTCTCATGATTAAATTAGGGACATGTATACATTAAACACATGTCATCTAAGTTTGAAGACAAGAAAAACTAAACATCATAGATATTAGAAATATAAACATAGAGATAAATATAACAAGCACAAATTAGAGGATAACAAATAAATTCACAGTAATAGTTACCTTCAGTGATTAAGGAAGATGATGAAGCTAAGGAGATCCATTAATGGCTATCAACATATTGCTCATGTTCTATTTTATGAGGTCAGCAGTGACTTTAAATAAAAAGAAACTTTATACATTTAAGAATCGTTTAGGATTTACAGAATTGTTTTAAATATATAACATAGACTTTCCATATATCCCACTACAGTTGCTCTTTTTATTAACTTCTTAATGTAGGACATTTGTCACAATTAACCAATTTTAAACAGTATCATTATCCACTCTTCATACTTTATTCAGATTTTCTTAGTTTTCACTTAATGTCTAATTTCTATTCCAGGACCTTGTCCAAGATACCTCAGCACAGTTAAATATCACGTCTCCTTAGATTTCTCTGACTGTTGCAGTTTCTTAGCGTTTCCTAGTTTTTGATGGCATTGACATTCCTAATGTGGGATTTCTTTTTAGGTTTTTTTTCATGATGAGACTAGATTTGTGGGTTTAGGGGAGGAAGATGACAGAGGAAAGGTGCCATTCTCCTCACATCATACCAAGGGCACAGGCTCTCAACAGGCTTTATCACTGTTAATGTTAATTTGATCACCTAGATGAGGTCATTTTTATCAAATTGTCACACACGGTGAAATTATTATTTTTCCCTTTCCCCATAGAATGTTTCAGAACAAAGTCACTAACACAACACACATTTAAGAAGTGGGGAGTCATGGGCTAAGCATGATGGCTCACGCCTGTAATCCCAGCACTGTGGGAGGCTGAGACAGGCAGATCATCTGAGGTCAGGAGTTCGAGACCAGTCTGGCCAACATGGCGAAAGCTCGTGTCTATTAAAAATGCAAAAATTAGCTAGGCACAGTGCACACGCCTGTACTCCCAGCTACTCGGGAGGCTGAGGCAGGAAAATCACTTGAACTTGGGAGGCAGAGTTTGCAGTGAGCTGAGATCACGCCACTGCACTCCAGCCTGGGCAACAGAGCGAGACTCCAGACTCCATCTCAAAAAAAAAAAAAAAAGTGGGGATTCACGATCTACCTTTTTATTGGCAGAATGTCTACAAATTTATTTGAACTCTCAACTGTAAGCGTGTCTATTCTACTACACATTTATTCATTTATACATAAATTATTTATGTCATCATCTAAACATGGATATTTATTTTATACTTTACATAAGCCACTGTGCCTGGCCCAGAGCCTCTTCTTTTAGCCATGGTACTTCTCTATAATGAAGTAAAAAATGTAACAACCTGCATGTCTTGCACCTACACCAATACTTTCAGCTGTACCTTAAATAAAGCTGTAGGTGTAGAACTTTTTTAAAAAAAATAAATTTTAATTTTTTTTTTGACAGGATCTTGCTCTTACACCTGGGCTGGAGTACAGTGGCAAGATCTTGGCTCACTGGAGCCTCGACTTCTGGGCTTAAGCGATCCTCCCACCTCACTTTCCCAAGTAGCTAGGATCACAGGTGCACAACTCCATGCCCAGTTAGATTTTTTTTGTTGTTGTATTTTTTGTAGAGATGGGGTTTCACCTTGTTGCCCAGGCTGATCTCCAATTCCCAATTTCAAGCAATTCACCCACCTCAGCCTCCTGAAGTGCTGGGATTACAGGCGGGAGCCACTGCACCCGGCTGGTTTAGAACTTAGAACGTTGCTGTAGACTCTTAAATCCCTTAATATCCTTGTGAATCTGAGACAATCCCCCAACACCACTCCCCACTTTATGTATAAATACTTTCAACAACAGCCAGTAATATTGAAAACCTTGAGATGCACCCATAGTAACCTCCTGCACTGGTGTAGATTCCCCTGTGACAGGTTGTTTCTCCTCCAGACCATGCCCACCAAAGTCAAAGCCACATGGGAGCCTCTGAGCTCAGAGCCACTGTATGGGGTCTCCATGCACAAGGGCAGCAGCTCCCTGTCCTTTCTGTTGGTGAGGTGGGGAATTCAGTTCTTTTGAATAAGGCTGAGTTTATTCAATACTGATTCTGCTGGCTGACGAGTGATACCTTAAGACTTTATTTCTTGCATTGTAATATTTATCCTGGTTTTGATATGATTTGTTGTGCAAATGTGTTTAACACTTGGGTATATTTTTTTTCTTTTTTTGTTCTCATAAACATTATCTAAAACCAAATTTTTATTTTTGTGTTGTGTGTTTAAGGTCTTTAGTCCTCTGTTTTAAAAATGCATTCACAATTATTTTTCAATGAACACTTTTAAATATTTTAATCTTTTCTCGTATTTCTCTCTCCTAAACTGAATGTGAATATCACTTTTATTAGAAAAGACAGATGTTACACATTCTCTATGTTTTTGTGCAAATTTTCTCTGAAATATCTCTGGTTGAAAAGGAGAAGGACAGAAACTGTTCTGGAAGCCACAAGGCAAAATTGGCTCAGATCCTTATGCTTAAAAAGATGTGTAAAACTTTCCATTATATGGCTTAGTTTGCTGTACATGTGGAAGGTTAACAAGGCATTGATTTGTGTAGCAGTCACGTCTGAATACAAGGAGCAACCATTTCTTAACTGTGCAGGTGTGAACTTCATGATGTTGCTTTATCTTCTCCTTATACAAAGATTTAGACAATGGCTGGACTCCATAATTCCTTCCACCTCACTTCCATAAATGTCTACATGACATTTCTTTTTACAGATCACCTATTCTATTAGATATTAATTTTTCTTATTTTTCATGAGTGATTATTAAATTTGGTTTTAGTTCTCAGAGATATAAAAAATACCACTTAGAAAATGTGTACATTGAGTGCTGTAATCAGAAAATACTTTTGTGCCATTGACTTGTAAAAAGGGAATTTCAATTTTTTATTTATTGTCATTTTCCTCTACCTTAATATTCTCAAAAAGCTTTCATGCTTATGCTCTTTTTTAATTTTAATTTTTGTTGTCTTAGTCAAAAAACATGCGAGGGTTGGGAATACTTGTTCAAGATGTGTGAGACATGAGCAATCAACAGAGAAAAATACTGGTATTTTATGGGAATATGTAATAATAGATGGGCACTTGCCCTGCTAGGTATGGCAGCAGTCAGGGTCTGTGGGCTTCAGTGCTGTACACAGAATTGACAGATCCTGCTTTAAGGAAAAAAGTGCCCCTCATCTATCGTATCACAGCCTGGCACCATTTTGTTACGAAACCCAGGTTTGGCCATGGCCACTTCCAAAATCAAGTAACAGAAGGGTAGTAAAAAGAAAGTCACTGGCCGGGCGCGGTGGCTCACATCTGTAATCCCAGCACTTTGGGAGGCCGAGGCGGGATGATCACCTGAGGTCAGCATTTCAAGACCAGCCTGGCCAACATGGCGAAACCCTCTCTGTACTAAAAATACATAAATTAGCCGAGCACAGTGGCATGTGCCTGTAATCCCAGCTACTGGGGGACAGAGCGAGACTCCGTCTCCAAAAAACAAAAAGAAAGTCACTTTATTCCCGAGCTTAGCAATGTGGAAGGGCGGGATTCATATCTAAAGGAACCATATAAGTTTTCTGGGCAGAAAACAGGATTTTAAGAAGAAATATTGGCAAGCAGGGCATGCAGAAGGGGTGTGGAGGTGCAGGACCTATATGACTTGCTGGATGACTTATCTCTAGTCTTGGGTGATTCGTTAGCCTGCCCAGCATCACTGGGGAAAGAGTCAGGTTGTGGATTAACTGAGGTCTTGAGACCATCTCTGTATGGAGGAGAATTCTGGCGGATGCTTGTTTTGGTTCAAGATTTGGTAATTTGTAAGCAAACATATACTTAGCTAAGCTGACAGTGCGTGCTGGTGGTTTGGCTGGTGGAAAAGAAGGACGGAAAAGTTTGAATTTGCATTTCTAAGGAGCTAAGTAAGACATGAACACACAGGAAAAAGAGAAAAAGTACATATTTTTTAAGGAAAATGAAGTACTTGGTTACAACACCCCACTGTCACATTCCACTTTATTTTTATTCAATTGGAGCATCATACTCACTTGGTCTGCTTCCTACTGAAAGGGGGCATAGTTATAGAGCATTAGAATGAAATCTGTTTACTTGGAGTTGGAAATATTCTTGAGTTTTCAGCAGGAACTTACTGTGCATGTATGGTGTGAGGATCCAAGAATTTCTGAGAATGATTTCCTGCATCTCCATGCAGAGTGTACAACAGCAATAAAATTCATAGCAGCTGAAGAGGGCATTTAGCAGTATTAATAATATATATAAAAGTATTTGATGCACCAAGAAGCCGACTAAATCATGAAGTCATAGAGTCCTGAGAGAGGGCATCTTTAACAGAAATATGGGTATCTACATGCATAGCTTGGGTTATATTGTGAGAATAATCTGGTGTGTGTGTGTGTGTGTGTGTATGTGTATAAAATGGTCAGTCTTAATGAATGCACAAGTGCCACCCTGGGCTACAGTGAAGATATCTAAAGCCATATGATTTAAAGACATCCTGAGATTAGACATAGCATTAGTTTGCTTGTGCATGTCTTTTAGGGCTGAGGATATGTTTCTAGAATTATCCAGGAAGTCCACACAGCATTTAGTCTTAATTATAGTGCAAAGCCCCAAATGCCAGTTGTACCCAGAGCTCCTGTGGAGGTATGAGGACAAGTCGGTTAACTATACATACTTAACAGGCTACAGGAGGAGTTGCAAATATTCATGAAGGTGGTGCTGACCTATGTTTATTAACAAATATCCATGGAACATGCAACTCATTTATTTTGGGGCAGGGACTTAACTTTTAAATGTATTATAATTATGCCCTATATTTCAAAAGTTCTTTTGAAGACAAAGGCATGCAAGTGTGCATTTACTGTAAACCGGCCAAAACTAGCTTATGGTGAGTGATCTTTTATCAGGAGAAAATTACTGAAATTGGTCTCTTGTCTACTTCAATCTGTAGTTATGGCTGGTGGAACGTGGCTGGGGTCAGTCAGTCAGCTTATCTTGAGGCTAGTGCTTGCTTGGCTGCTAGAGAAACACAAACCTTGTGGCAGCTGTAAACATAGTCTGCTTTTTTTAAACTGTAGGGATGTGAGACTTAACTCTTGCCTGGCATGTTCTTAAGTCCTGTTCATAATTTGGTATTTTATTGTTATAGTCTGTTTTACAGTTTTTATTGTAATGTTAATGCTGATCAGTTGTGCATAAATTCCCACGATGGGAGCAAGGTATAGTGAAGCCTGTTCATCACCCCTCTGGTTGTCATGGCCTGAATTAGTTTTTTAGATTGCCTTGGCTAACATGGGGGTAGGGAGTGTCCATTAAGTTGATGGGGGCTTAGGACTTTATTTTGTAGTTTATATTCTCCTTTTTTGTCAAGGTATGCCAGAGGCAGTATGGGTAGCCACACTTTTATTTTCTCTCATGTCAATGGCAGAGCGGCGTGCTACCTGACCTGTGTCCATCATGTTCCTTAGTGGGACCACTATGGCCAAGGGACTTAGAATCAAAAGTCTTATATCCAATTATATCCAATTCCAGTCTGTAGGCCAGACTGGAATGAATGTGGGCAGGCAGACATTAGTCCTTAAAACCCCTTTTAAGCAATGTAAGAGCCAAAAACTAAAAGTCAAAAGGTAAGGTTATATAACTGCATTGTCTCTGAATTTTATGCATTGAGCTGTTGTAATCTTGGCTTATAGGAACTATAGCTATACAAAACATAAGTATTTTATTTAGCTGTTTAGGCATCTGTATGCCCATCCTTTATTTGGGGGGTCTGAATTAATTTTATTCCACAAGAACCAGCCCTTACAATCTCATGCATTCGTATATTCCATGATAGTCCCTGGGTCTGGAGAAACTGAACAGTTTTAAGTTCTGGATATATTAATAAAACAAAATATTCACCATTAACAACATTTTAAGCAAAAATGCTGTAAGCCTTGTCTTGTTTTAAGAGTGACAGGACTGAGATGGGCAGATCACGAGGTCAGGAGATCGAGACCATCCCGGCCAACACGGTAAAACCCCGTCTCTACTAAAATACAAAAAAATAGCTGGGTGTGATGGTGGGTGCCTGTAGTCCTAGCTACTCGGTAAGCTGAGACAGGGAAATTGCTTGAACCCGGGAGGCAGAGATTGCAGTGAGCCAAGATCGTGCCACTGCACTCCAGCCTGCGCAAGAGAGGGAGACTCCATCTCAAAAAAAAAGAATGAGTGACAGGAAAGGAAGCCTATAGATAGATAAACATTTCAGTTATTTAATATTAAGGCACAGAATAAATTATATTTCATATATTTCTATTTCAGATAGAAGGAAAATTATTAAATAAAGTTTAATACAGGCCTGTCCCTGTGTTGCATGAAAGCAGTGTACTTTATTGCCTTTGCTTGAGTCTAAAGATGAGGCTTTGGTTAAGTTGAGTTTGGTGTTAGATGCTGGCAGGAGTCTGTGTCTTCTTTAGAGGAGCTACATGTATCCAGGAGTCAATTCCTTGAACCTTAACACCACAAAGATTACTTAATAGCACCTGATAAGAACTTTTTCAGGGTGTTGGAGGTGGTGACACACTTCACAGTGATTAATATTTTTTAGCTTTGATAAGCCCCAGCAAGAAGTCAGAGACTTAATTTAGGATTCAATTTTGGAGATGTCTGTGAAAGATGTGAGAAAGCTTAAAATATTTGATCAAAACTGAACCACAGGTCCTTGTAAATCAATAGTTATTCATTTAACCAAAGTGATCACTGAAAGACTTTAAAGGCAATAGAAAAAGTTACACGGGTATAAAATCCTTACTCCTTTCAAATTTCAGGAGATTTTAAAAAGCAATTAAACACTTAATAAAGGCAGCATAGGAACTATCTTGATAAAACGTAAAATCTTGTTTCTTAAGCCAGTTACCAAAAAGTCAAAGGAAAACCTTTTTTAGTGTGACTGCCTCTCCTTAGAAGAAAGCCCATTTAGATAATCTGGAAGTACAACTTAAGATAAAAAGCGCTTGAATTTAATCAAACATGGGAAGAGTGTGTACAAGGTTTTGAATAGAACTGGGGAATACATGACTCTTAGTAGCTGCATGATAAGTTTCCTGATTACAGTGAAAATTTAGACACACCAAAAACAACAACCAAAAAAAAAAAACCCAAGAGCATAGAATCAGGTTATCCTGGAGGAAAACATTTCTTTTATAGACCTCTAAGATAAAATATTTCAGCATCAGCCACAACAACATTTAGAAGTAAGGAGAAAAGTTGCAGGAGCTGACAAGAAGCTGAAGGATAGAGTTATCATCCCAGGCCACATCAAAGGGAGAAAAAGCTGATAGCAGCAAGACAACAATTGAACATTTGAGATATGAATCTCAGAAGTTTTCAAAAAAAGTAGATTATAGAATAGAAAATTAAAATTTATTGTAATTTTATTAAGAGTAAATTGATGAGCAAGACTCTGTTTCAACAACAACAAAAAAGCAGCCATTATTTAATTATATTTTCATAAGCATAAGATATATATAGATATGTGTATATATATATATACATATAAGTAAAATGAAAGATAGGAAAGAGGGACAAAAGGAAAAATACAGGAAAAAGGAAGAAATAGGACTATTCTTTTATAAGATGGATACACTACTTCTGAGGCTGTATACTTTTATGTGAAAGGAGCTTAGATTAGTTGTAAATATAAATTGCCACCTCTAGGGCAGGATACTGGATGAGGAGCCTCAGGTTTTTGCTGTCTGTGGCCAGAAGCTGCATTCAGTTATTTCCCATGTTGGCTTCTCTCCCATGGCAGAATGTGTCATGAAAACCACCATGACAGAGAGCTTGCAGCAAGACAGGTATCATAATCTTAGGTAACATGATGACCCAAGTGACATCCTGTCAGGTTGTAGTCTTCTGATGTATCATAGCAAGTTTCAGGTTCTCCCCAAAGTCACAAGGAAAGGATTAGATATTCTAATTAAGCTGTGAGGATCATTGTGCACCATCTTAGAGTTCACCTGCCAACGTCAGGTCTTGCTTAATCTGGGACAGGTTCTCAGTCCTCACTTTGTGAGAAAGCAGGTCACATATTTTGTAAAATGTATCAAAATTTTGATTTCTCTGAATGTTTCTCATAATTTTACTGAGCAGTATAGATAGAGACATGTAATTATCTATTTGTGAAGACAAGAAACAGCAAACAGGACATTATTTACAAATACAAATTTAGAGACCAAAACTAAGAAAGAAAAATTTGTGAATGGGAAAAGGAAAATTAAACATAATAGTAATGTTCACCAAGGTAACAAGAAGGGTGGGAATGGGGAGGTGAGCACCTGGGACACTACGAGATCGACAATGTTCTGCTTAGTAAGCTCAATAGTGTAATTTTTAAAATATATATATTTTATTTATTTTTAAATCTATTTTAGAATAGTTTGGATTTGCAGAATAGTTACAAGTACATACAGAGAGTTTATATATGTTCAACACATAATTTCCCTTTTATAAATTCTTACATTCATTGCAGACATTTGTCGCAATTGATGAACCAGTATTATACATTATCATTCAGCAACATTCACAATTAATCAGATGTTCTGTTTTCACCTAATGTCCATATTCTGTTCCAGGATTCCGCCCAGGACACCACATCACATTTAGGTATCATGTGCCAGTTTCTCAGATTTTCCTTATTTCTGATATCGTTGAAATCCTTTGGGATGTCTCTGGTGTTTTCCTAATGATTGGATGACTGTTGTGAATTTAGCAGAGGAAACCCACAGAGGGAAACTTTTATTCTCATGATATTATAACAAGAGTACATAGTGTCAACATGCTGTATCAGTTTTTTTTTTTTTTTTTGAGACAGGGTCTCATTCTGTTGCTCAGGCCGGAGTGCAGTGGCGTGAACAAAGCTTGCTGCAGCCTGGAATTCTTGGGCTTGAATGATCCTCCACCTCATCCTCTTGAGTAGATGGGACTACAGGCATGTGCCACCACTCTGGATGATTTAATTTTACTTTTACATTTGTAGAGGCAGAGTCTCACTACATTGCCCAGGCTGGTCTCTAAGTCCTGGCCCCAAGCGATCATCTCACCTCAGGCTCCCAAAGTGCTGGGATTACAGGTGTGAGCCACTGTGCCCAGCTGCTTTGTCATGGTTAATGTTATTTGATCACATGGATGAGGCAGTTTAGCTCAGTTTTGTCCACTATAATATCGGGCGAAATTCACCCCCAATATTTCACGTGGGTTCTTTTCTATTTTCCCTAAGTGTCAGCCGGTCTGAGAAATAAAGGGACAGAGTACAAAAGAGAGAAATTTTAAAGCTGGGTGTCTGGGGGAGACGTCACATGTTGGCAGGTTCCATGATGCCCCCTGAAGCATAAAAGCAGCAAGTTTTTATTAGTGATTTTCAAAAGGGGAGGGAGTGTACGAATAGGGTGTGGGTCACAGAGATCACATGCTTCACAAGCTAATAAGATATCACAAGGTAAATGGAGGCAGGGCGAGATCACAGGACCACAGGACTGGGGCAAAATTAAAATTGCTAAAGAAGTTTTGGGCATGCATTGTCATTGATAACATCTCATCGGGAAACAGGGTTTGAGAGCAGACAACTGGTCTGACCAAAATTTATTGGGCGGGAATTTCCTTGTCCTGATAAGTCTGGGAGCACTACGGGAGACCGGAGCTTATTTCATCCCACAGCTACAACCGTAAAAGACAGCTGCAACCGTAAAAGACAGCTGCAACCGTAAAAGACAGCTGCCCTCAAAGCGGCCATTTTAGAGGCCTCCCCTCAGGGACGCATTCTCTCTCTCAGGGATGTTCCTTGCTGAGAAAAAGAATTCAGCGATATTTCTCCTATTTGCTTTTGAAAGAAGAGAAATATGGCTCTGTTCCACCTGGCTCACCGGCAGTCAGAATTTAAGCTTATCTCTCTTGTTCCCTGAATATTACTGTTATCCTGTTCTTTTTTCAAGGTGCCCAGATTTCATATTGTTCAAACACACATGCTTTATAAACAATTTGTGTAGTTAACGCAATCATCACAGTGTCCTGAGGCGACATACATCATCCTTAGCTTACAAAGATGACGGGATTAAGAGATTAAAGTAAAGACAGGCATAGGAAATCACAAGGGTATTGATTGGGGAAGTGATAAGTGTCCATGAAATCTTCATAACTTATGTTCAGAGATTGCAGTAAAGACAGGCACAAGAAACTATAAAAGTATTAATTTCAGGAACTAATATATGTCCATGAAATCTTCACAATTTATGTTCTTCCACCATGGCTTCAGCTAGTCCCTCCGTTTGGGGTCCCTGACTTCCCGCAACAATAAAATTAATATTATTCCACTTTTCATGTTGTACCTTTTGGAAAAAACATCAGTATGCACAGCACATACATAAAAAGTGGGGAATTATGCCCCATTGCCCTATGGACAGACCTTCTATAAATGTCATTTGTGTTTCTGTAAAAAAAATTTAACATTCTTTGGGCTGTTCTAGATCAATTGCATTTTTCTGTGTGTTCTAGAATCAGTGGTCCAAGAATTGCTAAAATTGAAAAAAAATTAAAGTTAGAATTTTAGTAGGGCTTGTATTGAATCTGAAGATGCATTTAGAAAGTATAAGCATCTTGGTTAATACTTAATAGCTTTCTGATCAATGAAAATCTAGTTCATATAGTATATTATGCTAACTCTTTTATTCATTTATTTAGGATTTCTTTAATACTTCAACATCATTTGTAATTTTCAGTATATATATCTTACAGTTATATTAGGTTTATTTTCAAATATATTTCCTTTTTGATGCCGTGTTAAATGAAATTGTTTTCTGTTTCGTTATTTGATTAGTTTCTATTGTATAAAATGCAATTTATTACATTGATCATGACTGAATTTTTTTTTGTTCCAACCTTATTTTAGTGGATTTTTAAGGATTTTCTATACATTAGATTATGTCACTGGCCAATAGATGTTTGACTTCTTCCCTTTCAATTTGGAAGTCTTATATTTATTTTTCCAGCCTAATTTTATAAATTACATCCTCAAGAATATTTAGTTGAATTAGTGGGAATAGATAACCTTTTGTGTTTATAATTTTGGGAAAATTACTGAGACCTACTTGATACCATGTGTTGTCATGTGAATTTTTCATGGGTGCCTGTGTTAGGTAAGAACATTCCCTTTCTGCAAAATTTGTTTAGTGTTTTTACTGTGAGTGGGTTTTTGAATTGGAAAGTGCTTATTCCATATCTTTAGATGTGATAATGAAAATTTTGTTATTTATTATATTAATATAGTTATTACACTAATTCTTTTTATAGGTTTTACCAAACTTGTGACCCTGAGTAAATAAATAAATAAATTAGTGTTTAATTCTGTTTTACAATCCTGGTTTGTGTTCAGGCTATTTCCTTGAGAATTATTGCCTGGGTACCCATAAAGCATATTAGTTTATAGTTTTCCTTGTTTGGACTGCGTTTGTTTGATTGTGGCCTCAGAGGAAACTGCCTCATAGAATGTATTGCACACTGATCTCTTCTCTATTATTTTGTTTTTTTGGAGAACGGTTAGTAAAAAATTGCTGTTGATATTTTAAAGGTTTCAAATAATTCATCAGTGAATTCTTCTCAACCTGGTCAATCATGTGAACTTAGAAGATGATTCCTCCCCAGCTGATCCTCAGGTGAGACATCAGCCTTGGCCATCATCTACATCTGGATTCCTGACCCAGAGAAACTGTGAGTAATTTGTGTGTGCTTTTGAGCCACTAAGCTACATGGTAATTGGCTATTCTGCAATAAACAATAATACACTTGATGATAAACATAATATGTTATCCTTGATTAGATCCAAGAAAAGGAAAAATGGCATTAGTGAAAAACCTGGTAAAATATGAAGACAGTCAGTAGTTTAGTTAATAGTTTTGTGCCTTTATCAGTTTCTGAGTTTTCATAGATAGTCTATGGTTATGTGTATGATATTAATATAACAGGAAATTGAAGGCTATATACAAATTTATGTAAGATTTTAACAACTCTCTGTTAATCTAAAATTATTTCAAAATAAATAGAAGTGTAGACATGGCTCATATATTTGAGATCATGTCTTCCTGTTAACTTATTTGAGCCTTCATGGAACTAAATCTCATGGTACAAATGCAGTAAGGTTTTAAAATATAAATCAGATGAGTTTCTATTTTACTCTCTTCTTCAGGGAACACTAAGACCCATTCTTCTTCTCAAGTATCCAAAAATAAAGTTGATCCAAGTAAGAAGTGGACAGCATAAAAGATTGTATGGAAGCTATAATGCATCTACATCTGCAGTAACTAATCATAAAATGATTTGTATGATCATTCTTCACATGATTAGAATTACTATGGGAAAGAAGAAAAAGAAATGCAAGTTTCTTGATTTAAAATTTTATCTGTGCAAGTGTGGTGGCACAAACCTGTAGTCAGTCCCAACTGCTAGGGAGGGTGGGTAGGATGATCATGTGATACCAGGAGTTTGAGGCTATATGGTGTACTATGATTGTGTTAGTGAATAACCAGTGCATTCCAGCCTGGGCAACGTAGTTAAACCCCATTAAATAAATAAATAAATAAGTTACAGAGGTCGTTGTTTATATTTCTATGATTAGGGCTGAAATCCTCTAGATAGAGATTTTTTTTTTTTTTTTTGAGATGGAGTCTCGCTCTGTCACCCAGACTGGAGTGCAGTGGCGTGACCTCAGCTCACTGCAAGCTCCCCCTCCCAGAGTCACGCCATTCTCCTGCCTCAGCCTCCCCAGCAGGTGGGACTACAGGTGCCTGCCACCACGCCCAGCTAATTTTTTTTTGTTTTTAGTAGAGACAGGGTTTCACAGTGTTAGCCAGAATGGTCCTGATCTCCTGACCTCCTGATCCGCTCACGTCTGCCTCCCAGAGTGCTGGGATTACAGGTGTAAGCCACCACGCCCAACCTGAGATTTTTCCTTATCTTTGGAGAGCCACCACTCCAGTGCAAACTTTCAAATAATGCCTTGCCATTTTTAGTTTCCCTCCCTAGGACTCCTGGAACCATAGTTCATAAAATTATCTCACAGCGTGTGTTTTATTCTTACTTCTGTTTGCTTTAAGGCCTCTCTGGATGGTGACTATAACCTATAGCCTTGCCCAATATGACTCAGGATTTGGTACTGGCTGTGCCTTTCATGGGATGCTTACTTATCCTGGTCGATGGCCTAAAGCCCAACCGTCCAGCTTATATCCAGGTATCCTTCTCACAGAGTACTTGTTTATACTGTAAGACACCCTGTGGCTCCTGTCTGACCTGTGTCTAGTTTATTCTACCAAGGAAACCACTCTTTAGGAGAGTGCTAAGTGGGAGAAAAGTGATGTCCATATGTGTTCATAAAGTGAAATACAGAGGAGGCAACTCAGCAAAAGGTGTATAATGACATGCGTAATGTATTACTAACCAATCCCAGTAAGAAGAGGGCAGCATTCCTTGAAGTGCTGATGGACAGAGAAGAGCTCTCCAGGACATACACTCATAAGCAGCAGGGGTGGTGGAGGAGCAACTAGAGAAAGACATAGTATTGTGCCATTTGGCTGAAGTCTTTATGGGTGTATTTGTCAGTTATTTTTTTTCAGAGAGACAGAACTACAGGGAGGTAGTTAGGTAGGTAGATAGATACATAGATGGAGAGTTGATAGATAGATAGACAATCGTTAGATGAACAGCATTTTGTTTGGGGATTTACTCATGTAACATTATAGAGATGGAGAATTCCCAAGACAGCCATCTGCGAGTTTAAGGACCTTGGATGCTGTAACGTGGTGGCTCATTCCAAAGCTGAAGTCTTCAGAATCACAGAAGCTCTTGGTGTAATTCTTAGTTTGGGACCAATGGCCTGAGAATCCAGGGCATTTACTGGTATAAGTTCTGGAGTTTGAAGGCCATATATCATGGAGTTCTATTTTCCAAGGGCAGGAAAAGGAGTATACTTTCTCCAGAAGAGAGACAGGAAAACTTTTTAAAAATTTTTCATTTTTGGTTTTGTTTAGTCCCCAAGGAGATTGTATGCTGCCTTCCCCCATTGAGGGTGGATTTTTCCCACTAAATTCCCTGACTCATACATCAGTCTCCTCTGGAAACACCCTGGCAGACACACCCAGAAGTAATGGTTTACCAATTCTCTAGGTATTCTGTAATCCAGTCAGCACCTTAAATTAACCATGACAAGTCCAGCACCTTTCTAGTTGGCACCTATATGTATCACCTTAAGCCCTAACTAATCTTCAGATATAGACAATAACAAGGCAATAGTTCTACGTAACATGATTCAATGATCCTGTGTGCAATGAGAACACACTATACTATTTTTCTTAAGAGTAGTAGAAGTTTGTGGGTGATGTTTACTCTTCTCCTGATACCCCATAACTTCAGTACAAATTACTAACACTTAACTGCTAATATCAAGTTAATACATTATTGTGTTATGTGACAACAGAAGAAGAGAGAAATAGAAACAATGTTATTTGCCTAATATATTTATATATAACACGCAAATGTATTCTTAACAAAGTAGATAGGAAATAATAGTGACAATTTTAATCCTTGTTTCTGTAACTGGTCACCTAGTCCTGTCTGGTTATGTATGTATTTATTTATTTACTTTTTTATTTTTATTTTCATTTTTGAGACAGAGTCTCGCTCTGTCACCCAGGCTGGAGTGCAGTGGCATGATCTTGGCTCACTGCAAGCTCCGCCTCCCAGGTTCACACATTCTCCTGCCTCAGCCTCCCGAGTAGCTGGGACTACAGGCGCCCGCCACCACGCCTGGCTAATTTTTTTTGTATTTTTAGTAGAGATGGGGTTTCACTGTGTTAGCCAGGATGGTCTTGATCTCCTGACCTGGTGATCTGCCTGCCTTGGCCTCCCAAAGTGCTGGGATTACAGGCTTGAGGCACCACTCCTGGCCCTGTCTGGTATTTGTAACTCCCTTCTACTGCTACCCATTCGGTATTCTCTTTGTCTTCAGCAAGCCCCTCTGCTGGTCCTGGGTCTTTACCTGGCAGGATGATGCAAACCTTCATTCCTGAAAGATCTGGAGCATTTGTATTCTTGTCTGGAATGGTTGTAATAATCCATTGAACTTAATAACAGGGCATAGTAATACTAAGACTTTGTTTTAGTCCATTTTCTGTTATTTATAACAGAATACCTGACACTGAGTAGTTGATAAAGAAAACACATGTATTTCATACAGTTATGGAGGCTGAAAAGTCTAAGGTTGAGAGGTTGTATGTGGTGAGATCATGTTGCTGGTTGGGACTCTCTGAAGAGTTCTGAAGTCTACAGGGTATGGTATGGCAATGGAGTAGAGCTTGCTGACATGCAACAACATGTCTCCCTTCTTATAAGCCACTCTTCGCTCATAGTAGACTATTAATCTTTAAATATTTATTAATCCATGAAAGGATTAATTCATTTATGGGGTCAAACTCTTCATGATCCAATCACCTTTTAAAAGTCTCACAATTCAATACCGCCATGTTAGGGATTAAATTTCAGCATAAATTTGGGAGGGAAGCAATATTCCAACCACAGGCCTCCACTTCTGACTCTAAAAATCACGCCCTGTCACTTACAAAAAGTTTATTTCATTCCTATCGTTCAAAGGCTTAAATTGTTCCAGCACCAGCAGAAAGTTCCCAAATCTGAAGTCTCCTCTGTCAGCCCATGAAATCAAAACAAGTTATCTTCATACAAAATTCAGCAGTTGGGTTGTTAATGGCCAATGGGTTCATGTTGGCTGCTGCCCAGATAGAGTCACTTTATCAAGATAGGGGAATTGCTGTAGAGAAGATTTTATACATGTAGAGCTGGCTAAAGGAGAGAGCAGAGTTTTCGTATTACTCAAAACTGCTTCCCCAAATATTCAGAGGGTAGAGTTTTTATAGATAGTTTTGTGGGCAGGGGTTAGAGAAAGGGACATGCTGATTGGTTGGGTCAGGGATGAAATCTTAGGAAGTCAAAGCCATCTTCTTTGCTGACTCAGCTCCTGGGTGTGGGCCACGTATCCAGATGAGCCTGTTTACTGGTTTGGGTGGCACCCGCTGATCTGTCAGGATGCAAGTTATGAAAAATACCTCAAACACCAATCTTAGGTTTTACAATAGTAATGTTATTGATAGGAGCAATCAGGGAGGTTATTAATCTTGTGGCCTCTGATGGTATGACTTCTGAGCCATACTTTCTAATATTGTGGTTAATTTGTTAGTTTTACAAAGTTGATGTGGTCCCCAAACAATGAGGGGTTTTGTTTCAGGGAGGAGCTGTTATTATCTTTGTTTCAAAGTTCAGCTACAAAGTAAATTTCTCCCAAAGTTAGTTTTGTTTTTACCCAGGAATAAGCAAGGGCCACTTGGAGGTTAAATGCAAGATGAAGTCACTTAGGTCATGTCTCTCTCCCTATCATAATTTTCTCACTGTTACTGTTTTTGCAAATGTGATTTCAATTTCCCCTTCCAAGTTTCATTGCATCTTATTCTTAACGGGTGAGGTACAGAGTTGGGAAAAGGCCAAAGACCATTCTAACTTCTTCCTGCTGACAAAGGGTATACTTGAGATAGGGTTTGGCCCCAGAGTAAATGGAATGAAGCTGCTTTGCAGCTGCCTGCATGTGTTCACAGGTGCCTGGTTGGGGTTCCTAGGCTTGCATGGCCAAGATGTTAGTGCTCTCATCCACAGTTTTAGTACGGCACTTAAGTGAACAGCTGTCTATAGGATAATGAGTCCTAATATAAGGAGTGGAAGTCCTAGCTTCAGAAGTCCTTATATACTTCATCTAAATCCCTGAGGGATTTGGGTGAATAGCCCCAAGGACCAGTCAGACATGGGGTCAATAGTCAAGAGAGATTTGGGTCAGAGGTTGTTAGAAAGACAAATTTGGATAAACAGGAAAGAGCAAATTTAAATATACCATCTCATATCTTTTTAGTTAGTTTCCTAGTCCTCAGAATAGATCCTAGCTGTGTTTCATTCCAGGAGGTGTCACTGCAAATGAACTAGGCCCCCTTATGTGATTAAGGCAAAAATATTTTTAATAACAGGCATTGGTATGGAAATAGAACATAATAACAAAGGTTGATATTGGGCACAATGCATCCAGATGTTAGATTCAAAGCATTTTTAAATTGCAAAGGAGGATAGTGATAAAAATCTCACATATTTCACATCTGTATCTCAAGGGATAAACTCAGCCTGCGGGGCCTCAGGAAGAAGGTCGTAGCCATTTCATTGAGTCCAGGGCAGAAAAGTGGAAGAAAAATGTGAATGTGTTAATTTGAGGACTTTAGCTCTGAGAGGTTTCAGGATTCAGTCCAAAATGCAGAAAACAATAAAAAGCTCAAAAACAATGGACAAGACTAGAATCTAACAACAGGTGTGCTATAGTATTTTTCTGAAATACAATGTTTTGCTCTCTAGTTCTCATTTTTATTTAAGACGTATCATAGTAGGTCACATTTATTTGCAAAATAAGTTTTGGTATTATTATACTTAGCCTGATTATTTGTGTAACGAGTCATAAAATGATTATTGTGGTCTTGTATTAGTTCAGTCCATGCAGTGAACTTTGTCTGACATTGGGCCTGCAGTCCTCATAAACATACCAGCTATCTCTGAGAGTCCTGAAAGTTTGTTTGTTTTGTTTTCTTTTTTTTCCTATTTCAATGCCACAATCTATAGTTATCAGAAACCTATATTCAAGAGAACATTTCAAAGAGCAAACACCTTTTGACTAGTTGAAGAAAAGACCACAATAATCTGTGGATGACAATAATCTCAGGACAGTCATTGTTTTAATAATTTTACTTGATTTTTTTGAGACAGGGTCTCAAGCCACCCAGGCTGGAGTGCAGTGGCACAATTATGGCTCACTGTAGCCTCACCTTCCTGGGATCAAGCAATCTTCTTTCTTCAGCCTCCAGAGGAGCTGGGACCACAGGCAAGTGCTACCACATCCAACTAATTTTTTGATAATTTTTTGTAGAGATAAGGTCTCACTATCTTGCTCAGGCTGATCTCAAACAACTGAGCTCAAACAATCCTCCCAACTTAGCCTCCTAAAGTTCTAGGATTACAGACATGAGCCACCGTGCCCAGTGAGGACATTACAGGCATGAGTCACTGTGTCCAACGAGGCCATTGTTAAAGATACAGTCGACAAAGAAATCTGGTCATTTCTGTGGCACATAACAATTCAATGTAATAATCATAATTATTACTGATAACATATGCTAAGACCTATTAGAATTATAGGAACCATATAATTTTGGAATACATACTAATAACATATTTGTATAAATATAACCCAAAGAAAGTTAAACATGATTTTGTATTTGACAGTGTTTTCTGTAGGTTAATATACCAAATAAGCCAAACATATCTCTTTTGGACTTCAGGGGACCTAATACTTAAAAGGCTAATGAGTTAAAATAAAAATTCTTAGTTTATAATTTTATTTTTCAAAGTGTGCAAATATTAAAGGTTTAAAACACTTCATATCACGAAATAGAATCCCAGATAACCACAAATCATTTGTTTAGCCAAAATGATAGCTCAAAAATTTAATAAGGCAAATGCCTTTATTCATTGGTAGAGAGGAGACTCAGCTCCCAAACAACAGGACCAAGCAACGACCGCATGAGGCCATCTGAATCTGTGTCTTCTCTCTCCCCTACATTTTTCAGTTTATTTAAAAGACAAATAAAAATATTTTATTATCCCTCAGTATTATACAAAAATCTTGTTTAAAGAGAAACCAAATTTTACCTTTGCCTTAGTGTTTTATTAATGTCAAACCCAATTTTTACATAAAACCTTATAAACAAATCTGTCCAATCTAAATCAGTTTGAGCATACTGTTTACAATTTTCTACTAAACAACTGATTAATGCTCCATGAAAACTCTGTTGATCACATATAAGGGGGCAGATTCTGGGCCTGTATCACTGTGATTTTTACATTAATGATCATTCTGTAGAAAAACTAAGTAACCTGCTTCAAGTTTTGGCAAGTTGCTCACACTCACACACAGAACTTTCTTTACTAGACCAATCTTTTACAAACCTTGTATAACTTGCTTAAACCTTCTGTTTTCTCCTATTACTTTTTAACTTAAGACAATTTTTAAAACCTCTAATTTAGACAAGATTACTTTTTTAAACAAAAACAATATCTTCAGGTCTTTTTATAACTTTTTACAAAAACACATTTTGTAATTTTTATATACCTTGAATGTAAATCTTTTCTCAGCAGTATCAATCACATGTGTTACAATGTTAAATCTTCACAACTTTTATTTTTAGTGAAAGCAATTTTAATTTCGTACCAAGTGCAGAGCCTAGGACACAGGACAGAAATGAAGATAATGTCTGACTCTTTCCAACATAGCTCGGGGGCATGGCTAACTCAACATGTCCCCAGGCTTTACCTAGAAGCTGCTGGCTCTAATGCAGGCAGGTTGGACACTAACAAAAAGTCACAGATATTTATAACCTAAAACAGCAAAGAGAATATCTGACCTGCCTAATTTAGACCAAATGTCTAAATGTTGAAGAAATACTTTTATTGTACCAATAATCTTTAAAGCTATCTTTATTATTCAAAGATTATTAGAGTCATGTGAACAAAGAGCAGTTTAGTTAAAATTTTTCTGGTAAAATATTTTATTTAAGTGCATATATATGCCAATTAATTAGAGCTCTTTATATAGTTTGTTAGCAAAATACTACATATATGAAGTATATAAATACACAGACATAGAGAAGCAGATCTGGTAGAGTTATACGGATTCGTCATTTGTCAGTTTTTGAAGTTTTTCTTTTTCATTTTAGCTCGTCAGTCTCTTGATTACCTGTTCCCTGCCCTAAAAAGGTTTTAACCAGGCAGTTCCAAACTTTTATTTTAAAGGGATAATTCTTAGGTGAAATAATTATAGAGAATTTATATTTTATCTAAAGCAAGGAGAAATGTGGGGGTAAAAGTTCAGTCAGGATGGCCAGGAAAAGCAGACACTCTTACATGTGGAGATTTTCTTAAACGTGTTAAGTTTTTAAATGGGATTATTGCCTTTGGAGTGGAACCTTATAAGGAACAGAACCAGGAAAGCATGCAGTTTCTAGGGCCTAGTAAGCAGGCAGAGCTGGAAGGCAAAACAGATTCCCCTAAATGAGGAATCTTATTTTTATACCAAATCCTGGGTCCCCTAAAGAGGCAAATAATATGGCATGACACAGTGCAATGCTTTCACAGTGTGTTTCATTTTAAGGACATTTCCCCAAGGCTGCTGGACAACCCAGTGCCCATCAGCCCACTCTGTAATCGGCCCATAAGAGCACACCTTTCTTATTTAAATGTACAAATAAAAGAGTATCACCCTGTAGTAATAATCACTTACTATAAGCGACTACCATTAGTCATTTTAAAAAGTATATTTTTTATCTAGCAATTACACATCAAGGTTAATTTTTTTTCATAATGCAAAGTAATTTCAGGTCCCTGCAAGTCAAAATGGTTAGATACAAGAGGAAGGAGGAACAGACAGGAGTAAATGGAGGATCAGATAGAATTCCATTGAATGAGAAACTTTTAGAGGGAGAGCAAAGGCTTTAAAATACTATCTGTGCACATGTAGCTCAATATCAGCCTTAATCAAGTTGATTTTTGATTACAGAGCTCTCAAAAGAAAATCTGCTGAAATCTTTTATTAATAGATTTTAGCCAGGACAAATAGGTAGTATTTTTGGCTTTAAACTTTTCCAAAGGTAACTGCCCATGAGAAACTCAGAAGCCTAACTAAGGTTATGACTTAACCATGGATGCATGAAGTGTCTCACAGAGATGGCAAGCAGTTTTTGCAAGATTGAGAATTTCCCCAAAGATAGCTTATAAAGGAAAATTTAAGACAGAAAGTGAGAAGATGTCCATGGAGAAGAAAATCATCGAATGAATGGCAAAAAGTCTCCAAATATCACACTAGAAAGGGCTTACTGCTTGAGGTGAGAATCAAACCCAGGCTGCTGCAGTAAAAGGGAAAAACCTTAGTTACTGAGCTACAGTATGGGGCAGTTGCTGTTGGTCAGAAATAATGTAGGTCAGTCAGCTCCAAGCTTCAAGGATTTTAACTGCTCAAGAGAATCCTTAAAGCTAGCTGTGACATTATTATGTATCCTTTCAGACTGGCTGCCTGACCTGAATCCAGAAATTCCAACTCTGTGTATGTGGGAGAACAAGGGACAGCATCCTCACATGGTTACTAAGTCAAGTTTTCAAGAACATAAAACAAGATAAGAGGGAAACTTCAACTTTTTTGTTTCAGGGAGGTGTAGCAAATTTTGTAACTAACAAGTCTGCAGGGCCAGCCCAAACAGTGGGCTTATAGGGATCCTAGGCCCCTTAGGTTCACAGTATGAATGCTGTCTCTAGGAGCAATTGGGGATGTTAGTAATGTTATGGCCTCTGGCTGTATGGCTCTTGAACCATATTTTCTAATCTTGTGGTTAATTTGTTGGTTTTACAAAGGTGGTCTGGTCCCCAAGCAATTAAGGGATTTGTTTCAAGGAAGGGCTGTCATCTTTGTTTCAAAGTTAGGCTATAATGTTAATGTTCCCTTTGTCCAGGAACAAACAAGGGCAGCTTTGAGATTAAAGCCAAGATGGATTCAGTCAGGTCATATCTCTTTTACAGTCATAATTTTCTCACTGTTAGAATTTTTTCAAAGGTGATTTCAGGATAAACATAATGTACACATTCCCATTCTATAAGAGAGAAATAGACACAAAGAAAACAGTAACAGCCCCTAAGTAAATTTGAAGTCCAGGAGGGCAAACATTACATCTTAAAGCTGGAGAGCCTTTTTTTTTTTGTTTTTTACTCCTTAACATATTGGGGTGAGGGTTGGAGTGGCAAGCCCTAGGCAGTGTCACCCCTAAGGGTTTCCTTGGTGAATCACCCGTGGGTGCTTGTACTGGTTGAAATTTTCCCAGGCAGGCATTGAATGCCACAGGGGACTTCACAATCCTGGGATCCTGGTATTGGCACCACTAGGCATTACCCATGTGGAACTCTCTGCAGTGACTTCAGTTCTGTGGCTTCACTTGGCATTGCCCTGGTGGGGACTCTTTGCAGCAGCTCCAACCCCACATTTGTGTTTGGCATCCTTCTACTGGGGGCTCTCGGCAGTGGATCTGACCCTGTGACAGTTCTCTCTCTGGACTCCCAGGCTGTCAAAAAAAAAATACTTTGAAATTTGTGGAGGCTGCCAAGCCATCATTTATGCCTTAAGTGTGAGAAATATATTTATTTTCCTTATAAATTACCCAATATTTTGTATTCTGTTTTAAGCAACAAAGAAGGGACTAATACAGAAAACTGGTAATGACAAGTAGGTTGTTGCTGAAAATGAATACCTGAAAATATGAAAGTGTCTTTCAAACTGGGTGATGGGCAGAGGCTAAAAGAATCTTGGAGAGGCAGACTAGTAAAAGCCTGTATTCTTGTGAGGGTTTAGAAGATAGGAAATATTTGGGAGTCCTTAGAGACTGATGAAGTGTTTGTGACCACACTGCTTCGGGAGAAATGGCGCCATATAATGCATGCTGGTTCAGAGCATATACTGCCTTCTAGAGAACCTTGCCCCACAGTTACACAATATTGTCATCTAGCAGGTGCTGGAACTGTAACTCCCAAAGGTCATTCCACCATTGTTTCAAGTGAGTTGCTTCAGGATTATAGGGAACATGGTGAATTCACTGAAGTTTCTGAGCATGAGCTCATTTCTACCCTTCTTTGTCTGTGACGTGAGTTCCTTGTTCAGAAGCAATGCTGTGTGGAATACCATGATGGTAGATAGGCATTAAGTCCATGGATGGTAGTTTCCACAGAATACTTGCATGCAAGGAAGTAAAATTTATAGATGGAGTAACTGTCTTACTATTCCAGGAAGAACAAAATGCTGCCCCTTCCCTGATGAAAGCTGCCCAATGTAATCAACCTACCACAAGGAAATTGGCAGATCTTCCTGGGGAATGGTGCCATATAGAGACTTGGTGTTAGTTTCTGCTGCTGACAGTTGGAACACTCAGAGGGGTCTGTAACCTGGTTGGCCATGGTGAAAGGAATTCCAGATTGCTGTGTGTATGCAAAACCTCAGTCCCTACCACAGTGGCCACTTTATTCATAAGCCCGGTGACTGATGACATAGGTGCCTGGGAAAAGAGGCTGACTACTGTCAGAGAATGCATGATCACATCCACCGGATGATTAGAGTCCAGAAGAGCTATGGTAAGAGAGTGAGTCAGTTTTCCTCTGTTTCCCAGCACAGTTTAGCCAACGTTCTCGTTAAGCTTTAAGTGGCTTTTTCTGCTTCTCCTGAGGCCTGGGGTCTCCTTGCTGTGTGGAGTTTTCAGGGGATTTCTAGGTCTTGGGCTACCTTTTGAGTGATTTAAGATATAAAAGCTTTCCCACTGGCCGGGCATGGTGGCTCATGTCTGTACTTTGGGAGGCCAAAGCTGGCTCATGCCAGCACTTTGGGAGGCCAAGGCAGGCGGATCATAAGGTCAGGGGTTTGAGACCAGCCTGGCCAACATGGTGAAACTCCGTCTCTACTAAAAAATACAAAAAAACAGCCAGGCGTGGTGGTGGGCACCTGTAATCCCAGCTACTCTGGAGGCTGAGGCAGGAGAATTTGTTGAACCCGCTAGGCAGAGGCTGCAGTGAGCTGAGATCACGCCATTGCACTCCAGCCTGGGCAACAGGGTGAGACTCCATCTCAAAAAAAAAAAAAAGAAAAAAAAAAAACTTGTCCACTACATGGTTTTAGGCAGCCCAAACCCAGGAAAAATATCCTTTAAGAGATGGCATGATACCTCCGAGGTGGTATCAGAGCGAGTTGATCACCTTTATCCATCGTGGGAAGATAACAACCACACCTAGAAGGTATCTAAAGTTCCCGGGGGTCTGGAGCATGACCGTAAAGTGTGTTTGCCAGTCCTTGCCAGGGTAAATTCCCCTAAATTGTACTCCTTAACATGAGGCCTTGAGGGTGATCTGTTATGGGGACTGTTAGTGTGGCAGAGAGAGCAACTGTGGGTCACTTGCTGCACTGTCTCCAAGGTTGGGAGTGGTCATCGTTTGAAGGAGCCAATTGTACAGGGTTATCTACCATAATGTGAGCTCTCATGGGCCTCCTTAACTACCTGGATAGCTATGGATTTTTGAAAAAATAATTGTGAGAAATTTCAAACCATCCTGGATATCCTCTGCTTTTTAAGAAGACTTCCCAGGGGGATTACTGCTAGGGAGCCAGTGTGCCAATTACAGAGACTGCTGGTGTCAAAGAGGCTTTGGGTCTCAGGGGAGACCAGGTGTCACAGTGCTCTTCATGGCTTCATGGGGAGAGTCTAACTCAGGAAATATTTGCTTGCCTTCTCTGGCTTTTATCCTCGTGGAAGTCAATTTACATGTTTTCTTGTAGTCCCTTATTCTGGCATAGGGCCATTAATACCTTTTTTTTGTTTGTTTGTTTGCTTTTTGCTTTTGGTAAAAGAGATCTAGTTAGAGAATTTCCCACTATCTGAAATGAAAATACCTTATAAGTGTTCAGAGTACTTGTTACTGCACATCCACTAGTTTAAATCTGCATAATGTTATCAATGCCTTGGACCAGTGTAGTATCCTGTGGAAGGAGAAGGTGATCAACTTCCTGCAAACTGTGACTTTGTTATGGAGAGTTGATATTATGTTGAGGTAGGACAGAGAAGTTATTGACACTGAAATTAAACGACTTCTGGTGGGCCTTATGAAGAGAAATAGAGAAAAAGCTTCATTAGATCAATAGGTGCATACCAGGTATCAGGGAATGTGTTAATTTGCTCAAGCAATAAAACTACATCTGATATAGCAGTTGCAATTACAAGGAACACTTGGTTTAGCTTGTGGGAATCCACTGTCACTCTCCAGGATCCATCTGTCTTTTGCACAGGCCAAGTTAGACAGGGATGTGTTAGAATCTCTACCCCTGCATCCTTCCAGTCCTTGATGGTGGTGGTAATCTCTACAGTCACTCCAGAGGTGTGGTTATGAATTTGATTTTCTATTTTCCTAGGTAGAGGCAGCTCTAGTGCCTTCCATTTAGATATTCCCACCATACTAGCGCCCACTCCACAGGTCAGGGAACCAATGTGGGAAATGTGCCAGGTGCTAACTATGTCTATTAAAGCTTTGCATCTACAACTAGAGAAATGACCAGAGTATGTGTTTGGGGCCACTGGACCCATGGTGATTTCATGTGACTAAAATTTAATCACCTGACCTCCATAAATCCCCACTCTGACTGGCATTCTATAGTGATGTTTTGAGTTGGGTTGAGTCTTCTGGAATCAATGTAAGGTCAGAGCCAGTGTCTACTAGTCCTGAAAAGTTCTTACTATATTCCTTTCCCCAAAACACAGCTGTTAAAAGGTTATAGGTTCCCTTTTGGGAAGGACAGGAGAAAGATGAACAGTATAAAGTTTTTGTGGTATACCTGGGTCCTTCATCAAGGGGACCTGGCTGCTCCTTTTTTCAAGGAGTTCTTGACTATAAACTGGCTCTAGTCTTGGATTTTAGTAGGAGCTGTGATTCTCTATTATTTTGATTTGAGTTAGGCTTTCGTAAACATAAATGTTTTCAGTATTTTCAGATCAATTAAGGGTTTATTAGGCTTCTTTTCTATTTTACTTCTGAGAACACCACAGTCAAACTAGCCAACACCATAGATCTACTTGAGTCAGATGCATCTGAATGTTGCTGTACCTTTGCTGCCCATTTTGGTAACTATGTCCATCTTGATTCTGAAGGTTGACAGCTGCCACATGGCTCTGGGACCTGTGAGATCCAGTTATTCCCAATGCATTTAAATTTTCTATTGAGTGACTGTGGTTCTCAGTATAAGCTTCCAGCTACAGAGAAAGTTATTCAAGGATGCTGGTCTCCCCTTAGAAATCAGTTTCTTAAAGTATTGCTGAAAGGTTGGTCTTCTGGAGCCTCCCAGTGTGGGTGAGTAGATTTCAAATGACAAATGCACTCTGGAGTTCCATTCGTTCTAAGCCTTTGAATCTCTTCCTCTACATGAGGCCAAGGGAGATCAGGCATATCCAACTGGCTAAATAAGGGCCATCTTTTGATTTATAGTTCAGCCAACCAACCAAACTGTTAGAGCCCTTTCTAATTTCCCATGCTGCAAAACTAAAACCAGTATCTTTTTTAATGAGTCCATATCAATAAATCTGGGTGATCCAACTTTGTTTCCTCCACTATTATCCTAACTCTTAATACCCTTTTCCACACATGTTCTCCAGATTTCTCCTTGTATAAATTATAAACTCAAATAGTTTTCTTGAACTGTCATGAACCTCCCATGGGCCAAACTTTGTATATCATTTTTAAGGGCATTTTGAGATTTGAGTCTACTTATAGGCCTAGAAGCAAAAAGGAGTGGTGGGTGTGGGGCCTTAGGAGAATCTGCATTGCAGTCCATTACCTTTCCCTCAGGCAATGCTGGCGTAATCCCCTCAGAGGAGGTGGAACCACCTATACCAGTGTGGGTGAAGAGGCTACTGCCAAGAGGGTGTCAGTAGGGGGTCAGGTCTACTGGCAAAGAAGACGTCGGAATTTCAGAGCTCAATGTCTCCAGCCTCAACATGGTCTCCCCAAATGTTCCCAACCCACTCTACAGAGTTCCATTCTTCTCTGTACAGTGCTTTAAATTTACAGTAGGTACCTTGCTAGGCTGAAAGTTCAACTTTCAAAGTAATTCAGCCAACTGCACGGTGAAGGTTTGTGTTTGACTTTTAGCATTTTCAGCCCTGTGACTATAGGAGATATAATTCTCACTCAGAGCACTGTAAGAAGCTCTAAGGCTTTTTATGTGAAGCCGAATTCTGAAATTTGAATCTCTTAGCGTATCTTTTTTATTGATCACTTTACTCATCAACTCTAGAAGCAGAGTCCTTGATTTTCCACAGATATTTAAAGATGTGCTGTCAGAGTCACCAAGTTCCTTGTCTTTTATCGGTGTTGATTAGGAGTGTCAAAGGTAGATGTTTGCATATCCTTTAAGCAGTTTATGACATGGACTAGCAATGTTTTCTGGACTATTAGAAATGGAGGCTTTAACATTTTTAGGTATCATCAGTTTAGAGATCTAAGTTTAGAAACCCCAAAACCAATGAAAGAAACTCATTCCTAAAATTCTGGTTCTCTACAATCATTCATGGTTTAAAAAATAAAACCTGTTTTAGCATTCTTCAGAGATACAGGACCAATAGGATACATATATAGATAGATGGGGGAGCATTAATTAGATAAATTGGGTCACATGATTATGGAAGCCAAGACAGGTCTTCTGTAAGCTGTAAACCATGGAGTACCAGTAGCATGGCTCATTCCAAGGCTGAAAGTCTCAGAATGAGGAAAGCGGACAGTGTAATTCTCAGTCTGAGGCCAAAGGACTGAGAATGTGGAGGGATGCAGAAGTAAGTCCTGGAGTCCCAAGGAAGAGAGTCTGTAGTTAAGATGTCCAAGGGCAGGAGGCAGAGAGTGTACCAGCTCCAGGAGAGAGGGAGAACAAAATCATTCTCATTACTTTTTCATTCTATCGGGACCCCCAGCCCACTGGATGGTGCCTACCCACATAGAGGGTGGATTGTTAAAGAATTCAGGCCGGGCGCGGTGGCTCACGCCTGTAATCCCAGCACTTTGGGAGGCCGAGGCGGGTGGATCATGAGGTCAGGATCATGGCTAACAAGGTGAAACCCCGTCTCTACTAAAAATACAAAAAATTAGCCGGGCGCGGTGGCGGGCGCCTGTAGTCCCAGCTACTCGGGAGGCTGAGGCAGGAGAATGGCGTGAACCCGGGAAGCGGAGCTTGCAGTGAGCCGAGATTGCGCCACTGCAGTCCGCAGTCCGGCCTGGGCGACAGAGCGAGACTCCGTCTCAAAAAAAAAAAAAAAAAAAAAAAAAGAATTCAACTCAGGTCTGCTCACCCAGTACAGTAAGACTAGATACCTACACTGACATTTGCAGTGGGAGAAAAGGAGGTGTTTATCTGGACATTGTGAAGCAAGGCGGATGAGTCAGCTAATGCTTAAGTTCCCACTTCCCCAGTGGCTTGCAGGTAAGGGTTTTTTTAAAGCAGGGGTAAATTTCAGGAAAGCAGAAGTTACTGGCAAAATTGTAAATCAGTACTGGAGGTTACACATTGGTTTTGTCCTGAAAAGTCGTGATATTTTGAAGCAGGTGCTTACAGCCCATACATAGATTCAAGGGTTTTCTGATTTGTAATTGGTTAAAGAAAAGAAGAGTTGTTTTAAAATTTGGGGGTTGGCAGAAAAAAATATTAGCTCTTTGGCTAATGGATTTGCCTCCCTCTAGCCCCTCAGGAAGAAATTTAGCACAAAGAATGGCAGTCAGAATTCAGTTTTCAGGCCCCCCTTATCTGAGGTGTACTTGTCAGCAGATGCCTTTGGTGGGGGTCTAGGTTTCTATGAAAAATGACTCAGGAATGTATGTTAAGATGCGATCTTTAGAACAAAACAAACATCTTCTGACTGTAACTACCTTGGCTGTTGTTTAGGCTACTATTACCTTCTTGCTTATCAAGTTCCTCATTTCTTTCTCAGTGCTAGCTAGGTACCAGGGATTTCCCTTGAAGGGACTCACGATTTTCCTTTATTTCCCTGCTTGGGGAAGCTACAGGCCCCTAACAAAGGGTCCCTGCTCCATCACAGGATCTTACCCACTCTGTCTACCGACTCACATTTCAGACCTTTCTGGTGAAACCTCACAGATCCAGAAGTAATGCTTTGCCAGTGTTCTAGGTATTCGTTAATACAGTTAGTTGACTCCTAAAACTAAACATTACATTGGGTTTTGGAGTGTTACCCAAGCAGGTTTCTCATGAGGAGTTCAAATTGCTGGGTTAAGGTGAAGCAACCATGATTTCCACAGAGTCAAAGTTTGACTGAGAGGTGGTTACTGCCGAATATCTGTGCAGTTCCCACAGGGGACAGTGAGGTGAGATAAAGGTGGTATTCAGCTGTCTTATATGGAGTAGTCACCTTGAGCAGGTTTTATAAGGGGCTATGTTCAATGACCACCTTGAGGAATGTGGAAGAGGCCACAAACTGGAAACTGTCACGGATTTCTAAACCCTATTTCTGGTATGAGAATGTCAACACTATGTACAAAATGAATGCCCAGGTTACATAAAATTAAAACAATTCACAGCAACATTTAAAATAGGAATTCTAGTAGCCCAATAATAACTCTCTCTCTAATCCTGAGGTAGCAGGTAAATTGAGTTGTTCAACTAATTTGAAACTATAGTTAAACATGTTTTCTCAATAATAGACCAGAATACATATGATGAGCCGACAAAATTTTATAGTGAGAAGGGGGCAGTCACAGAGAAAAAATAAGGTGTTCCATTTATTTTAAAAGGCATATTTTTTACATCTTTCAAATAGAGATCAATCATAATATTGTTAAAAGGCTATTGGTTAGAAGACAGTAATAATGTGATGGACTTCATGTGCACACAAGTGAACTTGATGTAAAAAACTTCCATTTTCACATTCTGGTGGTATCTTTAACATCATGACTTGGAGAGGGATGTTAGCAGATGAGAAACATAATCTAACAGAAACTATTATAGTTCTCTCACTACAAATATGGCATCAGCAAAGCTCCTAATTACCAGAGATGATGCTAGTGTAGAAAAAATCCATGGACAAGGTGAGTTGCACAGTGATTTAGAAGAGTTTTATCCAAATATGAGAAATTTTAGAAAACCTTGATTACCTATTTTGCTTTCACTTTCTGTCTTATGTGATCATAGGAGTGATATGACATCAATACACACATTTATATAAGTTCAAAAGTGTAAAAAGTAGAATAGAGGTTCCTCTTCGAAGACTTTCCTCGCCATCTAATTAGAAATAAATAGTAACTTCTCTTAGAAGCAAAATTTTTTCAAAGACCTGTGCTAACATTCTTAAATATCTGCTAGCCGTAATAAAGAAATGAATGTACTTTATGTTCTTAGCTCCCACAATTTAACCTAAATATTTGCCCTGGCATGCTTATACTGGTCCAAGCAAGCATTAGGTCATAGCGTGTTCCTCTTCCTTATTTGAAGGTGTTTTTACCTTTCTCTGGATTCCAAAAGTTACTTCCTCCTTCCTTTGTTCTCCTCTGCCTTTGCCTCTTTTAAAAAGTTCTAAGTTGCTAGCCAGTCGGGACAAATACGGAATGTGAGGTCCTGTTCCAGCCAATGGAAACCAGACACAGCAGTGGGGTGGAAGCATCAGGTTATAAATGACCCTGTCTCCTTTGTTCTGTGCACTCTCATGGCAAAAATGCTGGCGAGTGTACCCTTTCTGAAGAAAATATAAAAATGGCCTTGCTGAGGAAATTAAATTTATATTCAAGTGCTATTTCTTTATGGCACCAGGGAACAGGCATTTCAAACAAAAAGTATTATTTTCAACATATATGACAAAATTTTTGTGATGTCATAGTTTTTCAATAGTTTTATGCTTTTATTGTGATGTAAAATAATGATGTATTTTACAATTGATACATATGATACTTCTCGCAATTACTTGAAAAAAGCTGTCACTGGTAGCAAATAGTAACTTAGTGTTTAGTGTAGACCTATGTAAACCAAAAATGACTGACACAGATCTCATTCAATTCAGAGAATTATTTTGCCAAGTTTAAGGATAAAGAAACACAAGTCACAGTAGGCTCTGTGGCCTGTGCTTTTTCCAAAGAGGGTTTTGCTGACTTCCATATTTATAGGGGTGAGACCAGGCAGGAGCAGGTGGAGGATAAAGAAAGGGGAGGAAAGACAGTGAGGCAAGTACATCCGAATGAGGCCTGAATTAGCACTCACTGCATCCAGATGTTGCATGTGTACAGAGGAATGGAGAAAAAGTTGATTGTGCATTTGTCTTGTGCGTGGTAGATCTACATTTTACATAAGATAGGCAAACTTGTGAAATTACAGCTGTCTCTTTGGGAACAAAAGGAAGGTAGTATTAGCATGACTCAGTTCCTGACTTTTCCTTTGGCATAGTGAGTTTGGGGTCCCAAGATTTTATTTTCCTTGTTCTTCAAAATATTTCAGAGAAAGCATTTTAGCAGAAAATGTGTGTTTGGTTATATTTTTTCCTAATCTTTCAACATTAGGATGGTTTATTCCTAGAAGGTTAGGATCCACATTTTTAAGGAGACTCATTCTAGAAGGTTGTGAAGAAATAGGGGGAATAAGAAATAAAGGGAAAAGATAAGAAAAAAGAGACACAGCTGGATTATAGCAATAAAGTAGAAAGCAATCCTTGAAAACCAATAGACTATATCACAGAGCAGTCCATATATAACTAGACGGTCATGAAAATATTTTATGTAAATAAATAAGATGCTGTTATTTCTCCCAAAGTTTAAGTTTTCTAGTTTCAGTCTGCAGGGCTTTACAAAAAGCACAGATTTCTACTAATTTGAAGTCAGAAAAAAATGGGAAAGAAAAAAAAAAAACATTGAAAATTTTAGTTTGGAGACTGGTAACCAGCAAAGAATTTAGGATCCAGTCTAGCTAAATTGTAAACCAATAATAAAACTGGAAGACAATGAACAGGGCTAGAATCCAATAAAAGATGTACTATAGTTTCATTTGAAATACATTTTTTCTCTCTACAGTCTTCCATTTTTACTAAAGAAAAATCATAGTAAGACCAATTTATTTCCAAAATAAGTTTTAGTTTTATTGTACTTGGCCTGATTATTTTCATAAAGTGCAGCAAGACTATTTTTTTTCCATATAGGCTCTTCTAAGTTGGCACTGATGGAACTTTTTTTTAAACAAAGTGTCTACTATTTTTTTCAAATAGCCCCTCAAGCTCAAACAAGCATTTATTGTGCCTGCAAATAACTGTATGAACTGGGTGAATTCATCTCATCTTGAGGTCGCAAGATTACTTGGAGTTCCTAGGCCTGTCAGAAAGTGACATGCGTTTCTTACCACAGATCAGAAAATCTGTAAAGAAACTGCATAAAGAAGGCACAGGGCCAGTCTCTCCAAGGGAATTTTACTGGTTTTATTATTCAACCTAAATTTCTCAAAGCAATCTGCTCATAGATGAAAATATGCTATTCCAGCCAAAGCCTTGACAAGGTAACCAGTGTCTCCAATTGTGTCCCATTACAAAAAAAAAATTGTTATTGATTATATGCAAATAACTTATATTACCATAAATTAAGAATATTCAGAAATAGTTTTCAAATTCTGGGGAAATCAGGTAAAGAGAAAGAAGTATAGTTGAAATTTTTCTCTAAAGAGTATACCATATTCAATTGTTAAAAACTATAAATAGCTAAGAATAAACCTTTCTTTACTCTGAAAAACAAATATAGTCATCAATGTTTCAAATAAAAAAGTCCTAAAAAATTGTTTCATTCTTCTGTTACATCAGTCCCACATAATTAACTTGTTCTACTTTGTATTGGCTTAGCAATCCTCATGAACACGTCAGCCTGTTTAGAGTCCTGGGAGTTTTGTTGTTGTTATTGTTATTGTTTTCGTTTGTACAATGGCACAATCTCCAAAGTTATCAGAAACCTAAATTCAAGAAAACCTATCAGAGTCATTTTCACCAACTCTTCTAAAGAAGCAAGTTTTGGCCGACTGGTTTTTTATAAACTACTTTTTGAGAATAATCAAAGTAAAACAACAATTGTGAATGAAAAACTCTTAGGACAGTCATAGTTACAGGTATAGCTGATAAGAAATTTGGTTATTTCTGTGTCATACAACAATTTAACATAATAATCATAATTATTACTGATAACATATAGTAAGGCATGTCAGAATTATTGGCATCTCATATGATTTTGGAGCACATGGTAATATTTAGGTAAATAGAACTCAAAAGTTAAATATTTCACCATGCTTCTATATGATTTTAACATGTTAAATGTGGCTAATTTGTCACTGTTGGACTTCAGGTGACCTAATATTCAAAAAGTTAATTAGGTCACTAAGGCTAAATTAAAATTTGATTTGGAAAGTTTGTCAAATATCAAAGGTTTGAAACAGTGTTACAAAATAGAATCACCAATCACGATGAAGTGAATTACTCATTAAGCCAAAAATGATATTTTAAATATTTCTAAAAAGCAAAAATCTTTATTCTTTGATATAGAGAAAGGAGATTCAGTTTCTTAAACAATAAGGTCTAATATCAGGCTGAGTGCACTGGCTTGTGCCTGTAATTCCATTGCTTTGGGAGGCCGACACGGGAAGATCATTTGAGCCCAGGAGTTCAAGACGAGCCTGGGCAATATAGTGAGACTTCGTCTCTACAGAAAATAAATTTGTAAATTATCTGGTTGTATTGGTGTGTGTAGTCCTAGCTACTACAGAGTCTGAGGAAAGAGGATCACATGAACCCATGACATGGAGGTTGCAGTGAGCCAAGATCACACCACTGCACTCCAGCCTGGGTGACAGAGTGAGACCCTGTCTCAAAAAAACAAACAAAAATACCTCGAAAAAATGAAAAACCAGTAAAACCTAATAAATATAGTATGAAACCAAGTGAACCTTACTCCCCTCCTCTTTTTTTGCAGTTTGCCCAAAAGGCAAACAAAAATCTTTTACTCTCTCTTAATATTAAACAAAATCCTGGTTCAAAAAAGAAAACCAACTTTACCTTTGCGTGGCGTGGTATTAATACTAAAGCAATTTTAATAAAATTTATAAATGAATTCATCAAATATCAATCAGTTTAATCATAAGGTATGATTTAAGAAATGCTTGTTAACCTTTTACTATTTTCTACTGAGAAGCAGATAAGTTCTCTGAAAAAATCACATCCAGATTCTGGGCTTGCATAAATGTGCTTTTTAGTGTTCAATTTATAGAAAGACTGAATAATACCCTTTAAATTTCAGCCCACTTGGTCACACACAGTATTTCTTTTGTAAAATCAATCTGCTACAAATCTACAATTCCGTCAAACTTTCAGTTTTATCCCATGATTGTATCTTAGAACAACCAAAAAATTTCTTTCCAACCTTCCTTTACCTTTTTTTTTTGAGACAAGGTCTCCCTCTATCACCTGGGCTGGAATGCAGTGACACACTCATAGCTTACTATAGCTTCAAATTCCTAGCCTCAAGCAGTCCTCCCACCTTAGCCTCTTGAGTAGCTGAGACAACAGGCGCACACTACTGTGCCTGGCTCTTTTTTTTTTTGTAGATATGGTGTCTCACTTTGTTGCCCAGGCTGGTCACAAACTGCTGGCTTCAGGTAGTCCTCCCATTTGGGCCTCCAAAAGTGCTGGGATTACAGGAATGAACCACCACACCAAGCCCCAACTTTCTGTAGCCATTTAGCTTTATCCGTCAGTTTGTCTTCAATTTAAAGACAACTTGAAAACCTCTACAGTAGACAAAATTAGTTTCCCTTTGTAAGGAAAACACATTTCTCATACCTTTCTATAGCATTTTTTTTCTAATAACACATCTCACTTTTATTATATACTTTGGATGCATCTAGTAGATTCAATTATATATGTTAACTGTAATGTTACCTCTCAGTAACTCTTACTTGTATTGAAAAACTCTAGGAAGTAAGAAATTTTACTTACGTGTCAGGTGCAGAGCCAGGGACAAAAGACACAGCTGCCAATAACATCTGACCCTTCCCAATGTAGTCAGAGGGCACAGCTGGGCTAGGGAGAACACTATATGTCCCCTGAACTTACTATGGCTGTAAGAAAGACAAATCAAACAATTATTTAAAATATCACAGAGCAGTTTATGGCCCTAAAACATCCAGCAAAAACAGTATCTGAGTTGCCTGACCAGTTCAGACCAAATATCTAAGTTAAATTCTGAAGACATTTCTATTTTATTTTACCAATTTTTTTGTTTTAGGTTTGGGGTACATTTGCAGGTTTGTAATACAGGAAAATTGTGGTCACAGAGTTTTGATGTACAATTTTGGAACACACACTAACACATGTATGTACATTGAACCCAAAGAAAGTTAAATATTTGACCATGCCCTTTAATCAAGGGTATGTCTTATGAATTTCAAGCAATGCTAAGAGATTTTACTGTACAGAGCCAGAATTCTCAAGGATAGTCATGACGCTATTGTAAGTCATTTGTAAAATTTCATATTCTAATGTATTATTAAGAATATGAGATCTCTAAAATCTTTTTTATGTATCTCCAGTCAAAACTTTGTAGAGGAGACAGACATAGATTTTTGCCAAAACAGGAAGTAAAAGTGATTGCACAATTTACATAAGTTGAGATCTTTGAACCTAAGAATTTGTAACTGGCTAAGAAGAAAGCTAGACTCAAAGCCACCAAATCCAATTTAAAAACCCCCAGCCAGCTCCTTACTTGGAGATGCTGGCCCAAGTGCAAGACTGCGCTCTGCCTCCTCAGAAGCAGCAAACTCCCAGAGAGGGAGTTCTACAAGAGAACATACCTCAGACCTCAAACAAAAAGTTTGGGAGATCAGGGATCTGTGTAGGGGGAGGCTCCCAGACCTCAGCAAATCATCCAATCAGTCAGAGCAATACAAAGCTTCCAGTTGGCTGTACCAGGGCCCTGCTAGGAGAGTTGCTGCAGGCCAAAGGGCGAAACTCTGCACAGAACTCATTGTGGTTTCCAAAATATAAACTGAAAAGTGACTGAGGCAGGTCTCAGTAAATTTAGAGCTAGATCTTGCCAACGTTGAGAAAGTGCATGGGAAAAAGCAACACAAATTACAGCAGGATCTGTGATCTGCTTTTTCCAAAGCAAGGTTTGATGACTTCAGCATTTAAAGGGGAAAAAGTGAGCAGTAGGGGAAGGGGGAAAAAAGCAGAGAGGGCTAGGCACTGAGGCAAGCGTTTGCATTCTCGTGAGGCTTTGATTAGCACTCACTGAAACCACATTTGATATGTGCAAATAGAGGAGTGGGGGATAAAGTTGATTATGCATTCATCTCATGTTTGCTGGATCTACACTTTGCATAAGATAAAGTAACCATGTATAATTACAGCTATCTATTTGGGAAAAAAAGGAAGTCAGTTTTAGTGTGACACAGTTCCTAAGCCTAACTTTCCCATTGGTCATAGAGATTTAGTGTCCTGAGATTTTATTTTCCTTTCAAAGCTGCCATTAGTCTACACATTTTGTGTATGAGTGCATTAAGTTGTCACAGCATCTCAAGAGGTAGACACTACTGTGACCCTCTGAAAGTTCTAGCTCTGAATCTGAGCTAAAGCCCTATAGGAAAAGACTTAGAACAACCTTGAGCTTGACCCAGTGTTCCTACTCATATCAACTATGTTAGAATAGCATTTCTCTCTTAGAGTAAACACTTTGTAGGTGCTTTTTAAGAATTCCTCACCTACCCTATTGTAATGAAATTATTTTCCTATATTAAATTCTAAATACTCCATTGAATTCTTTTTTCTATGGAGGTCTATAATCCACTTGAAGTTGATTTTGTGCATGAGTTTAAAAGTAAATTTTATTTCTCTCGATGGACATTCAGTATACTGAAATGTTTATTGAAAATTCATCTTTTTCCAGCCTGGTGCGGTGGCTCACGCCTGTAATCCCAGCACTTTGGGAGGCCGAGGCGGCAGATCACGAGGTCAGGAGATTGAGACCATCCTGGCTAACATGGTGAAACCTCATCTCTACTAAAAATACAAAAAATTAGCCAGACATGGTGGCAGGCACCTGTAGTCCCAGCTACTTGGGAGGCTGAGGCAGGAGAATGGCGTGAACCTGGGAGGCGGAGCTTGCAGTGAGCCAAGATTGCGCCACTGCTCTCCAGTCTGGGTGACAGAGTGAGACTCCGTCTCAAAAAAAAAAAAAAAGAAAATTCACCTTTTTCCATTACTTTTTCTTTTGGATTATTTGTTTATATAGACATCTATCAGATTTTCAACTCTTTTTATTTTTATGGATTCTTCTTTATTATCATTAATTTTTTGAGACAGAGTCTCGCTCTGTCACCCAGGCTGGAGTGCCATGTTGTGATCTCGGCTCACTGCAACCTCTGCCTCACGGGTTCAAGCAATTGTCCTGCCTCAGCCTCCTGAGTGGCTGGGACTACAGGCACACGTCCCCACACCTGGCTATTTTATTTTGTTTTATTTTTAGTAGAGATGGGGTTTCACCATGTTGGTCAGGCTGGTCTCAAACTCCTGACCATCCGCCTTGGCCTCCCAATGTGCTGGGATTACAGGTGTGAGCCACCGTGCCCGGCCTATTGATTCTTCTGTCTGTGTTCAAATATTACATGTTCTTATTTTTTGGAGAGTTCATTTTACACTAGACATTTCCCTGCAGAGACTGTTCTCTTCATCACTGTGCTACTGAAGACAGGGAAGGATAAAACCTTGCATGTCTTGCACTTACATGAATATTCCCAGCTGTACTTCGAAAAAACAGCAGGTCATAGAACCTGTGGAGACAAAATGACCCATCTTGGATGCTAGTCCACCATGTTACTTCTGATTTGCCCCAGTTCCATGAATGCCTTCTGATCTCTCATTTATTTACTGTCCTTAGTGTAAAATCATGTCAACCAGTGTGTTACCACAAAAATTACATGCTATGAGGCATGTAGCCTCCTTGTCCATTCTGGAGGGTTGCTTTTAATTGCCTTGCTAAAGCATGTATACCTTTTCCCTGTGGAGTATTAACCCTGGGTCTGGAGAGTAACAGTGTGAACAACTGCCTACCTGCAACCATCCAAGGGTATGGTTCTGTGTGTAAGTTCCATCTATAAATTAACCAGTACTGACTAAATGGATTTTCTGCCTTCTTCTTTAATTTTTCAGATCCTTTGGCATTTGAGAGTTGCTTTGTGTATACGGTCCTTTAACGGAGCAAATGGCCAGCCAGGAAACCAAAGTATGGACAAGGGGAAAGAAGCGTCTGTGGAGGAAGTTTTACAAGCGCCCTCCTCATCCATTTGGGTGGTGTTGCCCATATGCTACATGTCTGTGGACCACTATGTGTGTTTAAAGCTTTTTAGTAAAACGTTACTAAAAACTATGACTCACTGTGGTGAAAAAGGTGGCAAAACAGTGACAACAGTGAGTTTGCTGCTGTTATTATCTATGTGAGTGGTCACGAAAGCACAGGTAGCAGCTGAGGCAAGGGGAGGGAAGCTAGGAAAAGAATCGCAGTGAGAAAGGGATGAGAACTTCCATGTCTGTGTTAATGTCTGGTTTTATGATAAACTTGAAACTCAAGAGGCACAGTTGGAAATTGTACCTTGCCACTTTGTGTGGCTGAGAGAGAGAAAGCTGTGCCAGCTGAATGTGTGGACTGTCTTTGCCAGTGCAGGCTGGGATGCAAATACCTGTAATTCTTGGGAAACAACCAGTGAGCCAGATGATGACATAGAGTTTAACTCAGAGGAGGAAGATCATTATCCTTCCCATTTGAGAGTGAAACTGTTCATGCAGTGGAAAGCAAAATTCCAACACACAGAGGCCTGGGTAGGATTACTGGATATAATAAAAACTTTAAAACAGCTGCCAAGAGAAAGCCTTATGTACATGAATGGTGCAGCTATGGGACACCAGTAGGGATGATATCTCCCTAAAAGGGAATGAACCTGAAAAATTGAGACAGAAGTACCCCGGAAGTGAAATAACCCCCTTATGGGATAAGTTATAGGGAAAGCCATTTCAGATTTCCTAGAAACTCAAAAGGAAAGAGATTAGGTATGACTGGTTGCTAAAGGAAAATGGAAAAAGGGAGAAACAAAGTCTGCTGGACTGAAAAAAGGAGTTTAAAAAAGACACAATTAAGGTTACTAGGAAACAAATGTGGTATGATCTGATTTCAGCTGGGATTGACAAAGAGAATATAGATGGGCAACCCAGTGGCATATTAGTGGGGTATGGAAAGACCTGACTCCTGATCAATAGTTTAGACACCTTCTTATTACCTCCCCCACCCCCCATGAGAAGAGGGAGAAAGACAGGAAGAAACCTTTGGTAAAAATTCAGGGGTGCACTTCTTTCCAGCCTGGAGATCATAGGTAGGGTCAAGGCTGCTTCTGTGTAAGAGCAATAGGGGGTGACCAGAGGCCGTATTTGGAGCTCACTATTGATTGGAGTCTAAAACAGCACTAAGAGAACCTTAGCTTTAGTGGGCACAGGTGCAGAATGTGTCTTAATTGATGGAAATCCAGAGAGACACCCTGGTAAGTGGGAAGCTATAGATGGTTGTGAGGGGTTAAAAATCTGAGAGAAACAAACTCCTCTCCTCCTTAGTTTTGTCTGGAGTTCCCTCTTTGCTTACTCTCCTGTCTTTATCTCACCTATTGCAGAAAACATCTTGAATATGGATGTCTTCTTAGGATGCACTTTACAAACATCTGTGGGGGAATCTCACCTATGACAAAGGCTGTATTAAGATTGGAGGCAAAATTAGAAGGTGTACACCTCCCTCCCCCACAATGTATTGTTAATGTGAGACAATACCATCTTCCTGGTAGAATATAAGAAGTCACAGCCGCCATGGAGAAATTGGCCAAAGTTAATATTATCTGGCCAGCCCAGAGTCCTTTCAGCCATCCTGTGTGACCAATAATAAAATCTGATGGCACTTGGATATGACAGTAGATAAGTGGACACTACTGATCTTTCTAAGATACATGCTCCTTTATGTAATGTAACTCAAGTGATTGAGCAATTAATACAAAACATAGGCACTTATCATGCTGTGTTAGATTTAGCTAATGCCTTCTTTAGCATCCCTTTTACCCTGACTTGCAGTCATTATATTGATGATACTCTAACTTCTGAAGACTTGTCATTGCTACAGCAACACGGAGATGCATTGACACCCTTCTTCAATCCAGAGGATGGGCCATCAACTCACAAAAGTACAAGGCCTGGAACCAGCTGCAAAGTTCCTATGGATCACTTGGCCAGGTAAGACACCTTACTTCAGGCTTGGTCATTGAGAAAATATAAGTTTTCCATACCTAAAACAGTTAAACAGTTACAAAGTTTCCTAGGTCTTTTGGGATACCAGTGGGCTTTCATTCCATGTTTACCTCCATGTTTGCATCCCCTATACTGACTATTAAAGAAGCAATCTCAGCTGGGCACAGTAGCTCACACCTGTAATCCCAGCACTTTGGGAGACCGTGGCAGGCAGATCACTTGAGGCCAGGAGTTCAAGACCAGCATGGGCAACGTGGTGAAACCTCATCTCTACTAAAAATACAAGAAATTAGCCAGGCATGGTGATGCATACCTGTAATCCCAGTTACTTGTGTGGCTGAGGCATGAGAGTTGCTTGAACCTGGGAGGTGGAGTATTTAGTAAGCTGAGATCGTGCCACTGCACTCCAACTTGGGCGAAAGAGCTAGAAACCCTGTCTCAAAAAAACAAAAACAGATCTAGGATAAAGAACTAAAGAACAAGTGGTAGCATTTGAGAAGGCTAAAATATTGATTGCTCAGGCACAAGCTCTAGTTCCCCGCTTCTGGGATACCAGTGTCTTTTGATATGACTGTAAACCCTGAAGGGACAAAACAGGTCCTCTGGCACGTTCAGCATGGGAAAGCAGTTCTTCTAAGATTCTGGTCACAGCTATGGAAATGTGCTGAAACCCACAGTTCTCCAATTGAACAACAGGTTCTGGGAGCATGTAAGGCCATGCAGCACATTGAGCCTGTAACTGATCATCTGCCAGTAACAATGAGAACAGATCTCTCCATTAAGGGCTGGATAGAAGGGTTGTTTTCCAGGCCTATATCAGCTATTTCTCAAGTCTCCATTATACAGAAGTGGCATGCATACCTGCAACAATGTAGCACCCGCTCCACGAGTCCTTTGGGAGATGCATGCTATCATAGGGCCAAGACACTATGAGACCAGTGCTGCGCCTGTTGTGGAGCCCCTGCAGGAGATGCCTCCAGTAATATACGAAGGCACATCTCCATTCCTGAAAATGCTTGGCACTTAGATGGATGAAGCTGAGGTAACCCTTGTGTATAGATGACAGTAACTGTACAGTTGCAGACAAATACTATCTGACAGACAGTGTTGAGGTTTCCAACTATAATAATGAGTTAATCTCTTTCTCTTTGCAGTTGTGTCAGTTTTGGCCTTACATAGTTTGACATTCTGTTGTTAGGCACTTAAATGCTTTAAGGATTATTATGTTGTACTGGAGAACTGACCCCTTCATCTTTGTGTAATGCCCGTCTTTATTTTTAGTGACTTTCCTTGCTTGAAGACTGCTCTGTCTGTAATTCATGCAGCGACCCTTCCTTTATTTGATAAGTGTTGGCCTAGGCTATTTTGTTTCATCTATTTACTTTAAATGTATACATGTCTTTATATTTCATAGATTTTACTTAACATCATTTAGTTGGGTTGACTTTATTGATCTACGCTGACATTCTCAGTTCTTTGATTGATGCTTTTAGACTACTGACAACCAATGGAGTTGGATTAATATCAACCATATGTGTTACTCTTTTTGATTTGTTGCCCTTGTTCTTTCTTCCCGTTATTGTGCTTCACTTATTTTCTGTGTTTTGTGGTTTTATTTGAGAATTTTATGCAATTCTGTTTTCTCTCCATTCTTAGCATATCAATTATATAACTTTTTTTGACTATTTTAGTGGTTGCCCTATGGAATAAAACTTTTATTTTTCATATTCTTAATTTAGTCTCACAGATAATGGTTTCTGGAAAATAATAGTAGCACCAATCTATTTGATTAGGCATGCTTATGTCTATATGTTATATGTATATAAATATACATGTATATGTGCATGTGTACTCACGTATAAGTGAAACGAATGACAGCACTAATAGGGAGAACAAAAGAGTTAAGATTATTTTGTTATTCTAAGATAGTCACACTACCTGTGAGTGATACAGTGTTTTTTCAAAAAACACTTTTTGAAAAAAAGTGGATTCATTTTAAATGTAATATTGCAAACTCTGGGTAAGGGTGTTGGACCAAGGGCCTGAGTTCTTTGCTGGCTTTGGCCTGTTTCTGAATTTAGTTTCCTCCCATGTTGGCTTCTCCCATATGGCAAATGTTCCATCAAAGCCATCAAGGGAGGCACTTTGCTAGCAAGACAAGAATCACAATCTAATGTAACATAATCGTCCTACTAATGACCCATCACCATTGTAGTATTCTGTTGATTTTAAGCAACTCACAGTTTCTGACTACATTCATTAGAAGGAATTAAAATACAAAGTTATTTATCAACTTCACTTATACTTAGAGGTGGGAGTCATTGGGTGCCATCTTAGGTTCTAACTGCCATATCTGATCTTCTCCACTATGAAATAGTTTTTCAGTCTTCACTTATTTTCTGTTACCTTGACCCTTCTGACAAGGACTGGTCAGTTCTATTGTAAAATTTCCCACAGTATGAATTTGTCAGATGTCTTCTCATAATTAGACTAGGGATATGGATTAAATTCAATATTTTCAATATTTATATTTATTTAAGTTTAAAGATAAAAGACAAAACAATATAGTGTTTATATATACAAACATACAGGAAAAATGAATATAAGAAAATTAGAGACTGACAGAGATAATCCATAATGATAGTTACCTTCAGCTGTTAACATAGATGAAATTCAGGAGATACATTCAGGGGGCATCAATGATATTGTTAATGTTCTTTCTGTTGTATAAGCTCAGCAAAGGCTTAAAATAAAATAAACTTTTGAACTTTACGAATAGTTTTAGATTTACAGAGCAGTTCCAAATATAATATAGAGTTTCCACAGACTCCATACACCATGTTCCTTAATAACCCCCTTACATTGGTGTGGGATATTAGTCACAATGAACCAACCAATATTACACTATTATTAACCATCTGCACTTTATTCAGATTGACTTAGTCGTCATTTAATGTCGAGTTTCTGTTCCAGGATCCTATCCAGGATACCTCATTACATTTACAATTCATGCTCCTTAATCGACTTTGACTGTGACAATTTCTCCAAGTTTGCATGATTGCTATGACATTGGCATTCCTAATTTGGGATTTCTTTGGTGTTTCTTTCCTGATTAGACTGGATTGTAGGTTTCAGGGAGGAAGACCACAGAGGGAAAGTGCCATTCTCATCACATCCTGTTAAGGGTACAGACTGTAACAGCTTTATCACTTTTGATGTTAATTTAATCACCTGAATGAGATAGTTCCAATCAAATTTCTGTACTGTGAAATTACTGTTTTTTTTCTTCTCCTTTCCATGTTGTATGTTTCAAAAAGAAGTCACTACACACAACACACAAATAAGAAGTGAAGAATTATGTTCCACTTCCTAGGGGCAGAGTGTCTGCAAAAATTATTTGGAATTAATCACAATGAACAAATGCCTATTCTTCTTCAATTGTTCCATATTATTCCATCATTGTTCTACCCATAGACAAATATGGGTACTTATTTTACACTTCACTTGAAATAATTTATTTGGCTTGTTGCTCAAATTGCTTCAGTATTGTCCAAGAAACTTTCTTTTTCTCTTTTATTTTTGAGATGAAGTCTTGCTCTGTCACCCAGGCTGGAGTGCAGAGGCGCGATCTCGACTCAGTGCAACCTCTGCTTCCTGGGTTCATGCCATTCTCCTGCCTCAGCCTCCTGAGTAGCTGGGACTACAGGCGCCCACCACCATGCCCGGCTAATTTTTTGTATTTTTAGTAGCGACAAGGTTTCACCATATTATCCAGGATGGTCTCGATCTCCTGAGCTCATGATTCGCTCGCCTTGGCCTCGCAAAGTGCTGGGATTACAGGCGTGAGCCACCGCTCCGGGCTGGGACTTTCTTTCAGTTGGATCGTCTATAATTTTGAAATCTCCCCATACTTATGGTTTGTTGGTGTGGTGTGCTGTTTGGTTTGTTGCATTGTTGGTTGTTATTTTCTTTTCTTCTGGCACTACTAGGTGCTGCAGGCTGATTGTGTTTATTCTCTGTCTAACCCTATTATCCACCGTTTCTTCACAATGCCCTAGTTCCTTTGAATGGAAAATGGAATTAGAAATGAAGATCTAGAGACTGTGGTATATTCATTGCCCCTAGGGCATCTGATGACTTGAGGCCTTGTCAGCTGACTGAACAAAAGAATACACATGTGTTTACTGACTTACAAATATATACATGTGTATAAATATTTCAACATGTATGCGTATGTATCAATATTAAACTAGCCATGAATTCCATGTAATGTTTCTGGCAGCACATGATCTAATCCAGTACCACATGAAGCTATGTACCTGTTCCAACTCGCTTGTATGTAGCTTGCGCCTCTAACATGGAACTAGTTGGCTTTGTTAATAACTTAATGATATCATCCAAAAATACATGCATAGTGTTTTCAAAAGTGTTAATTTATACACCCCTGGGAAACTACTTTGCCAACTAAAACTCAGTCCTTATATACAAATTATTTGTCCTTTTGACTTAGAATCTCAGAATCTCCCTCTATTTCCTAATTTACTTAGGTCAGCCCCCTTTTCTCACTCTAGTGAGCTTATTTCACACATTTGTTATACAGTTATAATATTTAGTCAATCTCTATCAACTAAATAAGGCGTTTGGTTTGTTTGTTTGTTTGTTTGGATGCAGTCTCGCTCTCTTGCCCAGGTTAGAGTTCAGTGGTGTGATCTTGGCTTACCTCAACCTCTGCCTCCCAGGTTCAAGGACTTCTCTTGCCTCAGCCTCCCAAGTGGCTGGGATTATAGGTATGTGCCACCATGCGTGGCTAATTTTTGTGTTTTGTATTTTTAGTAGAGGCAGGGTTTTTCCATGTTGGCCAGGCTGGTCTTGAACTCCTGTCTTCAAGTGATCCCCTCCACCTCAGCCTCCCGAAGTGTTGGGATTACAGGCGTGAGCCATGGCGCCTGGCCTAAATAAGGTTTTTATTTTACCATCTGTGTGTTATGAAGTTCTGTAGGTCTTGAATAACAGTGTCACATATTCAGTGTCACGTTGTCATATAGAACAATTTCAAAGCCCCAGAGGCATTTCTTGTACTTTACTGATTCAAATTTTCTGTGGTCCAATCCCTTCATACTCACTGAATACTTTACTGTCTCTGTACTTTTTTCTTTTTCAGAGTGTTATATAAATGGCATCAGATAGTATTTTGCCTTTTCCAACTCATTTTATTTAGTTATCAAAATGCCGTTTAGGTTTGTAAAGTATATCTTATGGTTGTTTAGATTTGCATTTCTTGAATAACAAAAAAATTGAGCATATTCTCATGTGTTTATTGGACAAGACTACAACTATTTTTGGAAAAATGACTCTTCAAATTATTTGCCATTTTTGATTAAGATGTTTGCCTTTTTATTTTCGAGAAGTAAGACTTTTTATCTATTCTGGATAACAGACCCTAATTAGCTATGAGATTTTTAAAGATTTTCTCTCATTCTTTGGTGTTGCCTTTTTACTTTTAACCATGTACTTTGAGTCACACAATACTGTTTTGTAATGAGTTCAATATGTCTGTTTTTTAATTTTAATACTTGATTTCTGATGAAGTTCTTTATGTCTTTTTAAAATTATGTTCATTTGCTTTAGGTGTCATAGCTTAGAAACCATTGTTTAACCCAAGGCTACTGTATTAGTCTGTTCTCCCATTGGTATACAGAAATACTGAGACTGGGTAATTTATAAAGAAAAGAGGCTTAATTGGCTCATGGTTCTGCAGGCTGTACAGGAAGCATAGTGACTTCTGCTTCTGGGAAGACCTCAGGAAATTTCCAATCATGGTGGAAGGCAAAGGGGGAGCCAGCACTTCACACAGCCAGAGCAGGATGAAGAGAGGGGCTGGAGTGCTACGCACTTTTAAGCAACCAGATCTTGTGAGAACTCACTCACTATCAGGAGAACAACACCAGTGGTGCTAAAACCATTCATGAAAATCACCCTCAGGAGCCAATCACCTCCCACCAGATCCCACGGCAAACACTGCAGATTACAATTTGACATGAGATTTGGTGGGGACAAAGATCCAATTTATTTCAGCGATGAAAATGTATTCTTATGTTCTCTTCTATGGATTTGGTCAATTTGGCTCCTATATTTAGATGCATTATTAATTTGAGTCAATCATGCATATGGTGCTAGGGAGGCAATAACTTGCATGTCAGTGTCCATTTGTCCCAGCAACACTGTGTGAGGAAATATTTCTTTATATTGAATTGACTTGTCAACCTTGTAAAATTGTTTTACCATGCATGTAAGAATTAATTTTCGACATTTGATTTTATTCCATTGATATATATGTCTCTCTATCGGGAGAAATTCAGCCAGATAGCAGGCGAAATTCCACCCCGATATTTCACGTAGGTTCTTTTCTAGATTCCCTGAGTGTCAGCCAGTCTGAGAAATAAAGGGACAGAGTACAAAAGAGATAAATTTTAAAGCTGGGTGTCCGGGGGAGACATCACGTGTCGGCACCTTCCGTGATGCCCCCCGAGCCGTAAAACCAGCAAGTTTTTATTAGTGATTTTCAAAAGGGGAGGGAGTGTACCAATAGGGTGTGGGTCACAGAGATCACGTGCTTCACAAGGTAATAGAATATCACAAGGCAAATGGAGGCAGGGCGAGATCACAGGACCACAGGACTGGGGCAAAATTAAAATTGCTGATGAAGTTATAGGCACGCATTCTCATTGATAACATCTTATCAGGAGACAGGGTTTGAGAGCAGACAACCAGTCTGTCCAAAATTTATTAGGCGGGAATTTCCTCATCCTAATAAGCCTAGGAGCGCTATGGGAGACTAGGGCTTATTTCATCCCTACAGCTTTGACCATAAAAGATGGCTGCCCCCGAAGCGGCCATTTTAGAGGCCTACACTCAGGATCGCATTCTCTTTCTCAGGGATGTTCCTTGCTGAGAAAGAATTCAGTGATATTTCTCCCATTTGCTTTTGAAAGAAGAGAAATATGGCTCTGTTCCATCCGGCTCACTGGTGGTCAGAGTTTAAGGTTATCTCTCTTGTTCCCTGAACATTGCTGTTATCCTGTTCTTTTTTCAAGGTGCCCAGATTTCATATTGTTCAAACACACATGCTCTACAAACACTTTGTGCAGTTAACGCAATCATCACAGGGTCCTGAGGCGACACACATCCTCCTCAGCTTATGAAGATGATAGGATTAAGAGATTAAAGTAAAGACAGGCATAGGAAATCACAAGGGCATTGATTGGGGAAGTGATAAGTGTCCATGAAATCTTCACAATTTATGTTCAGAGATTGCAGTAAAGACAGGAGTAAGAAATTATAAAAGTCTGAAATTGGGGAACTAGTAATTGTCTGTGAAATCTTCACAATCCACGTTCTTCTGCCATGGCTTCAGCCGGTCCCTCGGTTCGGGGTCCCTGACTTCCCGCAACCTCTCTCCTTCTCACATAGTAGATAAACACACACAGGGTACATGATATGTTTTGGTACAGGCATGTAATGTGAAATAAGCACACATCATGGAGAATTGGACAACTATCTCTATGAGCATTTATCCTTTGAGTTACAAACAATTCAATTATGCTTTTTAAGTTTTGTAAAAATATGCAATTATTATTGACTTTCATAGTTACCCTGTTACGCTATCAGTTTGTTTTATTCATTCTTTCTATTTGTTTTGTAACCATTAAACATCCCTACCTTCCCCCAGCCCCCTGCTACCATTCCCAGCCTCTGTTAACCATCCTTCTACTCTCTATGTCCATGAGTTCAACTGTTTTGATTTTTAGAACCCACAAATAAGTGACAACATGTGATATTTGTCTTTCTGTGCCTGGTTTATTTCACTGAAGATAGTAATCTCCAGTTTTATCCTTGTTGTTGCAAATGACTGGGTCTCTTTATTTTTTCTGGCTTAATAGTACTCCACTGTTTATATACACCATATGTTCTTTATCCAATCATCTGTTGATGGACACTTAAGATTGCTTCCAAATCTTAGCTATTGTAAACAGTGCTGCAACAAGCATAGGAGTGCAGATATCTCGTTGATATACTGATTTCCTTTCTTTGGGGTATATATATGCAGCAGCCTACTGCTGGGTATATTTGGTAGCTCAATTTTAGTTTTCTGAGGAACCTCCAAACTGTTCTCCATAGTGGTTGTGCTAATTTACATTCCCACCAACTGTGTACAAGGGTTGCTTTTCTCCACATCCTCACCAGCATTTGTTATTACCTGTCCTTTGGATAAAAGCTATTTTACCTGGGGTGAGATGATATCTCATTGTAGTTTTGATTGGCATTTCTCTGATGATTAATGATTTTGAGCACCTTTTCATATGCTTGTTTGCCATTTGTATGTCTTTTGAGAAACATTTATTCCAATATTTTGTCCTTTTTTGGTTGGATTATTTGACTTTTTTCCTATAGGGTTGTTTGAGCTGCCTATATATTCTAGTTATTAATCCATCAGATGGGTAGTTTGCAGATATTTTTTCCCATTCTGTGGGTTGTTGCTTCACTTTGTTGATTATATCCTATGCTGTGCAGGAGCTTTTAACTTGATATGATCTCATTTGCCCATTTTTGCATTGGTTGCTTGTGGGATATTGCTCAAGAAATTTTCTCCTAGACCAACATACTGGAGAGTTTCCTTAATGTTTTCTTATAGTAGTTTCATAGTCGGAGGTCTTCAATGTAAGTCTTTAATCCATTTTGATTTGATTTTTTGCATACAGTGAGAGACAGAGTTCTAGTTTCATTCTTCTGCATGTGGATAACCAGTTTTCCCTGCACCATTTATTTAAGAGACTGGCTTTTTCCCCAGTTTACGTTCTTGGCAACTCTGTCGAAAATGACATAACTGTAGCGTTGTGGATTTGTTCCTTGGTTTTCTATTCTGTTCCATAGGTCTATATGGGTATTTTTATTCCAATACCATGCTGTTTCATTTACTATAGGTCTCTAGTATAATTGGAAGTCAGGTAATGTAATTCCTCTAGTTTTGTTCTTTCTGCTTAGGATAGCTATGGCTATTCTGGTTATTTTGTTGTTCCATATCCTTAACACAATTTTGATTACTATTGCTTTTGTAGTATGTTTTGAAATCAGAAAGTAGCATTTTACTACACAAACTTTGTTCTTTTTCAAAATTATTTTGTCTGTTCTGGAATTCTATTTCATTATATATGAATTTTAGAGTAAAATTGCCAATTAGGGGAGAAAATGTCACCTAGGATTTAGCTAGGGATTGCATTAGATATATTTGGAAAGTATCAGCAACCTAATGATACTAAGCTTTCTAATCAGTGAAAGCTCAATGTATTTAATTTATAATTGTATTAATATCTTTGATATGTTTTGTAGTCCTCAGTATATGTATCTTATACTTATTTTATCAAATTAATTCATAGGTATTTAACTTTTATGCCATTTTACATGAAATGGTTTTTGAAATTTTGTTTTTAGATTGTTAATTGCTAATAAATAAAAATATAGTTGTTTTTGTATATTGACCTGTACTAAGCTGTACTACAAGCTTGCTTATCCCTTTTTTCATATTTTGTTATGTTTTATTAGAGTTTTTATGATGTCTATAGGCAGGATCATGTCATTTGGAGACATAATTTGACTTTCCTTCCAATCGGACTGCGTTATGTTTATTTTCTACACCAATTATGTTGGGGACATCCTCCAATACAGTGGTGACTAAAACTGTGAAAGTGATATCCTTCTCTTGTTTCTAATTTTACAAGAAAGTGTTTGAGCTTCCAGAACTTTTAGGATGTCATGTGAGGTTTTCTGTGCTTTCATGATGGGGAAATTTTTCTTATTTGCCTAACTTGTTGCATGATTTTATAAGGAATGAAATTTCAATTTAGCAAGTGCTTATTGCTCATCTTTTAAGATGACCATGTGTATTATGTCCCTTATCTCTTAATATAGTTTATGGCACTAATTCTTTTTCTATGTTGAACCAAATTTGCATTTGTAAGATGTATACCTTCGTCAAAATTTATAAATTTTTACATGTCTGTTATTTGTTTTAATAGTATTTCCTTTAATTTTTGTGTTTATGTTCATAAGTCATATTGATCATAGTTTTTCTTCAGTAACTTTGTCTAACTGTGGTATAAGGCTGATAATTCACATTGAAAAGTGATCTATTCTTCATGTTGCTCTTACTGTTTTTATGTGAAAGGTCTAAATTTATTTAGCAGAAATAGAATGGAACACATGAAAAGGAGAAAAAATGTACATTTTTTCAAGATAATTTTCAGACTTTGCAAACAATTATATTGTATAAGTGAATAAAACCAAATCAGAGTAATAAAGATATGTAATTGGGCTACATAGATGGAGATTTACAATACACTGGAAACGGAGAGAGAAAGGTGGGTGATAAATTACTCTTTTTAATATGATTTTATTGTTTTGCATATTTCTTTCTTTAAATACACTACCTACAAGTATAGACAAAGATGAAAATATGGGTTGACAAACAGGTGCTCATTATTTAGAAGAAATATAAGATTTAAATTCTGGTATTTCATTAAGGTCAATTTAGTTTGTATGCTTAGGAGACCTAACATGTAGACATTTGAAGTGACACATTTTGTGAGCCTTCATAAATATCTATAAAAAATAGAAAATCAGAGTTTTTAAAAACTTAAAAGTTGAACAAAACAAGGATTTAAATATTATTATTAAAGTTGTTACCTATTCCCAGATGAGGACTTAGAAAAACAAACAGTTGGCAAACCAGTGCAGCAGGTGACTTCCGTGAAGCCAGAGGCACACCCTGGGGACTGCGGTGTTGCTGGAGCCGACACTGCTGTGCTGCACATGTGGCTGCCACCAGTTTCCTCCCTCTCTGGGAAGTGGAATTTGAATTGCAGGTGATGATGGCTGATGAACGGAGGGACAAGACCACATTATCTCAAAATGCTTGGCTCTGTTGCTTGCTCCTCATTTCACTGCTAGGTGCCACAGGCTTGGGGTTTACTGTTTATTTTTTGAAAAATATATGATAAATTGGTATTAATTATTTGAAGATGTGAAATCATTTACTGGTGATGTCTTCTTGACCAAGTCAGAATTTTTTTTTTTTTCACAGACATGGTCTCACTCTGCATCCAGGCTGGAGCACAGTGGCATGATTATAGCTCACTGCAGACTTGTACTCCTGGGGTCAAGCAATCCTTTTGCCTCAGCCTCTTGAGCAGCTGGGGCCACAGGCACATGCCACCATGTCTGGCTAGTCTTTTTTCTTCTTTTCTTTTCTTCCTTCTTTTTTTTTTTTTGTGTGGTAGAAACAGGTTCTAACTATGTTGCCCAAGCTGGTCCTGAACCGCTAGCCTCAAATAATCCTCCTGCCTGAACCTACCAAAGCATTGGTATTACAAGTTTGACCCACCGTGATCTGTCCAGAGTGGGAAATAGAATCTTAACAACTATCACATGAACTTTGAGGGTATCCTTCTCCAGATGAGCCTTCAGTTGAGACCTCAGCCTTGGACATCATCTGCACCTGGATTCCTGACCCAGAGCAACTGTAAGTAATGTGTGTGTGATTTTGAGCCACCACACTATGTGGCAATTTGTTGTGCAGCAACTGATAACTAATACAAAAGATAGCACATTTAATTTCTAATACTACCCTGGATTAGATTCTAGAACAGAAAAATGGCATTACTAGAAAACCTGGTAAACTCAGAAGAAAGTCTGTAGTTCAGTTAATAATTTTAAGCCACTGTAAGTTTATTAGTTTTCATAAATACATTATGGGTATATAAATAAGATGTTAACATTCTAGTAAACTCCTGGGTATGTAAAACTAGCTGTACTATGTTTGCATCTTTATGTATATCTAAAATTATTTTAAAATGAAATCTTTGATTTTTTATTTTTAATTAAAAAAGACAGGCATGCATATGTTATCCCAGCTTCTGGGGAGGCTGACTTGGGAGGATTGCTTGAGCCCAGGAGTTCCAAACTGAAGTGAGCCATGATTGTGTCACTGCACTCCAGCTTGGGAAACAGAGGGAGACCAAGACTCAAAAAAAAAAACTGGCCTCAGAAGGTGAATGGACATATAGAAAAAAAATAGCCAAGCAGATTTCCGCATAAATTTACCCTTCCATACATACATCCATCTACTTCAGGAAGCCACTATCAAACTCAAGGAACTCTTGTCCATATTTGACCTCCCCATCACACTCTTTATTACCAAGTAACTCGTTTGAGTGTCAGTAACCTCTCTGTTTTCAGAGATATTTGCCTATGCCTCACATACCCCAGAAAGGCCCATTTCCAGATATCATTTAGGAACATATCTACAGGATCCCACTGAACATATTTTGGCAAACAAAGTTTCTGGATACCAAAGACCAAGATTGAGGAATGTTAGTGACAAGAAATATAAATTATATTTTCATATTATGGTTTTTTTAATATAGGCTTAGTTTTCTAAAGATAATTCTGCCTTCAAGCCTTGTTGGAATTCTGTGATAATTTCTTTTCACACCATATTCTCCATCAGGAATTTTATGGAACCTTGTATTCTGTTGAATACCAGAATTATATCAGCAATCCCAAAGTCACCAAATGGGCATCATCATGACAGCAGGTGAGCGGAATACAAAAGATATATATATATATATGGTGGTTGGTGGTTTTGGCAGTTTCTACTTATCTGGACCTGGACAAAAAAATCTTTTCACACCAGATTTTTGGCAGGTGAGATTCAAAATAGGTTTTGCACAGGCATGGAAAACCTGATAGAGGCAAAACAAGAGGCCAGGTGTGGTGGCTTATGCCTGTAATGCCAGCACATTGGAAAGCCAAAGTGGGTGGATTGCTTGAGTCCAGGAGTTCAAGACCAGCCTGGGGAACATGGAGAATTGTTTCTCTACAAAAAAATAGAAAAATTAGCTGAGTATAATGGCACACACCCATGGTTCCAGTTACTCAGGAGGCTGAGGCAGGTGGTTGGATTGAGCCCAAGAGGTCAAGGCTGCAGTGAGCCATGAGTGTGTGACTGCACTGCAGCCTGAGCAATAAAGTCAGACCCAAGAAAGAAAGAGAGAGAGAGAGAGAGAAAGAGAAAGAGAAAAGAGGGAAAGAAGGAAAGAGGGAAAAAACGGAAGGAAGGATAAGAAGGAAGAAAATACAACATATCCCCAACCCTCCAGCAGTGATCTAAGAGATAGACAGAGGCTGAGTAGTGATTCTGCATATGTGCTGGCTAAACAAAGAATCCCACAGCAGGAAGGACTCTCCACTCACCGCACACACAACTTCCTGTTCAACACGCTGCTGGACAGCACCAGGGTTGTTTCCAGGGACCATGCCTAAAAACCCACAAAGACATCAGACTTCATTCTGCACACCCATGGCCATGTATAATGTTGACTTGTTTTTTGGTCTCTAAACATGAGGTCTATTGTCCACACCACGGTAATAGTGACAGTCAGAAAATGAGCTCTTGTGACCTAGAAAGTTGGAAGAGACATTCAGCTTCATGGATGTCATTTCTCATTCTTAGATGAGGATAACTGTTACGTGGTGTTATTTGAGCATTTGTGATTGAAGAAAACTAACTTCTTTAAGCCCATACTTTATTACTTGAGACATGACAGCTTCATTTAAGGTTCCTATTTTAAAACATGGTGAGTGTTTCCATTTATTTCATTTGAACTGGAGATACTATCTCACTTACGTAACTTGTCAAATCCCTTTTTATCTTCATTTCAATGCATGTTTTCTAATCTATCATGATGAAGAGTGTGAAGATTGTGCTTCACCAAACCAGGAAGCAATTAAAAAAAAACTAGAATGGCAAGCCATAAGTTAGATATAAGTAGATGCATGTAAGGTGTAACCCATCTCAATGTGGCATATCAGGGAGATGGAGACTGGAGAGATGAGGTTTAAAAGAAAACAGGCACTAAATTCAAAGCTGTGCTAAATGATGTCACAGGCACAGATGACATCGTGTGGTGCTCCAAGTTCCCAAACAACCTCTCTGACAGCACAAAAATTATGATTTCCCATAATATACTAAGCTACCAGGTTTCAGAGTGGCTGTCCTGGACACTACAATTTTCAAAAACTATCACTGCAAACAAGCCAAATTCCTAGACCTCTTCATGAGGCAAGTACCTAACACTCTTTCTCCATCCACACTTTAGACTGATTGGAAGTCAGAGTTCAATGGATGGATGGCTCGTATAATTGAGATCATGATTTCATGTTCCCTTTATTCAGTCTTCCTGAAATGTTAAATCTAGGTCAGGGAAACATTCATCTAATTCATTACAATTCTGCTTCCTCCTCAACAGATTTCTAGGACCATCATTTTTTAAATTATTTCTACATACATAAAATAGGGATTTCAGTACTCCACTAAAAGCTCTCCATTTTTAATAGTTAGCAGTCCATGGAGGGCAGGTCTTTGCAAACCTACCACTAAAACATGAGGAAGCTGAACAGCTGAAGATAGAGGCTGATATAACCAGTCTCTTAGAAAGAAACATTTAGTAGGGATTTATGAACAGATATTTGAGTCTCACACAGGACTTATATACCATGGGGAAGGAATGTGTAGGAAAACTGAAGTCTACCTGTCAGGGAAAGGCAGAAATGCCATGTGAATCTAAGCACAGGATTTATAGTCATGGTGGTTCTGACCTAAGGGCAGGATTTAGAGAAAAATAATGATTTTCACAAGGAACAGTAGACACAATAGAAATCTTATCCCCCAGTGTGCATATAAAGGAAAAAAATATTTATACAGAAAGCTTAGAGGCAGTCCCAGAACAGGGGTTAATCAGAAGTCAACATGGTGAATTAGCTTTCAAGATTGAGTTGTTTTTGCCTCCACTGCTAGCTAGAGGGTAAATGGAGTTGATCAGCTTATGTGAAAGTATAAGTCTATTTCTTCAATAATATACCATAATACAGAAGATGAGGCACCCCTGTTTCCATGTAGTCATTGGCAGTCAGGGAGAAAAATGCCATATTCCATTCCTCTTATGATACACATGTAACTGAGTGCAGGTCCAGCTGTTCTATGCATGCAAAAGCAATGACAAAGAGGACGTGCAGGGTCAAAGGAAAGTGACTTTATTTTTCAAATTCAGCAGTAGGGAAATGGCTGGATTACACCTCTATAGACCAGTTCAAAATTTTGGGCAGAGGGCAGGGGTTTAAAGAAAGGGAAGCGTGACGCATTACATGGGAGGCATGCAGGTGATGTGCAGATTCAGGGAGTCTGTGTCTTACTCGAGACAGACTGATACCATCTTGATAGTTCCAGGCTGTAGATATCCATCCTGAGGCAATCTTTAAGAGAGAGACAATTCCACAGCTGGGCCTTTATGTTTGGTTCATTTTAAATTAGCCTCTGGTATTTTTTGACAGGCATATAGTTAGATAAGTATGCATGGTGTGAGTTTAGCCAGCATACAGTTAGGTAAATGTGTATAAGGCATGGACGTGTACAGTGGGAAACCGAAGGGGGTGTGGTTCCAAAGTATATTTCATGGTTCTACTTGAAGACTAAAGCAATGGCTTCTGCAGTTTGCTTCAAGGTTACATCTTGAGACTGGGAAGAAAAAAAAGGAGAAAGAAAAAACTTAAATGTATTTTGAAGCTATATGACTCAATTACAATCCTTCACCATAAAAGACCATTCCATTTCCAAGGAAAGTGGCAACACAGTCCATCTAGCTTCTTCCTGCTGAAAAGGGGCACAGTTAGAGGGTATCAGATTGGAATCTGTTTACCTGGAGTTGGAAATATTCGTGGGTTCCCAGACTAATGTGAGAATGTGTTAGAGCATTATAGTGTGGGGAACCAAAAGTTTCTGGGAAAGTTTTTCCTGCATCTCCATACAGATCTTGAAAAGTGACAAAAACTACAGCAACCAAACAGAACAGGGAGCAGAATACCAATTATACTGTATATGAGAGTCTTCCATGGACCTGGAAGTCGACTAAACCATGATATTGTGGGATCCTGGGAGAGGACATTTATAGCAGAAATATGAGTATTCAGTGCATGCATAGCTTGGATTATATCGTGAGAATAATCTGGTGTATTTATGCACCATTCAGTCTTAATGCACAAGTGTCCCACTGGGCTGCAGTTAGGATATCTAAGGCCATGGGGTTCTATACAGCCACTTGTCTAATCTGCGAGTGTTTTCAGTGAGAAGGGTAATGTTGGGTTAGGTGTTATTACAGGCAGCAGCTCTATACTTAGGTTATCTACTTATAATTCTACATCTATGTTTGCTGTCTGGGAGGAAAAGACAGCTAGTGAGTAGAACCAACAGGGTGCCCATTTTTGATGGTGTTGTCTGTCCTTCACATTTTCCCAGTCGTCAGGGAGAGAGTCCAGATGGGACAGGATGTGTCCTGGTAGGTAAGGGCACCCCAGGTGTATCTGCCGGTCCAGCTGTAAGGTAAGTAAGACCAGCTATGACTGCCTCAGACCCATAGCTAACTCCAGGAGAAAGGATAGGCCCCACCATGTAGCTTGATACTATTTTGCCATCCTAGCCACATATGATTAGTCAGTTGATGGGTTTGGCCACATTACTAAGAGGTAACCATCCCTTAGCCTGGCTGCTAGTGTGGGGTGTGTTGCTCTTGTGTTTTTGGATGTGTAGAGGTGCATGACCCATTGCCTGAATTTGCACCATCATCAGCCATCCTATGTTGTCATGTACAGCATAGTCTATAGAGGGGGTGATATTAACCTGCTTATGAGCCAGATGGAAGATATGTTTCCAGGTTTCCCCAAAAGTGGAGCACTCATGGTGAGTGGTACTGTAGTCATAGATGGGAAATGGGTGAGAATTCTTACTCTTGTCCTACGTATAAACATAACTCCAAGTGCTCGAGGTGCTTGCTTGGATGTGCAATGGCAAGTCAGCAGAGGAGAAAGGGGTACCTCCCCCACAGACCCAGCAGTCTGTTTCGTTTTGGAGGAAAGCCCCTGTCTACACCCATGCAGGTAGTTTCAGCAAAGATCAAGTATATACTTACTACTCTAGAATTTATTGAGAACTTCATGTTGATAAAAGTGTATCGCTTAACTCTCCTCCTTTTTCTCTTATTAATAACTTCAGATCTTTCCTTGGCTCACATAACCAGGTAGACATCTGAGTGAAGCCCACCTTTCAGTCTTTGAAGGGACTCAGCCCTTTGTACTATATCCCCTTTTTAGGAGGGCTACATTCCATCTTGGGATTGTTTGTAGTGCACAAGATGCATCCGTGTGTAATTTTCTGAATGATATCTTGGAATTGTGGGCTACTGAGATGTGGTTGCACTAGGTTGGCGAGGACATCACTCCCATAGTACGTTCCTTCATGTAGATGTTTTGAGATTGGATAAACCAAGGCCTTGGGGTTTCATCATCCTGTGAGTGTCAGTTTTCCAGGGGGAGTTGGAATCCCTTTTCTCAAACCCCTGGCTTGGGCACGTTTGGGATCTTGTTCGGTGTAATGGGGTTTAAAACCTAGTAATTCCAAATGGAGTATTCATGTCCCAGACCTGTGCCTCCCGAGCAGCTCATTTTGCAGCTTTGCCAGCTGCCTGGTTACCTTTGGTTGTGAATTATCTCTGGTGGTGGGGCAGTGCATGATGCAGTGGCAGGCAAGTCAGTTGCCTCTACTAGGGCCAGAATTTCTTTTGGGTGTTTAATGTCCGTATTTTCTCATTTCAAGCAGCCTCCTCTATGTTTCCAAAACACCCGATGGGCGTGCATTACCAGGAATGCATGTATGGAATCAGAATCCCTTTTTCTGGGACAGTTCTAAAGACTCAAGTAAGAGCAATTAACTCAGCTCTTTGTGCAGAGGTAGCTGCCGGAAGGGTATGGACTTCTATTACCCTTTTGGTAGTCACGGTGGCACATCTGGCTCTGTGTACATCTTTCATTAAGCTGCTCCCATCAGTGTAGTTCAAGTCCAGAGCACTCATTGTCTAGTTTGACAGGTTCAGCATACTTGAATAAGCTGCATCAAGGATTTAGAGTCATGCTTTAACCCAGGATTGTGTTCGGTGGCTGAGAGCAGTGTGGCAGGGTTTAGAGCCATGGTGGTTTGTAGGGTGATATTTGGATCATGTAAGAGGATGGCCTGGTATCTGCCCACTCACCCCACAGTGAGCCAGTAGCCTCCTGTTTGTTCTAGCAGAGTCAGCACCTGATGGGGCACAAATACGGTAACTGGCTGTCCCAGAGTAAATTGTTCTACTTCCTGTAGGACTTCACAATGTGTGCTCTTGCCCAGAGGAAGGGGAGCCATCCCTTAATCTTTGGTGTAATTGTTTAGAGAAATAGGCCATGGATTGTGGGGCATCTCCCAGGATTTGGATTAGCACACCCAGACCTATGCTTTGTTTCTCTTGGATATAGAATTTGAACAGCTTTTGGGAATTTGGTATCCCAGTGTGGGGGCTGATATCAGCTTTTCTTTGATGGTATAAAATGTTTGTTGACCTTTAGATGGCCAGAGAAGGGCCTCTGAGTCTAGTCCATTTAGGGATTCATAAAGGGTTTTAGTCATTAGTCCAAACTTAGGAATCGAATCTGGCAGAAGCTAACCCTTTCTAGGAATCCCCGCGGTTGCCCCCGTTCTCTGGGGCTTTATGGCTGCTATTGCCTGCTTTTTGTTTTTTTTTTTTTTTTTTTTTTTTTTTTTTTACCAGACCAGGCTCCTTTGGCCTTGCTTTAACCTAAAGCCAAGACAGGTTACTTTCTACTTACTTAACTTGGGGCTTCCTGGGAATACTTTGTATCCATATTGTACCAGGTGATTTAGAACTAAGATGAGGTCAGCTAAGCTTTTCCTATAGTTGTGGCTGCTATTAATTATCTATGTGTGGTAACCAGGCTTCTTAATCTTGTTGTAGGTCTCCTAAGTCTTTTGCCAGTATTTCCCCAAAAATTGTTGGTGCATTTTTTTTAATACATTGAGGCCCCACTGTCTAACAGTATTGAAAGGTTGTTTTAGTCTCTGGGTCCTGTCATTAAAAAAGTAATAATAATTGCTGGGTCTTTTCTTCAACTGGAATGCAGAACAAAACATCTTTCAGATCTAGCACTGAAAAGCATTCATACTATCTATATATAGCAGTCAGTAGAGTATATGGGTTAGGCACCATTGGGTGAATATCCAAGACTATTTTATTAACGGCTCTCAGGTCTTAGGCAAATTGATATTTGTTGAAGGGTAGCTTCCTTACAGGCACGATAGGGCTATTATATGGGGATCTGCATGGATGAATCAATCTACTTCTGAAATTTTTGAAAGACTGTATTCAAAAATTTGTATTCCTTCTAAGGCTGTATTCCTTCTAAGGCTTCCTTTCTTAATGTATACTGATTTTTTATTCGCCTCCCCCCCGCCACCCAGGGCACAGTAGCCCCTTCTATTTTTTCTATGTGCACTCACTATGTATTTCTTGTTTTTCCTGGGATTCCGTCTGCCTATTCACAATTACACACTCTCTCATAGACTTCTAAGGGAGAATTCTTGTTTCTTCTTAAGGCAAGTGAATAACATGTTACTTGCAGTGCTTGCTCTAGCAGGACCTGCAGATTAGTTGTTTCTCTGGGGATAAATTACTTGCATATTTAATTTGCATAATAGGTCTTTTCCCAGCAAGAGAATTGGGCATTCTTGCATATAGAAATAGCAGTGCCTTAGGTCCAAACTTTCTAGTTTGGATTCTAAAGGTTGTAGGAAAGCCTTTTGTTGCATTATTCTTGCAACTCCTATCACAGGTATGATCATTTTGGTGCTTTTTGCTCATAAAGTGTTAAAACTGAATAGTTTGCCCAGTATCAACCAGGAAATCAATTAACTTTTTCCTCACTGTCAGTTGTACCCAGGGTTCCTGTGGGGAAATTTTAATTGTCTCTGAGGGATTAAGGAGAGCCCCCAGGCATCACTGTCCGTGGTCAGAGCAGTGACCCTGCTCCATTATTTGACTGTGAGCTTCTTCCTCATCGTATTCCTCCTTTTTCTGGCCCCATGGTCCTTTCTTTTGGGACAGTCATCCTTTCAGTGGCCTTTCTCCTTACACTAGGCACACTGGCTGTGTTCCAGAGGCTTGCCTCGATTTTTCTGATGCAGAGCCTTCCTTGTTCATTCCACATTTATGGTTGAAACTTCTGTTTCTTTGTCTCTTGAGTGGGGAAGGGGCCATTCCTAGTGAGGCTTCCTGTTTTGGTACCCCTTTCCTGAGTCCAAACATGAAGAATGTTTGTGAATATTCCAGATGGGCCATGTCCCCTTATCAATTGGAGCCCCAATTAGGGTTTGCATCCAGAATGGTGCCTTCAGGTTTGGGGTATTTGGATTTGTTTCATGGAGGCACCAAGACTCTGGATCTTCTTTGGTCTGCAGCCAGAAGCATATTTAGGAGAGACTACACATCTGCTCAGGTACACTGGTGGGTGGCACAGATAGACACATAGAGAGCAGTCATTTTCTGGGGATCCATTCTATAAAGTGGGGTGGAGTTTTTCCGTTTCACAAGTTAGATGTTGAAAATGGGCTGGATGTCCAGTAATGTCTGACAGGTTGCCCACTCGCATCCAAGCCACCCATGGCCGTCCTTGTAAATGGTAATTCCCTTGCTCCGGCCATGGCACTTCCTTGCTAAATCGTGTTCCCTGTCAAGCACTGGAGGGAGAGGCCATCTCTGTTCTCTTATTATACTGAGGTGGCAGAGTAGCTCCCTCTTATTGGTCTGATGCCTCGCTTGGTAGCATCAAGGCAATCCGGGCCAATGCAGAGGCCAATGCTAAGGGCCCCATAGGGCTCCCACCGCAGTGGGAGCTGTTAGGGGTGGAGCAGAGGCCAGGTGCGTTCTGGCTGTGGTGGTTGGAGCTGCTAAAACAGCTTGGGTGTAGGACATTTAAAAGTCCTAATTCTTCTTCATTGCTTTCTGCCTGAGTTTGGCTATCTGGCTTGTGAAGAGTCCTTTTTCCATTCTGTCCCTTGGTACAGCTGGCAGCTGGCGTCTTCCCTCATGGTATGAATCCTGATTTTCAAAAAGCGTGCAGGCTTGGACATATGGTATTTTTTCTGATTTTCCAGACCTCTGACAAAATGAGTCTAACTGCATTAAAGACTAGTATTGGTTGCGTCCGTTCAGAGGTCAAAATTTATAACCTAACTTGTCCACAGTCCAAACAGCACTGCAATAATAGACGGTTTTTCTCTTAGTCAAGGGCTCATAGCTATAGGATCTACACTTAGCTAGGGTATGCCCCAGGGGCCTCCCAGAGGGGATAGAGACCTTGTTTCCCTCCTGACTTGGTTTCTATATCCATACTGCTCATTCCTGTTGAAACAGTGATGACAACTTTTATTTGTTGTCTGTCTTCTGTTCTACACTGCTCATATCCTTCAACCAGAGCTCTATGGGTTGGAAAGACTTTTCTAGCTTCTTATAAGTAGTGCAATTAGTACCACTCATGGTCCTAAAAGGAACACTTGTGCAAATCTCACCACACAGCTGGGACAGCCAAAGAGATCAGAGAATAAACTCCTTGGGCAGCTAGTGGTTAGCACCAGCTAGCACAGCACTCCCCCACCACCGCCCCGCCACGCCCCGACCGGCCCCAACAGCACATCAACTTCATCCCAGGTCCATGTTCTGCTGTACTTAGTACCCTAGTAGAGGGTAACTGAATGGCAACAAATTAAATGGTAAATTAGGCACACAAAGAGGGCAGAGGGGTTGGAGTCAGGACTGCCTAAATACTTATCCCATATGCTGTTAAGCTTTTTTTCACATAAACAACATTAAGCACCATAAGCATGGTGGCAAGCCCTTTAGATAACCTATGGAATAGTTCGCATCCTTCCTTTCCCCAGAAAAACTGGCACTGTTGTGAGAAGTGCTCCAGGGCCCTAAAAAGAGTGACCCTGCTAGAGCAGTGGAGGCTGTTTCCCTCCAGGGCTGGATCCTGGATGGAGTGGGGCTTATGCAGATCACCTTGCAGAGGAAAGAAGGAAGAGGAGAGAGAGACAGAGATGGGGGCCTAAATGTAGATATTGTACACTTTTACAGTTGCAGATTCAGACTGCACAGTCCCGGACAGATCCCCACTAAAGGTCTGGGTAAAAGTCCTGAAACCTCCTCTCAATTTCAGATGCCCTCCCGCCAATCAGCTGACTCCAAGTGGAGCAAAGCCCAGGTCTTGACATAGATACAGATAACATACACGCCCAGATGATGTCACAATCAGCTGTATCTAAACAGAGCAGAGCTCAGGTGACATCACAGAACAGGCAGAGGCAGTTCAGGGGTATTCTGGTTGCCTTACCCAGCTCTGAAGTCTGTCAGCCTCTTCAGATGTCACTTGCCATGTGGTAAGGAAGTGTAGTCAGCAGCTGGTGCAGTGGGAAGAAGAGAAAGGAAGTTCCCCAAGACAAAAACATCTCGGCAGGTAAAGAGAAATTCCCTAGAGCCCCTATCATGGGATCAGCTAGTTGGAAGCAGGTGGCATTCCTGGGTAGTTTCTTTCCCTTCCAGTGGCCAGGATGGTTAAGCCTTGGTGTGCTTGTGTGTCTGATTGCCCCATTCATTGGAAACCAGACCGATGGTTTCAGGAACTCTGAGTGTGTTGTTCCCCTCTATGTGTCCATGTGATCTCATCATTTAGCTCCCACTTATAAGAGAACATGGAGGTATTTGGTTTTCTGTTCCTGTGTTAGCTTGCTAAGAATAATGGACTGCAGCTCCATTCATGTCCCTGCAAAGACATCATCTGGTTCTTCTTTATAGCTGCGTTGTATTCCATGGTATATATGTGCCACATTTTCTTTATACAGTCTATTGTTGATGGACAATTGAGATTGATTCCATGTTTTTGCTATTGTGAATAGTGCTGCAGTGAACATATGTGTTCAGGTGTCTTTATAACAGAGTGATTTATATTCCTTTGGATATATACTTAGAAATGGGATTGTTGGGTCAAATGGAAGTTCTGTCTTTAGGTCTTTTAGGAATCACCACACTGTCTTCCACAGTGGTTAAACTAATTTACACTCCCACCAACATTGTATAAGTGTTCCTTTTTCTCCACAATCTTGCCAGTCTCTGTTATTTGTTTGACCATTTGTTATTTCTTATATTTGACTTTTTAATATAGCCATTCTGGCGGGTGTTAGATTGTATTTGATGTTGTTTTTGATTTGCATTGCTCTAGTAATGAGTGACGTTGAGAAGATTCAAATAAATGCAATCTTGGTTTTATTTGATAAAACCTTGTTGATAAAAACAACAAGGGTGATATTACCACCGACCCCACAGAAATATAAACAACCATCAGAGAATGTAATGAACACCTCCATGGACATAAACTAGAAAATCTAGAAAGAATGAAAAATTCCTGCACAAATACACCCTCCCAAGACTGAACCAGGGAGGAACTGAATCCCTAAACAGACCAAGAATGGCTCTGAAATTGAGTCAGTAATAAATAGTCTCAGTGACAAATTTTTAAAATGCCACTTAGAAAATGTACACATAATTTTGTTCTATTCAGCAAATATATTTGTAACAATCAGTTTTAGGAAGGGTGTTAAAATATTTTATTATTTTTTCTCATTTAGCTTAATATTTTAAAAATATTTTTCTGCTGGCAACTATTTGTATCTCCATTTTCATTGACATAGTCAGTATATACCCACCTTCTATTAAATAATAGTGGATCAACTGATGTGTATTATTTTATACCGAACTTTGGCACTCTTGACATAATTCATATATGAATAGTCATCCAAATGTCTTGGCCAGTGAAGATGAGATTCATCCTCCAAGGTTGAACAGGAATATTCTTACCTGAAAGCAGCAAGCCGTACAAAAACAAGAAAATGGTAGAAGAAATTCAGGAGTCCCACAAGCAGATGAGGATTCATTTAGGTCCTGAGAAGGTGCAGGGACCCCTTATAGGGGCCTGTGTACCACCCGAAGCATGGAAATAAAGGAAAATCTTGAGTCCCTTCACAGAAATTCCAGGCACCTCTCTACCTCTGAGAAGTACACGAGCCACTTCACAAGCAAGAAGTTAAAACAGTAGCAAGGAATGGAGAGTCATGGGAATATGGGGTTCCCTATGGAAACTAAAAATCAAAGCTTAGCATATGTCCCTGAGTTGTTGTTCAGAAAGCTGCGCCTCTACCAAATGGATCCACTGGCACATAGACCTCAGATAAAGGGGATCTATGAAATGAACTCTGCCATTCTTTATTCTGAATTTCTTCCTGAGGGGCCTACAGGATGTTATGTCTATGAGCCAGACATACCATTATTTTTCTGCAGATTCCAAATTTTCTGACAAATTTTACTTTCTTGAATAATCACACTCAGAAAATCTTTGAATCCCCCTATGACCTGTAAGCTTCCACTTCAAGATACTTCATCCTTTTAGTCTAAAACCAATGTGTAACCTCAATATATTAATTTATGACTATGTATTACCCCTGCCTCTGTGTCTTTAAAATCCCCTACCTGTAAGCTGTCAGTTTTGGTCTTAATTTTATTTTATCATTTTATTTTATTTTTGGGATGGAGTTTTGCTCTTGTAGCCCAGGCTGGAGTGCAGTGACTCCATCTCAGCTCACTGCAACCTCTGCCTCCCGAGTTCAAGCGATTCTCCTGCCTCAGCCTCCTGAGTAGCCAGGATTACATGCAGGTGCCACCATGCCCAGCTAATTTTTGTATCTTTAGTAGAGATGGGGTTTCCTCATGTTGGCCAGGTTGGTCTCAAACTCCTAACCTCAAGTGATCCACCCTCCTCGGCCTCCCATAGTGCCGGGATTACAGGTGTTGGCCACCATGCTTGGCCTATCTGCGTGACTTCTTGAAAGTTCTTTGATATTCTCCTGCAAACCTCCTGATGTTCTCGTGTTTCTCAGATTGTAACATGTTACATGAATTTATTCTTTCTATCCCATGCCCTCTTTTATTGATGCATTCTGTCCTTTAAGTAGTGCATTTAGAACATTGACATTTAAATTGATTATTGATATAGTTGGATTAAAAATCTACCAAATTTGTTACTATCTTTCAGTTGTTGGTTTGTCTTTGTTCCTATTTTTGTATTTCACTCATTTTCTACCTTTTGTTGTTTTGAGCACTTTATATCAGTTCATCTCATTTCTTAGCGTATCTTTTTTTTTACCTTTTTAATGGCTAATCTAGGTAATAATTTTATTCTTAATTAATCTAACAAAGAACAGCTTGTTAAAAACAATAGTAGTATGAATATATTTGATTAGATATGGTTAAATATATATCATTGTGTGTGCATACATATATACATACAAATATTTATGTGCATTTATGCTTATATAAGTAAGATGAATAACTGCAATAAGTGATGGAATGAATGTGGGTTATTCTGTTACTGTAAGGTGTTCACACTACATCTTATGTGATATATTGTTACTTAAAAGGGGGCTTGGATTAGTCAGAAACTTAAATTGCAAACTCTAGGGCAGCCTCAGTTCCTTGCTGGCTGTTGACCAGAGGCTGCATTCAGTTTCTTCCCATGTGGACTTCTCCCACGTGGCAGAATGCTCTATCAAAGCCATCAAGGCAAAGAGCTTGCTAGCAAGACAAAAAAGAAAAAAATCACAACTTTACGTGACATGATCAGTCGTGTGACATCTAATATTCTTGTATTATTGTGTTGTATGAAAGCAAGTCACATTTCATGCCCATACTCACAAGGAGAGGATTACAATACAAGGTCATGCACCCTGGCAGGTGGGGATCATTGGGCACCATCTTAAGATCTACCAGCCACATCAGGTCCTGTCTGATGTGCAACAGTTTCCCAGTCTTCGTTTATCTTGAAGAATCTGAGCCTCTAAGAAAAGAACTGGTCAGGTATTTTATAGGAATCATCACAATGTGGATTCATCTGATGATTTTTCATTATTTGAATAGAATTATAGACTTGTTTTGAACACCTTTATCTTAATTTGAAGATAATGAAAACTCAACAACATATTATTTAGAAATATAAACCTAGACATAAAAATAATATAAAAAGGAAATGACAAAGAGGAAACTGAAAATAATAGTAACCTTCATGGGGGTAAAAAATGCCATCAAACTGGGGAGCTGCACATTTGGGGCATCGACAATATTGATAATATTCAGTTTGTTAAGGTCAGCAGTTAATTTTTAAAAAAAGAAAAAAACTTTTCTATTTTATGTTAGCTTTGGACTTACAGAACAGTTGCATAGTCAGCATGGAGAGTTAATATGCAACCAACACAGAGTTTCCATCATTATTAACCTCTTATATGAGCATGGGTATTTGCCACAATTAACACACCAACATTATGCATTCTCATTCACTGATATCCACATATTAATCAGATTTCTTTTTTTCCTACTTAATGTTTGTTTTCTGTTCTAGGATCTCTTCCAGGATAACACATTTAGATATCATGTCTCCTTAAGCTTTTTTTGTCTCTGCAGTTTCTCTGAATTTCCATGTTTTTCGTGGCATTGACATCCTCCATTTAGGATTTCTATGATTGTTTTTACTAACAATTAGACTGAAGTTGTAGATGTGGAAGAAGAGACAGGGGTGAGTGTAATACTCATTATACCATGGGCATATATTCTCAAAATGCTTTTATCACTATTGATACTAATTTGAGCACCTGGATGAGGCAGTGTGGGTCCAGTTTCTCCACGGTAAAATTAATTTTCCCCCTTTCGATGTCGTACTTTTTGAAAAAAACGTCACATGCACAGCGCATACTTAACATTGGGGAATTATTCTCCACCTCCTTAGGGCAGAACTTCTATAGTATCATTTGTATTTCATTACCATAGGCAATGTATCTGTTCTCCAGCATTTATTTTACATTTATTTAATCAATTATTTATATTATGTGGAATATTGGCAAATAATAAATATTTATTTCCACTGTGATTAGACTAGTTTATTGTATTGTTCAAATTGCGCTAGTGCTGGTCATTAGAAAGTCCTTTCAGTCAGCTGCTTTACCACTTTGAAATACCCATATTATTGCTATTTGATTTGGTTTGTGTAGTGTGTTGGTTGGTTGTGTTGTTTAACTTTTTCTTACTTTCTGGCACTACGAGGTACTTAAGCTTAATAGTGTTGATTCCCTTCCCAGCCACGCCATTAACCATTTTCCCGCAAATTCCTAGTTCCTTTTTCGGTGAATGGCATTAGAAACAAAGGTCTCGGCAATGGTGTTGTCATTTCTGCTAGGCGTCTGTTAATTCTATGCTTTGTCATCTGACAGAGCAAAGGATTATATGTATGTATGTAACTCACACTCACATACGTATATGCATTTCTACAACATTTCTCCATTTATTCCTATGTAAAGTTCAGCATGAATTCTTATTAATGTTTCCAGCACCTGTGATCTAATTCAAGACCATATGAATCAATTTCCCCATTCCCACTACTTGTATGTAACCTCCCACGCTAACAGTGAGATAGTTGTCCTCCTTTATATAATCAATGAGTCCAAAATACATGTAGAGTAGTTTTAGAATTGTAAATTCATACCCCCATGGGAAAGAATGTTTCTAACTAAAGAAGACAATTTATGTACGGATACTTTGACATTTAAACTGAGAATCTCTCCTTATTTTTATATTTCTTAGGTTGTTCCCCTTGCCCCCAAGTGTCTATTTCTTTTTGACAATATTTTAAATGGAAGTGTTTTCTATGTTTTACTTTAGATTAACTGACAATATATAGAAGTAGAATTGATTTTTATTGCCCTAGTATACTAAAGTGTTAGTGAACTCATTTTTTGGTTCTAATCTTATTTTAGTGATTTCCTTAGGATTTTTTCTTATTATTATTATACTTTAAGTTTCAGGGTACATGTGCACGACGTGCAGGTTTGTTACATATGTATACATGAGACATGCTGGTGTACTGTACCTATTAACTCATCATTTAGCATTAGGTATATCTCCCAATGCTATCTCTCAAAGAGAAACCAGCATCAAAGTGAACAGGCAACCTACAGAATGGGAAAAAATTTTTGCAACCTACTCATCTGACAAAGGGCTAGTATACAGAATCCACAATGAACTCAAACAAATTTACAAGAAAAAAACAAACAACCCCATCAAAAAGTGGGTGAAGGATGTGAACAGACACTTCTCCAAAGAAGACATTTATGCAGCCAAAAAACACAAGAAAAAATGCTCATCATCACTGGCCATCAGAGAAATGCAAATCAAAACCACAATGAGATACCATCTCACACCAGTTAGAATGGCGATCTTTAAAAAATCAGGAAACAACAGGTGCTGAAGAGGATGTGGAGAAATGGGAGCACTTTTACACTGTTGGTGGGACTGTAAACTAGTTCAACCATTATGGAAGTCGGTGTGGTGATTCCTCAAGGATCTAGAACTAGAAATACCATTTGACCCAGCCATCCCATTACTGGGTATATACCCAAAGGATTATAAATCATGCTGCTATAAAGACACATGCACACGTATATTTATTGTGGCACTATTCCTTAAGATGTTCTATACACAGGATTATGTCATTCATGAATAGAGATAGCTTAACTTCATCCTTTTCATTCTAGAAGTCTTATATTTATGTTTCTTGCCTAATTACCCTGGCTGCATGTTCCAGTACAATACTGAATAAAAGTAGCAAGAGCATACATCCTTGTCCTGTTGCTAATTTTTTGAAGAAATTACTGAAACATTCATCATATGTTGTGTTGTTGTGTGAGTTTTTCATAGATGCCCTTTATCACTTAAGAAAATTTCCTTCCATGCCTAATTTGCTCAGCCTTGTTATCTTGAATGTGTTTTGGATTTTTCAACTGCTTATTCTGTATCTTTAGAGATAATTATGAAGCTTTTGTCCTTCATTCTATTAATATAGTGTATTACACTAATAGTTTTTTTATGTTTAAGAAAACATATTTCAGGGACAAATGACTTTGCTCATAATGTATATTTTTATTAGGCTACAGGTTTATTTTGATAGTATTTCCTTCAGAATTTTTGCCTCTGTTTCATGGGGCGTATTTGTCTGTAATTTTCCTTTCTTGAAATCTCTTTGTCCAGTTGTGCTATCAGGGAAAACGGGCTTCGTGCGGCGTATTGGGAAGTGTTCTCTACTCCTCTGTTTTTATAATTTTTCTTGAAAGATTAGTTAATAAGGGATTGTTATTAATTCTCAAAGGGGTTAGAATAATTCACCAGTGAAGTCATCACAACCTAGAAAAAAATTGAATCCTACCAACACTAACATGAGCTGGGAAAGGGATCCTTCCCCAGGGGAGGCTTCACTTGAAACCTCAGCCTGGGACATCTGACCCAGAGAAAATGTTAAATAATATTTATGTGTGGGTTTGAACATCTAAGCTGTTCGGTTATATGTTATACAGCGACCTATAGGTAATATGCCTGACAGTAAATGTAATTAAATTCTAGAACAGAAAATGACATCAGTGGAAAACCTGGCAAAATATTAAGAAAGTCTGTATTTCAGTTAATAGTTTTGTACCACTGTCAATTTCTGAGTTTTCATAAATACATTCTGGTTACATAAGTTGTTAACATTTCAGGAAGCTGTAGATTATGTAAAACTGTATTATCTTTGCAAGTTTCTGTAAAACTAAAATTATTTTCAAATAAAAATGTTCTTAAAATGTATTATTTAGGAACAAAAAAAAATACCAACACAGATGGACATAAACAACAAGAAACCTTGGATCAGAGGATGAGTGGAGATGCAGGGAGTGAAAGGCAAAGTACTTGCCTTATTATCCCCATTCCTACACAGGGCACCTGCTTCAGGCTTCAGGCGCCTCATCAAGCTCCAGGGACTCTCATCCATTTTCTTCTTTCCCATCATATGCTCCATTACCCAGTCACCAGTTCATACATCAGTAACCACTTTTTCAAAGAAAGGTGCCTGCCCCACATGTGTTAGAAGGCCCTATTTTCAGACACTTTGTGGTAGTGTCTTTGTGGGATCTCACTAGAGACATTTTGGAAGACATGACTTCCAGACAAGATTGAGAAACACCAGTGATGGGGAACATAAATAATATTTCTACATTAGGAGTGTTTTCTTAGTTCAGAGATTCTTTTGTTCAAGTTTCAAAGTTTTTTAAAGCCTTTGAGAATACCCTATGATAATTAAGTTCTCTTTATTATGCAGACTTCATCATGAATTCATGGCATCACACAGTCCCCTGATGCTATAACATCATGGATTTCTTTTGTCCAGTGAGAGGCCCAAAAGCTGCAGCATAGACAATATCATAGTGTAGAAGGTTCACTAGGTATGAAAATAAAAGCTTCTAATCATGGGGTTGTAGGCTAATTCCTGCTTACAGAGACCTGAAATGAACCTTTAGACACCAGGCATATGAAAGTGAGGCATGTTAGTGATACAGAGTGTGTTGTGCAGAGGTGGAAATAGCCTAATAGAAAAAAGGGAAGAAGAGCACAGTACAACATAGCCCAGCCCACCATGTAGTGATCTAAGAGATGGACACGGGCTGAGTGCTGACTTTGCATCTGTACTGGTTAAACAAAGATCCCCACAGCAGGGAGGACTGTCCCCTCATCACCCACATAGCTCCCCGTTCACAGGCCACACCACTTTACGGGAGAGCACCAGGGTTGTTCCAGGAACAATGTCCACAAAGCTTACTAAGCCATGGGACTGTGTGCTACACTCCCAAGGACATCCACGAAGTTAGGACTCTTTTTGCTTTTTCAGACCGTGATCATGGGCTACATTCTCCGTACCAGCTTCATAGCTCCAGTGAGAAAATAAATTCCTGCATCCAGGAGATGTGGAGTAAGAGATACAGCTGCCCTTGACCATATTTCTTACTTCCGAGAAGATCGTAGCAGTAATTCAGGTGCTATTATTTGGGACATTTATAATTCAATAAACCTTCTTACCCCTCTGAGCTTACAATTCACCCCATAGGAAGGAGAGCCTCATTTAAATTGATAATCTCAGGCCGGGCGCGGTTGCTAACGCCTGTAATCCCAGCACTTTGGGAGGCTGAGGCGGGCGGATCACAAGGTCAGGAGATTGAGACCATCCTGGCTAACACGGTGAAACCCTGTCTCTAATAAAATACAAAAAATTAGCCAGGCGTGGTGGTGGGCACCTGTAGTCCCAGCTACTCAGGAGGCTGAGGCAGGAGAACGGTGTGAACCCAGGAGGCCAAGCTTGCAGTGAGCTGAGATCCTGCCACTGCACTGCAGCCTGGGGGACAGAGCAGGACTGTGTCTCAAAAAAAAAATATGGACAATCTTAGTAAATGGAAGTTTGCTCGTTTCATTTCATTATAAGAGGAGTTTCTATAAGGTAAGTGACTTGTCAAATCCCATTTTTCTCTTCATTTCTATGCATACATATGGTCTGTTATGATGTGTACTGTGAAGATCATTCATCACCAAACTATTCAGGAAAAACAAAATCACCAAGTGGCAGGCCATGAAGGAGATGGAAGTAGATGTGTCTAAGGAGAGACTCATCTCTAGGTAGCAAGAGGGTCAATGAGTTCTGAATGCCCAGGGTTAAGATAGGAAAGGTGATAGACACAAAACTGTGCTACCGTGATATCCCTGGCATAAAGAACAAACACAGTGCTGAGCACCGAGCTCCCAAACTCTACCACCATAGCATGGAAGTTATGATTTCTCACAAGACAGTAAACCACCTGTGACCACATTGTACTGAGGCTGGATTGGCCACTAGAATTCTCAGAAAGATGCTATTGAAAACATCTCATTGTCTGACCACATCATGAGGCCTGAACCCAACCCCTCTCCACCCTGTACCCTGAATGGAGAATAAAGCTTAAAAGGTGCATGACTCCTATATTTGAAATTAGGGCTTTCTGTTCACTGAACTGAGCCCTCGTAGAAGCTGAAACTCTCAGTGCAAATATGCTCAACATTCTAAATTATAAATTATGTGAGTTTCTTCTTCATGCAGTACAGTCTTCAGGGAACACCAAGGCCTGTTTGATTTTCCAAGTATCAACAAGTGGAGTTGACAAGAGTGACAAGTGGTCAGAGCAAAGCATTTCATGATGACTGTAACGTGCCTGTGTCAGCAGCGACTGCTTACAGTGAGATTCACATGACCATCGTTTATGACATAGGAAGAATAAAAGGAGAGAGAGAGAGAAAGATAGGTAGTTGATCAAAATGAAGAATTGGATTTGGAAAGCAACTTCGAATAGTCTCTGCTTATATTTCTGAGATTAAGGCAAACAGTCTCAAGGTAAGTATTTCTGTCTTGAGAGAGCTGCACTCTGCAACTCTGTAAACTTTCAAGTAACACTTTACCACTTCTATCTTCCTTCTCCATGGGATCTTTGAGCCATGATTTATAAAATTACCTCTACTTCTGTGTTTCATTTTTGTAGTATCTAATATTCTCTTGAGGTCTCTCTTGGGACAATGGCTTCAAATTATAACGCTGTCTAACAGGACCCCAGGATATTGGTCCTGGATGTTGACAGTGCACCTTTCATAGGATACTTATTTATCCTGGTAGATGACTCAATGTCTAATTGTCCAATCCTTGACCAGGCATCCTTCTTACTGTAATTTGTTTTTATTTCCATAGGTTATTGGGGAACAGGTGGTTTGGGTTACATGAGTAAGTTGTTTAGTGGTGATTTGTGAGATTTTGGTGCACCCATCACCTGAGCAGTATACACTGCACCCTATTTGTAGTTTTTGATCCCTCACCCCCTTCCCACCCTTTTCTCCTGAGTTCCCAGAGTCCATTGTGTCATTCTTATGCCTTTGCATCCTCATAACTTAGCTCCCACTTATGAGTGAGATCCTACGATGTTTGGTGTTCTATTCCTGAGTTACTTCACTTAGAATAATAATCTCTAATCTCATCCAGGTTGCTGCAAAAGCCATTAACTCATTCCTTTTTATGGTTGAGTAGTAGTCCATTATATATATATATATATATACCGCAGTTTCCTTATCCATTCATTGATTGATGGGCATTGAGGTTGGATTACTGTAACCTTTTAAATACTGTCAGATGCCCTTATGGCACTTTTCAGAACCGTGACCACTACATTCATATCAACACAACCACTTTCTAGGAAAACTCTGAATTGGAAAAATGTTAAGTTCAGGTGTGTTGGTCATGAGAGACACAGAGGAGGCCACTCAATAGAGCACATGAAATAACGTAAGCAGTGTATTTCTTACAGGTGAGGTTCACTGGGCACCATCGTAGGGTCTACCTGACACATCAAGTATTCTCCAATCTGCAGATTTCTCAGTCTTCACTTATTTTTTGTGAACTTGACTTTTTTGAAAAGTACAGGTCAGATATTTTGTAGGTTTTCCCACAATATGAATTTGTCTCATGATTTCTCATGATTAAACTAGGGACATAAATACATTAAAACCATGCATGTATGTTTGAAGACCAGAAAAATAAACATTACAGATATTAGAAATATAAACATAGAGGTAAATATAATAAACACAAACTAGAGGATAACAAGTAATTCACAGTAATAACTACTTTCAGTGATTAAGGAAGATGGTGAAGCTCAGGAGATGCACTAAGGGCCATCAGACATATTGCTCATGTTGTTTTATAAGGTCAGCAGTGACTTTAAAGATAAAGAAAGCTTATAAATTTAAGAATGGTTTTAGGTTTACAGAACAGTTGTAAATGTAGTACATAGAATTTCCATATATCCCACGAAGTTTCCATTTTTATGAAATTCTTACATTAATGTAGGACATTTGTCACAACCAATCAGTTTTATAACACTATAACTACTCTTTATACTTTACTCACTTTTTTTTAGTTTTTACTTAATGTCCTGTTTCTATTCCAGAATCTCATCCAGGATACCTCATCACAGGTACATGTCATGTCTCCTTAGAATTCTCTGACTGTCACAGTTTTTCGGAGTTTCCTTATTTTTGATGCCATTAATATTACTAATGTGGGATTTGTCTGATGTTTCTCTAATGATAAGACTGGATTTGTGGGTTTAGGGGAGGAAGATCACGAGGAAAAGTGTCATTTTTATTTATTTATTTATTTATTTAATTTTGAGACAGTGTCTCACTCTCTCTCCCAGGCTGGAGTGCAGTGTCATGAGCTTGGCTCACTACAGCCTCCATCTTCTGTGCTTAAGGATCCTTCCCTCTCAACCTCCAAGGTAGCTGAGACTACAGGTATGTGCCACCATGCTGGACTAATTTATTGTTGTTGTTGTTGTTTGTTAGATTTTTGGTAGAGGCAAGGTTTCACCATGTTGCCCAGGCCAGAGTCAAACTCCTGGGCTCAAGTGATATTTATTTTGTTATAGAGATGGGGTCTTAATGTGGTGCCCAGGCTAGTCTGGGATTACAGGTGTGAGCCACTGTGCCTTGCCAAAAACTGCCATTCTCATCATATCGTACCAAGAGTACAAACTCAACAAGGGTACAAACTGTCAACCAGAGTAGACATTCATTATTGGCAGAATGTCTACAAATTCCTTTAAACCTTCACCATAAACATGTGCCTACTCTCTTCCAATTATTTCATGTGTATTAATTTATTCATTTATACATGCATCTTTTATTTATATCATTATCTAAATATGGAGATTTATTTTACAATGCGTATGTGCTATTTTTTTTTTTTTGAGACAGAGCCTTTCTCTGTTGCCCAGGCTGGAGTGCAATGGTGCGATCTCAGCTCATCGCAACCTCTGCCCCCTGGGTTCAAGCGATTCTAGTGCCTCAGTTTCCTGACTGGCTGGGATTACAGGCATGAGACACTACACCTGGCTAAGTTTTGTGTTTTTAGTAGAGACAGGGTTTCACCATGTTGGCCAGGTTGGTCTTAAACTCCATACCTCAGATGATCCACCCTCCTCGGCCTCCCAAAGTGCTGGGATTACAGGCATGAGCCACCATGCTTGGCCGCTATTTTTTTTTTTAATTGCACAAATTGTTCCAGTGTTGGCTATTGGAAGGTTTTTAAGTTGTCTCTTGTATCACTTTGAAATACCTCCATAATTAAAGTTTGATGTTGTGTGGTTGGTTGGTTTTGTTGTTGTTTGGCATTTTCTTTTGTTCAGTCACTATTATATGCTCCAGTCTATGAATTTAATTGTGCTCCAGGGTAATTTGGTAATTTTATAATTTCTACGAATGTTTCCAACACCATATGACCTAATCCAGCACCATATAAATGGATCCACTCATTCTCTCATTTGTATGTAATCTAGCACTCCCTGCAAGCAAGTTGATGTTGTTAATTTAATCATGCTACCTGAACAAGGTATATTGCTATGTAGAAAAATACAAGTTGAAACAGTCAAAATACTGTGTAATTCCATTCATATGACTCTGTAGAAAAGGAAAAAGTGTAGTGATAGTAGAGTTCAGTGGTAACAAGGGGCTTGGGAGAGATATAGGTGACATCAGTGAACTACCGAAGATTTCTTTTGGGCAGTGAAATTCCTCTTTGATACTGTAACGGTGGATACATCATAATGTTTTCCAAATCCTGAAGAACTTTGTAACACAAAGAGTGTAGCTAATTTATGCAAATTAAAAACCTTATTTAGGAGGTCACAAGTTTGCCTTTTCACAGTATTTTACCTTTTCCAACTTATATTTTTTAGCAATATGCTTTTTAGATTTTTGAAGTACACCTCATGGTTTTTAGATTTGCCTTCACCTAATTGTTGTAGGACAGGTGAGTCACACAATTGGGGCTTATCCTGAGAGGGTTATTAGCTTTGTCCAGGAAAGAATTTAAGGGCAAGTGGGTGATGTTAGACTGCAATATTTTATTGAATGGTACTGCTCCTAGCAGAGCAGGGCTAACTCTTAAGCAGTGTGTTCAGAGTTGGCAACATATAGGCCTCCTGGCAACTGTGTTTATATGCAATCAAACCCACTTTTAATTATATGCAAATTGAGGGGCAGATCAATGCAAATTGAGGCAGGAAAGGGGCAGTGACTTCTAGGTTGTCTCCATGGAAAGGGGCAGTAACTTCTGAGCTGTAGCCATGGAATTTGTAAACAGTTATGTGGTTGGTAGGAGTGTCATATGAGTGACAAATGAAGACTGCCAGGGATCACATTTACCACAATGTACACGCTTCTGTCAGTTTTTTCCCTTTATCCTGTCTGGAGCAGATCTTATTTTGGTCATCAAGGTTGTGAAACCAGAAAACAAGTCCTTCCAGTCTCCTACCTCATAATGACAAAAGACATTGAGCATAATTTCATGTGATTTTGGATATGACTATGGCTTTCTTTTGAGAGTTGGCTATTTAAGATTTTGCCATTTTTGATTGGGATATTTGCCTTTTTAATTTTGAGTTGTAAGACATTGTATATTCTGGATAATAGACCATTATCACCTATAAAATTTGCAATTTTCACATATTTTCTGCCATTCTTTGGGTGCCTCTTTATATTTGATGGTGGACTTTAAATTGCAAAAGATTTTAATTCTAATGAAGTTTAATATTTCTATATTTTCTTCTTTCCTTTGTGCTTTTCAGTGTCATATCTTAAAACATTGTTTAACCAGAGACCACAAAGATGTATTCCTGTGTTCCTTTTTATGGGTTGGCCCTGTTTAGCTCTTATATTTAGATGGATTATCATTTTGAGTCAATTATGTTTCTGGTATGAGGCAAGAGTCTAACTTGCATGTGGATATCCACTTGACCCACAAACATTTGACAAGAAAATATTGCTTCATACCTAATTTATTTGGCCACAGTATAAAAGCATTTCACCATAAATGTAGGGATTCATTTTTCAGTATTATATTCTCTACTCCATTGATCAATACATATATCCCTATACTAGTACCACAAATCTTGATTACTATTACTTTGTAGTAAGTTTTGCAATCAAGAAGCATATGTCTACTATGCAAACCCTTTTTGTCCTTCTCAAGAGTGTTTTGGCTGCTCATGATCTATATTATATATAATTTTAGGATAAACTTCTGAATTTAGGGGAAGGTAATGCCACCTGGTGTTTTGAGAGAAGTTGCATTAATTCTATAGATCCATTTGGAAAATATTGCCAACCTAACAATATGCATTCTGTAGTTTTTAGTGTACATATCTTATACTTAATTTGATAAGGTTATTCCTAAGTATTTTTGATGTGATCTTAATTGGAACGATTTTCTGAGTTTTGTTTTTAGATTGTTAATTGCTAGTATAGAGAAATTTAAAATATTTTATATATTTTATATGCTGCAAACTTCTTTGAACTCATCTTTAAATTCTAAACATATTTGATAGAGTCCTTTGGACTTTTTATACATGAGATCATGTCATTTGCAAACAGTCGGAGTTTGACTTCCTTTCCATACTAGAAACGTTATATTTATTTTTCTAAATGAATTGCCCTGTCTACATTCTCCAGTACAATGTTGCGAACAAGTGTCAACAGTGGAAATATTTGACTTCTTTCTAATATCAGAGAAATTAGTGAACCTTTCAGATTACTTATGATGATATGTGAGCTTTTCATAGATGCCCTTTGAAATGAAGAAAGTTCTCTTATCTGCCTAATTTGCTGCATGTTTTTATAATACTGAATCTGGGAATTTTCAAGTGCTTGTTGCACACCTTCTGAGACGATTGTGTAGTTTTTATTCTTTATTAATATAGTGTATGACATTAATTGTATCATATGTTGAACCAAATTTGCATTCCTGAGGTAAATACCTTTTGCCATAGTTTATAATACTTTCTACATGTTGCTGATTTCATTTGATAATATCTCGCTGCTGATTTTTGTCTCTGTATTTATAAGGCATATTGGTCTTCATTCTCCTTATTTGAAATGTCTTTGTGTAGTTGTTCAATCAGGGTAAACTAATTCATAGTATACAATGGGAAGTGATCTATTTTCTACTTCTTTATTATTATTGTATTGTTTTGAAATATTTTTGATAAATTAGTATTAATTTTAAGTGATTTTAATAACACATCAATGAGTTCCTGATGAGGGCAGGGAGGTGAATCCTAAGAACAATCATGTGAGTTTGGAAGGAGACCCTTCCCCAGCTGAGCCTCAGCCTGAGCCATCCCCTACATCTAGACCGAAGACCCAGAGAAACCGTGAGTAGTATGTGTGTGGTTCTGAGCCACTAAGGTATGTAGTAATTTGTTATGCACCAAGTAGTAAGTAATATACCTGACAGTAATTGTTAGGTGGTATTCTGGATTAGGTCCTGGAATAGATAAGTATATGATTATTAGAAAACCTGGTAAAATATGAAGGAAGTTTGTAGATCAGTTAATAGTCTTGAAAAACAGTTAAATTCTTAGTTTTCATGAATATGCTATGGTTACAATATATATTAACATTCTAGTTATCTGAATGGTATATGAAACTGTCTGTACTTACCTATGTGCATTTATGTAAATCTGCAGTTATTTCAAAATAAATATGTTTTTTAATATTATTATTATTTTTTTAAGAAAAGTAAGCAAGTAAAGACATCAGCAAAAAACTTTTGCCTCCAGATACAAGTGGGCATGTAGGGAGAGAATAGTAAACTGGCTTTTCTTTTCTTTTCTAGGCAACATTCGAAACCCAGGTGCCACTCCTTCAGGAAGGTACCATCAAGCTCCAAGGACTCATCCTCTTTCTCCTTCCCCACTACCTAGTCATTAGAGCGTCAGCATCCACTTCCTGAAAGGAAGATGCCTGTTTTTCACATATCCCAGAAAGCCTCATTTTAGGACAGCATTTAGCAGAGTGTATTCAGGATCCCACTAACCTTTTCGGAAGACATGACTTCCAGATGATATAAGGCAAGAATAAGAAATTTCAGTGACAGGGAACAGAAATCATATTTCTGCATTCAGGATCATGTTTTCTTGGTACGGGGATTTCTTCTTCAAGTAACCCAAGGTCAACTTTACCTTCAAACCTTTCAGAAAACCTGTTCTAATTTAGTTCTCTTCATTCTACAGGCTCCATCAGGAACTGTGCAGGACTGTGCACTCTGTTGATACTCACATGGTGGAATTATATTGCCCTTGGCCAACCCTAAAGCCATCAAGATAGCAGGTAAGCAGAGTACAAAAAATATTTCTAATAAGTTGCTTTAGGGCAGTCCCTGCTTCCAGAGGCCTGGGAATAAAACTTTATAACAGAGTTTTTGCAGGTGAATGCTACTGAGTGATACATACATGTTGGGCACAAGAAGAGAAATCTCAGTAGGCAAAAAAACAATAAAATAAAATAACAGTATATAGCATATCTCCAACCCTCCATGCAGTGATCTGAGAGACAGAAACAGGCTGACTGATGACTCTGCATGTGTACTGGCTGCCCACTAATTCTCCACACAGCTTCCTATTAAGAGGCCATTGCACTCTTCTTAGTAGCAGCAGAGTTGTTTTCAGGAACCATGCCTAAAAGGCCTACAAAGCCATGGAACTACATATTGAACTCCCATTGACATCCATAAATCTTGAATAGCAGGATGTCACAGGCACAGATGACAAAGTGCTGAGCACTGAGTCCCTAGACAAACTTTAACTGCATGGAAGATATGATTTCTCACAGTATCCTAAATCAACAGTTGTATAGAGGCTGGTCTGGACACCACAAGTCTACAAAAGATGCTGTTGTAAACAAACCACATTTTTAGACGACATCATGAGGCAAACCCAGTGCTCTGTCTCCACACTCTAACCTGATAAGAAGATTGAGTTCAAGGAAGGAATGTCTCATATATGTAATGACATGACTTTGTGTTTACTTAATTCAACCTTCCCGGAGTCAAAAACTCCAGGTGAAATTTCAGTCAACCCCCTTAACTGTGACTGTATGAGTTTTTTTATCACTCAGTGTACTCATGAGGGGACACCGAAACCAATTCCAATATCCAAGTACCCAAAGTAGAGTTGACCAGAGTAGCAAGGGGACGGATCAAAATATCTTATAAAGACCATTATGCATTCACTTCTACAGTGACTAATCATAAGGTGCTTTCTACGATCACCAGCCATGTGATTAAAAGGACAAATGTGAATGAAGAAAAAGATACACAAATGTTACACCTAAAATAATGGAATCTGTAATGAAGTTTACAGGAAGCGTTGCTCATATTTCTAAGATTAAAGCTTAAAGTTTCAAAATACAGCTTTTTCCAGGTCTTTAGAGAGCTACCACGCCAGTGAATTTTTCAAGTAGCTCTTTACAATTTTCATCTCTGTCTTCAATGGATTTCTTAAACCATGGTTCATAGAACTATATTTCCATACGTGACATAAGAATTCTAGTACTCCACTAACAACTCTAATGTGTCTAAAATTATAAATGCAGTTTATAACACCTCTCTGGACACTCACTTTAATTGGAAGTGGACAAACTGGACTTCCCTAATGGAGGACAGCGGTGAAGCTTCCAGGTAGAATATAAATGCAGTTTATAAATTTATGTGATAAGATTTAAGCATATTTCCTCAATAACAAACAAGAGTATAGCCAATGAGCCACCATAATTTAACACTGAGAAATGAGCAGTCACAGAGAACACAGTGTATTCCATTCATCGTAGAGTGCACATTTTCACATCTATCAAATGCAGATGCATCTTAAATTTGAAAGTGTTAAAACACTATTGATGAGAAGGCAGTCATAAAGTGATTGTCCTCATTTACCTGTGTATGAGCTTGGTCTGCAAACCTCCTGTCGACGTTTTTGGGTGATATCATCAGCATCAGCATCAAATCTTGCATAGGAGGTTTCAGAAGGTTGAAAATAGAAACTCGCAGGAGCAACATAGGAATATCACAGGAAATGCAGCATCACCAAAGCTTCAGATTAGCACAAATGATGATAACATGGGTAACACCATGAGCAAGATGAATTGAAGAGTGATTCAGGAGAGTTGGATCTGAATGGGAGAAAATTTAGGAAAACCTTTGTTGGTGTATTTTCCTTATATGTTCCATCCCATGTAATCATAGGAGTGACAAAAGACGAGAAATATCCACATATATATGTTTTGAAAACAGCTTTTTTTCCAGTAATTATAATATAATGATGTTATTAGAGGAGGTCTGTCTTTGTTGCCTAGGCTGCTCTAGAATTCCTGGCCTTAAGCAATCCACCCTCCTTAGTCTCCCAAAGCATAGGAATTGCAAGCATGATCCATTGTGCCTGGCCCAGGGCCTGTTCTTTTAACCACTGAGCTGCTCTATAATGAGGTGAAAGAAGTTCAGAGCTGCATGCCTTGCACCTACAGCAATCCTTTCAGCTGTACCTTGAATGAGGCTGTGGATATACAACTTTAGAGCGTTGCCATTGACTCTGAAATCTCTACGTCCTTGTGAATCTTAGGCAGTCTCCCAACACCACTACCCACTTTATGTATTCAGTATCTTTGACAACAGCCAATGTTGTTGAAAACCTGGAGAGGCAGCCTTGGCTCCCTCCTGCCCTGCTGTAGATGATCCTGTGAACAGGGTCCCCCTCCAGACCATGCCCAACAGAGGCAGGTTCACAGGGGAGCCTCTGAGCTCAGAGCCTCTCTGGGGGCTCTGCATGCACAAGGACAGCAGCTCCCTGCCTTGGTTGTGGGTTGAGGTAGGGAATTCAAGTCTTTTAAAAAAGGCTGAGTTTGTTCAAAAATGATTCTGCTTGCTTACCAATGACACCTTAAGACTTTAGATTTTACGTTGTGATATTTCTCCTTGATTTTGATTTAATTTGTTGTGCAAATGTCTTAAACACTTGTGTATAAATATTCTCTTTTTTTGGTCATGTAAATATCATCTAAAACCAAATATTTATTTTTGTATTGTAGATTTAAGGCCTTTATTTCTCTATTTTAAAAATGCATTCATAATTATTTTTCAATGAACCATATCAATTATTTTCATCTTTACTTCTATTGCTCTTTCATAAATTGAATGTTAATATCACTTTATTAGAAATGACAGATGATACACATTCTATTTTATGATTTTCCAGAAATTTTCTCTTAAATAGCTCTGGTTAAAAAGAAGGACAGAAACTATTCTGTAAGCCACAAGGCAAAATTGTCCCACATTAAGAAGATCTTCTTATGCTTAAAAAGATCTGTCAAACTTTCTATTCTATGGCTTAGTTTGCTGTACATGTGAAAGGTCAACAAGGTATTGATTTGTGTGGCAGGAAAGTTAGACTTTACATCTGAATGCAAGGAGCAACCTCTTCTTAACCGTGCAGGTGTGAACTTCATGATGTTTCATTTTCTCCTTGTACAAAAGATTTAGACATTGACTGGACTCCATAATTCCTTCCACTTCACCTCCATGTACGTGTACTTGACAGTTCTCTGTATGGATCACCCATTCTATTAGATTCTATTAGATATGAATTATTTTCTTATTTTTGATGAGTGATTATTAAATTCATTTTTAGTTCTCAGAGATGTAAAAAATACCAGTTAGAAAATGTGTACCTCATGTGCTGTAATCAGAAAATGTTTTTGTGCCATTAGCTTACAAAAAGGAATTTCAATCTTTTATTTATTATCATTTTCATCCGGCTTAATAGTCTCAAAACGTTTTCATGCTTGTGAATTTTTTAGATTTTACTTTTGTTGTCTTAGTCAAAACTTAGGCAAAGATTGGAGACGTTTGTTCAAGACGTGTGAGACATGAGCAATCAACAGAGGAAAAACATTGATATTCTATCGGGACTTTTGTTCTGTATTAACAGATGGGCACTTGTTCTGCTAGGTGTGGCTGTAGTCAGGGTCTATGGGCTTTAATAGCATAAACAGAAAATTTCATTTACAGATCCTGGTTAAAAAAATAGAAAGAAGTGTCCCTCATCTGTTATATTATAGTCAGGTACCATTGTGCTACAGAATGTAGGTTGGGCAGTGGCCACTTGTAAAATCAAATAATAAGTCAAAGGGTTGGAAAAAGAACGTGACTTTATTCCGGATTTTAGCAAGGGGAAGGGCCAGTTTCATATCTCAAGGAACCACTTCAGTTTTCTGGGCAGAAAGCAGGATTGTAAGGAGAAATTTTGGTATACAGGGCATGCAGAAGGGGCATGGAGGTGCAGGGTCTACGTGACTTGCTAGAGGACTTATCTGTAATCGTGGGTCATCTGTTAGCCTGGCCAGCATCATTAAAGACAGAGTTGGGTTGTGGATTAACTGATGTCTTGAGACAATCTCCTTGTGGGGGAGAATTCTGAAGCATGCCTGTTTTTGTTCAACATTTTGTAATTTCTAAGCAAGCACATACTTAGATAAGCTGGCAATGCTTGCTGGTTATCTCCCTGGTGGAAAGGATGGAGGGAAAAAGGTTACATTTGCATTTCTAAGGAGCTAAGTAACAGGTGAACATAGAGGGGAAAAAAAGACAAAGATAATTTTTAGAAAAATGGGGTACTCAGTTACAATTTAACTTAATTTCACTGCATGTAGAGAGTAACCCTATACTATATAGCCTGTGGTATGTACGTAGTGAAAAGCAGAGAAAAATATTGTTCAAATGTTAAAGAAACTGGAGATTTTTAAGGAAAACCAATAGAGGTGGAAAGCTTTATTGGTTTCTCCTCCTTTAGATGATGAACATGCTCTACTCTTGTAAGTGGATAGCTATATTTTAATTATTTCATAATGCAGTGATTTTATGAGCAACAACTAACAGGATAACATAGGAAAGGCAGGTTGGTGTCCACGTAGGGTGACTGAATCTACTTAACACATCATTTGCTTCATTTCTAAGCAATAGCCATCCCTTCATCTTTGGACTTGTTGCCAGATCACTGAGTCATTAAAAGCTTTGTCTTTTTGCAGTAGGAAATTAGATGAAAGGGTGAAGGTGAAGTTCATTCAAATTACTTCTCTTTGTATCTTTGCTTTGTGTTTCTATACCACTCCTGTACTCCTGTGAACTGTGTCTCAGTGGAGTAATGATGGCACCATAGTCCAGCCTGCATGCGTGTTGGCATGAGTGCTCTCTCCTATTCCTACCACTGCACGTGGAGAATGGCTTCATGAAATTCAGCCACTTTGTTCCCCAGACTCTCAGTTCCATCTTCTCAACTCAGGGTGTTTTCCAGAGTCCGTGCTACACCATATCCTGGAAATTCTCCCCAGGCAGTAACCTGAGGCAATAGTAACCCTCATATCATTGTTTCACATCTCTCAGATGTCATTGTTAGATGTGCACTGTCTTGCAGTCCATCATTCCAGAAAGATTGTCCATTTTTACATGTGATAAGCCATATCTAATCCCAATAAATTTTTCCACAATGTTTTGTTTCATTCTTCCAGCAACTACTCTATCATTACTGTACCACCACCTGTATGGATCTCGTTGCCCATATGAAACTGAGTAAGGAACAATGTGCATCACACTCACAGAGAAAGATGGACAAGTGAGCTGGCCTTTGTATCACTAAAGGGGAAGTCAGATTGGTGAATATGTAATGTCTGTAGTGTCTCGTTGGGAACATTCACTGTATGTCGATGAATCAAAGATGTAGAAGGATCTAAAAGAATAATATCTCTGTCAAACTACTATACACATAATAGACTTACTTATACTTACTGAAAAAGTCGTTTTAGAATTTTGAATTTACAAGTTTTATTCATATAAAAATGAAAGTAATATTGAAATTAATTTATAAATTAAGTCACACATATTTTGGTATTCTGATTATGATTACTCTGAATTAGCTTTTTACCCAGAGCTATAGAAACCTTAACAACACCCTGTGTACATGAAGAGATATGGGAAAGCCATACTTTTTCATAAAAAAGAGGCTGTACCATTGTGGGATTTGCACCTTTCTTATTGATACCCATTCTGGTAGTTTTGATGATGGTGATCTTATGAGAAGGTGACAATATAAAATTTCAGGATGTATTCATCCATGTGCTGAAAAGTTGAATCATGTCATGGCTAACACAAGCCTAGCAGTGACAGTGATGAAAAGCAAAAAACAAAACAAAACAAAAAGACTCACACACATAGTAACACATAGTAAAATTGAAGAAATATGGTAATTAATAAAGATTTTGAAATATTCACCAAAGGAGCCTTATAAATAGAGCTAAATCTTGGTGAACAAGAATATTTTATTTAAACTAAGAGCACAACACTGTCCAAAAGGACCAAAGAAGTATGGATAAGCCAGGAGGAGCAGGGCCCATGAGAGGGTCTCTAGAGTGGATTGCGGATGGGTAGGCTGGAGAAGAAGCTTGATGGTGGGGGAGGAGTCAGGGCTCACACCCTGTCATGAGAACAGAAGAAAGCAAAAGAAACATGGTCATCTTCACATTCAAACCTACTTCAAATTGAGAGATAGAGTTTCTTGGGAAGTAGACAAGATTATAGGTGAGAGGTGTTTGAGAGGCGTTAATCCATTGGTGAAATTCAATATGAAGGAGAATCTTCTGTGTTACTCATTGTCCACTACATGTGTGGGGCTCACAGGGGAATGAAATAGACAACGCTTCCAAAATCTCTGATATTTAAACCTAGTGGGGATTCAGAAAACTTAACAGAAACTAAACTGCAAGTGGAGTAGTTGCCCTTGGGACCTCAGAGGACAGGCATCAGGCCTAGGATGGGAGGGACAAGGGGGGCCTCCAGGAGGAGGATCGTTGGAGGAGATGCTTGAGAGTGAGGTGCAGTGTGTCTAGCAGACAGGGGAGGGAAAGGGAAGAGAAAAACATGTGTTTGTGGCACAGGCCAGGCCATGAGAAAAGGGTGGTGGATTGGAAGGACCACTGGGATCAGTAATGAGGAGGCAGGAGCAGGAAGGGCAGATCACGGAGGGACTAGTAATGATCCAGAGGCAACTTTTCCCCCTGGACATACACATGTTCACATGCCTGTCTCTGCATGTTCTCTTACATGTTCTTTGATATTCTCATACAAACTTCATGATGTCCTCATGTCTCTGAGATTCTAACATGTGATATATATGAATTTATTCCCATATATATGTATATATGGGAATATATATGTGTGTGTATATGTTTGTGTGTGTGTGTATATATATACACACATATATACACATATACACACACATATACACATATATACACACATATACACACATATGTATATACACACACACATATACACACACACACACACACACACACACACACACACACACACATATATATTTTTTTTTTCGAGACAGTTTCTCTCTTGTTGCCCAGGCTGGAGTGCAATGGTACAATCTCGGCTCACTGCAACATCCACCTTCTGGGTTCAAAGGATTCTCCCACCTCAGCCTCCTGAGTAGCTGGGATTACAGGCACCTGCCACCATGCCCAGCTAATTTTTGTATTTTTAGTAGAGATCAGGTTTCACCATGTTGGCCAGGTTGGTCTCAAATTCTTGACCTCAGGTGATCTGCCCACCTTGGCCTCCCAAACTGTTGGGATTACAGGCATGAGTCACTGTGTCCAGTCCCCTTTCATATTTATAGTAATTGTTATCAACCTGAATATTTAGGGGTGGATTGTTTACATTTATGCTTTTAAAACTTAGTAAATAAAATTACTTCACTTAATATGCCTTTATTGATCATGCTTCAAAGTATCTGCTCTTTTTAAGGGACAGTCACATCTGCAAGCAAGCATTGTGTGAGGGCTATTGTGTTTTCTTTATTAATTTTGGATACTTCTATGTTCTGGAAACTATTAAGCTATCAATATTCTTTTAAACAATCTTGTTGCTTTATCTTTTACTTTGCTTTTACTTACCTTGCAATAGTATGTCTTTTTTGCTGCTTATTTTCCATTTGATTTTCTCTTGTTCTACTTTCCTATGGTGGAAACTTAGATGATGAAATTTGGTCTTTCTTTCAAACATATGTATTCAATAGAATCTCATTTAAACTCTACTTGTTACATCCATTAATTTCGTTAAGTTTTTTTCATTGCTATTTGGGTCAAAATATTTTTAATAAATCTTGAGATATCTTCTTTGGGCCATGTTGTGTATCGAAGTGTGTTGTTTAATCTCCATGTATTTGGGGATATTTCAGTTACCTTTCTGTTACTTACTTCTAGATTAATTTTCTCTTGGTCTGAGAGCAATCATTGTGTGAGTCCTATTCTTTTAAATTTAATAAGTGGTGTTCTAAGTCCTATAATATGGTCAGTCTTGCCAGTCTTGCAGAGGCATCCTTATGGGCTGGGGAAATATGTATATTATTCACATTGTTGGAGTTAGTAGTTTAAAGATATAAGTTATATTGAGTTGACTGATTGTATAGTTGAGTGATAATATGCCCTTGCTTGTATTTTACCTGTTGTATGTGTTGATTCTTGATAGAGAGTGTTGATGTCTCCAACGATAATAGTGGACTCATCTCTTTCTTCCTTAGATTCCCCCATCACCTAATTTAACACACTATTTTTAGGCTTATACCTATTGAGGACAGTTATATTTTCTTAGAGAATCACCCCTTTTATCCTTAACTTATGCCTGTCTTTTTTCTTCATCATTTTATTTGCTTTAAAGTCTGCTCTGTTGGAAATTAATATATGTACACTTGTTTTCTTTGATTAATGGAGTATGTTATGTTTATTCTATCTCTTCGTTGTTAATCCATGTGTCTTTATATTTAAATTAGTTTTCTTATGTAGGTGGGCCTTATTTTTACATCTACTCTATCTGTGTTTTTTAACTGGTACCTTAAGAACCCTGACATTCAAAGTGATTATTGATACAGTTGGAATCATATCCACTGTATTTGTTACTATCTTCTAGTTCTTGCACTGCCTTTGTTTCTATTTTTAAATGTCATCCAGTCATTTTCTTCCTTTTGTGGTTTTCATTCAGCATTTCATATGATTTCATCTTTTCTTTCTTAGCATGTAGGACATATTTCTTTTATACTATTTTATTGGTTACCCAAGGTAATAAAAACTTTTATTTTGTATATTCTTAATTGATCTTACATATAACACTTGTTTTTTCTTGTTTTTCTTTTTTTTTTTTTGAGACAGAGTCTCACTCTGTCACCCAGGCTGGAGTCCAGTGGTGCGATCTCGGCTCACTGCAAACTCCGCCTCCCGAGTTAACGCCATTCTCCTGCCTCAGCCTCCAGAGTAGCTGGGACTACAGGCGCCCGCCACCATGCCTGGCTAATTTTTTGTATTTTTAGTAGAGATGGGGTTTCACCGTGTTAGCCAGGATGGTCTGGATCTCTTGACCTCGTGATCTGCCCGCCTCGGCCTCCCAAAGTGCTGGGATCTGATTACAGGCGTAAGCCACCATGCCCGGCCATAACAGCTTGTTTAAAATAAAAATACCAAATACGTATATGATTATATATGCATAAGGTACATATACACATATGTATATACATATACATGCATATATGCACAAGTCTTTTTACATGTAAGTGAAATGAAAGGAAAGATACAAGGGACAAAAGAAAAAATACAAGAAAAAGGAGGAAATAATTAGGAGTATTCTGTTAATACAAGGTTGTCACTCTAATTCTGAAGTGATATACTCCTAAATGAAAGGGGCTTAGATTAGTGCCAACTGTAAATTGCAACCACCAGGGAAAGCTACTGAAGCAAGGGCATCAGTTCCTTGCTGCCTGTTGGCCTGAGGCTGCATTCAGTTCCTTCCCATGCTGGCTTCTCCCTCACGACAGAATGTGCCATCAGAGCCACCAAGGGAGAGGTTTTGCAGCAAGACAGAAGTCACAGTCTTATGTAATATGATCATCCAAGTGACATCCATCACACTGTAGTATTCGTTTGACTCAAAGCAAGTCTCAGGTTCTCCCTAAATTCACAAGGAAAGGATTAGCATGCCAGGTTGTGTACACCAAGTCGTGAGGATCACTGCGCACCATCTTAGAGCCTGCCTCCAACATTAGGTCCTGCCCAATCTGTAACAGTCGCTCAATCTTCACTTCTTTTGCTGACCTTGGCCTTTGTGAGAACAGGTCACATATTTTGTACAATGTATCACAGTCTGGATTTCTCTGAAGTTTTCTCATAATTTTGTTGAGCAGTATAGACAGACAGAAACACATTATTATCTACTTGTGAAACAAGAAACACCGAACAAGATATTATTTGCAAATGCAAAGTTAGAGAAAAAAACTTAAAAAGAACAATTTGTGAATGGCAAAATGAAAAATTAAAATAATAGTAACCTTCACTGGGATAAAATAAAAAGAAGAGGATGGAAATGGGAGATGCATACATGGGACGCAACAATATTGATAATCTTCTACTTATTAAACTCAATGGTGTACTTTAAAAAAATCTATTTTAGAATAGTTTTGGATTTTCAGAATGGTTAGAAATAAATACAGTGAGTTTATTTATACCCAACACACAGTTTCTCTTTTATTTAATTCTTACATTAGTATGGGACATTTGTCACAATTAACGAATCAATATTGTATATTATAATTCATTAACATCCACGATTAATCAGATGTCCTTTTTTCACGTAATATACATATTCTGTTCCAGGATTGTGTTCAGGACACCACACATTTAGGTATTGTGTACTCCTTTTGGGCGTGCCAGTTTCTCAGATTTTTCTTGTTTCTAATGTCATTGAAATCCCTCCTTTGGGATTCATCTGATGTTTCACTCATGATTAGATGGCTGTTCTGGGGTTTGTGGAGGAAGACCACTAAAGGAAAGTTTTATTCTCATGAAATTATAACAGGGTTATATATTATGGGCATGCAGTATCACTTACTTCTTTCTTTCTCTCTCTCTCTCTCTCTCTCTCTCTCTCCCTCTGTCTCTCTCTCTCTGTCTCTCTCTCTCTGTCTCTCTCTCTCTCTCTTCTTTCCCTCCCTCCCTCCCTTCCTTCCTTCCTTCTTCCTTTCCACACAGTCTCTCTCTGTTGCCCAGGCTGGAGTGCAGTGGCGCAATCTCGGCTCACTGCAACCTCCGCCTCCTGCCTCAGCCTCCCAAGTAGCTGGGACTACAGGCATGTGCCACCACACATGGCTAATACATTTTTATTTTTTTGTAGAGATATAATGTCCCTATTTCCCAGCCTGGTTTCCAAGTCCTGGCTTCAAATATTTCTTTCACCTTGGCCTCCCAAGGTGCTGGGATTACAGTGACCCAGCCACTTTATCACTGCTAATGTTAGTTTTATTATCTGGATGAAGTAGTTCAGTTTGGTTTTCTCTACTACAAAAGTAATGATTCTTCTCCCTCTTCATGATGTACTTGTTTGAAAAAAGTCACTATGAAAAGCACATACTTAAGAAGTAGAGAATTATCCTCCATCTCTGTAAGGGCAGAACTCTTGTAAATACCATTTGTATTTCTTAAACAATTTTTAATGTTCTTTTGGCTGTCCTGGATCAATTGCATTTTCCTATGCATTTTTAAATCAGTGATCCAATTATTTCAGAAAATAAAGAAAAAGTGCGAGCTAGAATTTCCGCAGGGACTATATTGAATCTGCAGATACATTTGGAAAGTATTAGCATCTTGGTTAATACTTAATAGCATTCTGATCAATGAAAATCTAATGTTTTTTCATTTATTTAGGATTTCTTTCTTTAATACAATATCTTTTTAAATTTTCAGTGTATAAATCTTGCAGTTGTTATGTTAAATTTATTTCTTTATTTAGGATTTCCTTAATACTTCAATGTCTCTTTAAATTTTCAGTGTATATATCTTACAGTTGTAATGTTAAATTTATTTTTTATTTAGAATTTCTTTAATACTTCAATATCTTTTTAAATTTTCACTGTATATATCTTGCAGTTGTTATGTTAAATTTATTTTCAAATGTATTTCCTTTCTGGTGCTATATTAAATGAAATCATTTTCTGAGTTTTATTTTTTGATTCATTTGTATTGTGTTAGACCACAATTTTTTACACTGATCTTGCATGCTAATGCATTACTGAACTTTTTGTTTTTGTTGTTATTTCAACCTTATTTTAGTGGATTCCTTAAGATTTTCCATACACTAGATTATGTGACTGGCCAATAGAGATAGTTTGACTTCTTCCTTTTCAATCTGGAAGACTTATATTATTTTCCTAGCCTAATTTTCTCAATTACATCCTCAGGCATAATGTTTAATAGAATTCGCAGGAGTCAATAACCGTTTTGTGTTTCTAATCTTGGGGAAATTACTGAAACTTACTTGATACCTTGTGGTGTTATGTGAGAGTTTCATAGATGCCCTTTTTAGATAAAGAACATTCCCTTCTATGCAAAACTTAATGAGTATTTTTACTGTGAGTGGGTGTTGGACTTGGATTTGTCAAGTGCTTATTCTGCATCTTTAGACGTGATGAGGCTTTCATCATATAGTGTTTTTTTTAATGTAGTGTATTACACTAATTCTTTTATATGCTTTACCAAATTTGTGATCCTCAGTAAATAAATACCCTTGGTATTACTATACAATCCTGTTTCATGATCCTGACTTATGTTGAAAGTATTTCATTTAGGATTATTGCCTGGGTATCCATAAAGCATATTATAGTTTTCCTTTTTTGGACTGTCTTTTTCTGGTTGTGGCATCAGAGGAAACGGCTTCATAGAATGCACTGCACACTGATCTCTTCTCTGTGGTTTATATTTTCGTGGAGAACAGTTAGTGAAGAATTGCTATTGATATTTTAAAGGTTTGGAATAATTCACTGTCGAAGTCTTCTTGAGCTGAGCAGTCATGTGAGCTTGGAAGATGATCCCTCTCCAGCTGATCCTTCAGCTCAGGCCATCATCTACATCTGGATTCCTGACCCGGAGAAACTATGAGTAATGTGTGCTGCTTTTGAGCCACTAAGCTACATGGTAATAGGCTATGCTTCAATAAACAATAATACACTTGATGATAAATGTAATATGTTATTCTGAATTAGATCCAAAAACAGAAAAATGGAATTAGTGGAAAACCTGGTAAAATATGAAGACAGACAATACTTTAGTTAATAGTTTTGTACCTTTATCAATTTCTGAGTTTTCATAGATATTCTGTGGTTATGTATGATATTAATATTACAGGAAATTGAAGGATATATAAAACTTTATGTAAGAGCTTAGCACTGCTCTATCAATCTGAAATTATTTTAGAATAAATAGGAAGTGTAGACATGCTCATATATTTGAGATCAGGACTTGCTGTTAACTTAAATGAGCTTTTGTGGGACCTGAAACTCATGATGCAAATGCAGTATTATTATAAAATATAAGTAATATTAGTTTCTATTTTATTCACTCTATTCTTCTGGGAACACCAAAGCCCATCTATTCTCTCAAGTAGTATCCAAAAGTAGGATTGAGTCTAGTAACAAGTAAACAGCACAGAAGATTTTATGGAAACTATAATGCATTTACATTTGTAGTAACTAATCATAAAATGACTTGCAGGATAATTATCCACATAATTAGAATGACCATGGGAAAGAGAAAAAAAGTAGAAATGCAACTTTCTGAATTTAGAAACTGTATCTGAGCAAGTGTGGTGGCACACACCTGTAGTTCCAGCTTCTAGGGAGAGCGGGTAGAATGATCACTTGACACGAGGAGTTTGAGGCTGTAGTACACCAAAATTGTACCTGTGAATAGCCTCTGCACTCCAGCCTGGACAATACAGTAAGGCCCATCTCTAAAATAAATAAATAAATAAATAATTGGATTTATACTACAAGTTTCAGAGATTGTTGCTTATATTTCTATGATTAGGGCTGAAATTATCTAGATTTTTCTGTTTTTAGAGAGCTGCCGTGATATGGTTTCGCTCTGTGTCCTCACCCAAATCTCATCTCAAAGTGTAATCCTCATGTGTTGGAGGAGGGGCCTGGTGGGAGGTCAATGGATCATGGGGGCAGAATTCCCCCTTGCTGTTCTTTTGATAGTGAATGAGTTCTCATGAGATTGGATGGTTTTGAAGTGTGGCACTTCCACCCCAACTCCACCCCTCTCTCTCCAGCTGCCATGTAAGATGTGCCTTACTTCCCCTTTGCCTTCAATCATGACTGTAAGTTTCCTGAGGCCTCCCCAGCCATGCAGAAATGTAAGTCAATTACACCTTTTCTCTTCATAAATTACCCAGTCTCAGGTAGTTCTTTACAGCAGTGTGAAAATGGACTGACACAGAAAATTGTTACTGAGAGAGTGGGGTACTGCTATGAAGATAACTGAAAATGTAGAAGTAACTTTTGAACTGGATAACAGGCAGAGGTTGGAAGTTTGGAGGGCTCAGAAGAAGATAGAAAGATGTGGGAAAGTTTGGAACAACATAGAGACTTGTGGAATGGTTTTGACCGTGTGAACCCCAAATATCTGAGACAGGTCTCAGTCAATTTAGAAAGTTTATTTTGCCAAGGTTAAGGACACACCCATGACACATCCTTAGGAAGTCCTGAGACATGTGCCCAAGGTGGTCTGGAGTACAGCTTGCTTTTACATTTTATACATTTTAGGGAGATATGAGACATCAATCAATATGTGTAAGGTACATTGGTTTGGTCCTGTAAGGTGGGACACCTCGAAGTGTGGGCTTCCAGGTTAGAAGTAGGTAAGAGACAAAAAGGTTGCATTATTTTGAGTCCTTGATCAGCCTTCTACTGAATACACAATTTAGTCTGGCTCTGTGAATCTGTATTTTTACATAAACAGTAGTGGAGAGGAAGCAATCAGATATGCATTTGTCTCAGGAGAGCCTCAAAGGGATGACTTTGAATAGAATGGGAGGCAGGTTTGCTCTAAGCAGCTCCCAGCGTGACTTTTCCCTTTACCTTAGTCATTTTGGGGTGCCAAGATTTATTTTCCTGTCACAACCAAAATATTGATAGTAATATGGACAGTGAAGTACAGGCTGAATGGACTCAGATGGAGATGAGGAACTTATTGGGAACCAGAGAAAACGTCACTCTTGCTATACGACTGGTGGCATTTTGCCCCACCCTAAAGATCTGTGGAACTTTGAACTTGAGAGAGATGATGTAGGGTATCTGGCAGAAGACATTTCTAAGCAGCGTTTGACATGTGACCTGGCTGTTGCTAAAATTCTATGTTCCTATGCGTGAACAAAGAGATTACTTGAAACTGAAACACATTTAAAAGGGAAGCAGGCATAAAACTGGAAAATTTGCAGCCCAACCCGTCCCCATTTTTATTAGGACAAATTATAGTAGGACACAATTACCATCAAAATAAGTTTTAGTCTTATTATACTTAGCCTGATTATTTGCATAAAATACGACCAGAATAATTATTTGCCATATAGGCTCTTTCTAATTTGGCATTGCTGGAACCTTGTTCTAGAAGGAATCTCTGATTGGACTTTTTTTTTTTTTTTTTTTTTGAGACGGAGTCTCACTCTGTCCCCCAGGCTGGAGTGCAATGGCATGATCTTGGCTCACTCAACCTCCACCTCCCGGGTTCAAGCAATTCTCCTGCCTCAGCCTCCTGAGTAGTTGGGATTACAAGCGCCCACAACCATGCCTGGCTAATTTTTGTATTTTTAGTAGAGATGGGGTTTGGTCATGTTCTTCAGGCTGGTCTTGAATTCCTGACCTCAGGTGATCCACCCGCCTTGGCCTCCCAAAGTGCTGGGATTGCAGGCATGAGCCACCACGCCCAGCTGATTAAAAGCCTTGAGTCCACCTATGAATTTATATTGTGCCTACAAATAGCTATATAGATTGAGTGAATTCCTCTTTTCTTAAGGTTCCAAGATAAATTGAGGATTTTAAAAAAGTGATTTTTTACTTACCACCAGTCAGGAGCCCCATACAAGGACTGTGTAGACAAGTTATGAGGGCAGTTTCCACAAGGAGCTTTTGTCATCTCTATACATCAACTTTAATTCCTTAAGGCATTCTGTTTATATCTGAAAGTATGCCATTCTGTTGATAAAATATAACCATATCTTTGGTAAAATAACTGGTGTCTCCACTTGTGTTCTGTTACGAAAGAAAACAGATAAACAGATTCTTATTGCACTTATGTAAAAACTGTATCTGCATATGTTAAGAATATACACAAATAGTTTTCAAATTTTGGTGAAATCTGATTGAGAAAAAGAAGGATGCTCCACATTTTGCTCACAAGAGTTTACCTTACTCAATTGTTAAAAGCTGTAAATAGCTCAAGAGAAAAGTATTTTCTTTACTGTGAAAGCCAAAGCAAAAATAATCAGCATTTCAAGCAAAAAGTCATAAATCTTCTATTAATAGATTCTAGCTGAAACAAACAGGCAGTATTTCTGGCTCTGAACTTTACCAAAGGTAACTTCCCATGTGAAAGCCATAAGCCTTAACTAAGATTATGACTTAACCATGGATGCATGAGGTGTCTTAAAGAGATGGCAAGCAGTTTTTAAAAGATTTAGGATATCCCCAAAGATAGCTCAGAGAGAGAAAAATTCAAGACAGAAAGTCAGAAGATGTCCATGCAGAGAAAGATAATCAATAAGTGGTGAAAAGTCTCCAAATATCACACCAGAAATGACTTATTATTTGACCTGAGAATCAAACCCACGCTGCTGCAATAAAAGGGCAAAACCATAGTTACTGGCTGCAGTGTGGGGCAATACTGTTCATTTTCCCAGAAACAATCTAGAAGAGGCAGCTCTGAGCTTGCAAATGATTTTAACTCTTCCAGAGAATTTTTAAGTCTAGCCGTGACATTACTACTATGTGTCCTTTCAGATTAACTGCCTGCATTAACCCCAAAATTCCCACCCTCCGTATGTGGAAGACCAAGGAAGAGTACCCTTAAAGGGTTACAAAGTCAACTTCTCAAAGACAAGAGGGAAATCTCATCTTTTTTATCAGGGACCCACAGCAAAGTTTGTAACTGACCTGTCTGCAGGGCCAGCTTGAACACCAGGCATATGGGAGTCCTAGGCCCACATTCTATCCTGTGGTACTTCTCTCCATGACAGATTGATATAGAAAGACCAAAAAACTAAAAAAAAAAAAAAAAATATTTTTCCCTATTAAGCAAACCTTGCAGAGGAGATAAACAGTGATATTTCCCATTAATTTGACTGGTTTGCACAGAGTGGCCAGATGCCTGGCTAATTAGTAATTCTTACCCTTTTTGCCTCCTTGCCAGTTTTCCAGGTTCCCTTTCTCTGCAGCTTCCAGGAGAGTGGAGATGCTTTTGATGAGCCTGTTTGCTGCACCATAGCTGTGGCGGGGGCTAAGCTATGTTACAAAAGAAAATCCGTTTTCATTTAATGAAACCATAGGCAAAAGCCTCTCAATTTTGCAATATGCCACCCAGTGGGCTGCAAGGAGAACCAAATTAACATCTTCCATTTTGGCCGGAGCAAAATGCATATGACAAAATACAAACACTTGTCACTCCACTTAGCACCCAGGTATTAACCTGGCGAAGCTCAAACTTGTACCCATTGTCCCCTGTCGTCTGTGATCCACTCAAAGTGGGGAGGGATGACTTCTGACCAGGAGTTTCAATGGGAGGTCTCCAGGCAAGATGAAAGTGTGGATGGTCACCCTGAGTTAGTTCTGTTCAGCTCCTGCTAACAATTCCTTAAGGGCTCACCAAATGTGAGTGATCAAACTAAGCAAGACTGCTATCAGCAGTTCCTTCAGAGATCTCCCCATATACAAACACACATGATGAAATAAAGAAAAACAGAGGGCCTTCCAAACCAACACATCTGACTAGATTCCAAACCAGAAGAGTATTCCTCCAACAAGTCCCCCGTTTCCATCTAACGGGGGATAAGTCGTCCAAAACCGAGACTCTTCCTACAATTTAGCGAGAGATAAACAGTCCCCTTGACCTGGCTACTTTGCCTTGAAGGTCAACAGAGACTCTTTCTACAAACTTAGAAAGAGTTGGACAGTTTCTACGATGGAGCTGCAATGCCTCTAAGGGGACCAACAAATCAGGAGAAGGGGAACACTCACCAAACCAGGTTAAAAGGTGTCTTCCAGGAACTATCCATTGCAATTTGATCCATGCATTATGGTCAACAGTAGCTCACTGGTAGAGAGTGTGCCAGAGGCAGTCTTTAGTTCAAGAGACCTAGGCGGACACTTGCTGGCCTCCAGTCTGCCACTGGTGAGGGGCTGCAGAACCATGGGCAGGTACCCACAAGGGCTATCCCAGATGAGCTCCTCAATTTGTAATGGCCTCATGGGTTCATTTCCGCTGCTGCCCAGATAGAGCCAATTTATCAAGACGGGGAAATTGCTATAGAGAGAGAATTTAATACACATAGAGGTGGCTAATGGAAGACCACAGTTTTTTATTACTCAAAACAGCCTCCCCAAAAATTCAGAGGCTAGGGTTTTATGTAGAGAGTTTGGTGGGCAGGGGGCTAGAGAATGGAGAATTTTTACTGGTTGGGTCAGGGTTGAAATCACAGGGAGCAACAGCTGTCCTTTGGCATTGAGTCAGTTCCTGGGTGGGGGGCCACAAGTCCAGATGAGCCAGGTTACTGGTTTGGGTAGTACCAGCTGATTCATCAGAATGCTGGGTCTGAAAAATACTGCAAACACCAATCTTAGGTTTTACGATATTATTGTTATCTCTAGGAACAATTTGGGAGGTTAGTAATCTTGTCGCCTCTGGCTGTGTGACTCCTGAGCCATACTTTCTATTCTTGTGCTTAATTTTTTGGTTTTACAAAGGCCATCTGGTCCCCAAGCAATGAGCAGGTTTATTTCATTGAGGGGCTTTTATTATCTTTTTTTCAAAGCTAAGCTATAAACTAAATTCCTCTTAAAGTTAGTTTGGCCTTTGCCTAGGAATGAACAAGGGCAGCTTGGAAGTTAAAAACAAGATGGAGTCAGTTAGGTCATATCTCTTTGGGTGTAATAATTTTCTCATAATTTTTTAAAGGTGATTTCAGGATAAGAATAATGTACATGTTCCAAAAGAGAGAAATAGACAAAATTTAAAATGTAACAGGTCCCAAGCAAGTTCAAAATCCAGCAGGGTCAACATTATATGTTAAACCTGGAATATATTTTATTCTCTGTATCTGACTTCTGAACACACTGGGGTGAGGGTTGGACTCACAAAACATCAGGCAGTGTTATTCTATGACTTTGCTTGGTAGAGTCCCCATGGGTGCTGTACTGGTTGCAGTCAGCTACCTCAGGTTTTTCCCAGGCAGGCATTGCATGCAGACTCGACACTTCTGGGGTTCTGGCAGTGGTACCACTTCCTCTGCTTCACTAGGCATTACTCATATGAGGACTCTCTGCAGGGACCTCACTTCCGCGGCTTCGCTTGGCATTGCCCTGGTGAACTCTTTTTTTTTTTTTTTTTTTTTTGAGACGGAGTCTCGCTCTGTCGCCCAGGCCGGACTGCGGACTGCAGTGGCGCAATCTCGGCTCACTGCAAGCTCCGCTTCCCGGGTTCACGCCATTCTCCTGCCTCAGCCTCCCGAGTAGCTGGGACTACAGGCGCCCGCCACCGCGCCCGGCTAATTTTTTGTATTTTTAGTAGAGACGGGGTTTCACCTTGTTAGCCAGGATGGTCTCGATCTCCTGACCTCATGATCCACCCGCCTCGGCCTCCCAAAGTGCTGGGATTACAGGCGTGAGCCACCGTGCCCGGCCCCTGGTGAACTCTTTGCAGCAGTTCCAGTTCCACATTTGTGTTTGGTATCCCTCTATAGAGGGCTCTCTTCAGTAGATCTGCCCTTATCACAAGTCTCTAGACTACCAGGCTTTTGAAGAAATCCTTTGAAATTTGTGGAGGCTGCCAAGACTCCACAGTTCTTCATTTCTGTAAGCCTATATAATTATCACCACATGATCACCTCTAAGGTCTGGGCCTTATACCTTTCAGAGCCAGATCACCTTGGGCATTTGAGCCAATGCAGCTGGAATTAGCACCCTGACGTGGTACAGGACAGTGGCCCAGCCAGCCTGTCCCCAGAAGTCCTTCTGTCTTCCTAGGCCACTGGGCCTGTAATGGGAAGGGCTGTCTGGAAGAAAACTGAACTGCTGTGTGGCCTCTCTCTCATTGTCTTGTCTATTAACAACTGGCTCCATTTTAGCCATGCTAATCTCTGGCAAGTTGTGGTTCTGACACCCTTAATTTTTTCTCCTGCAAATGCTCTTTCATTCTCTCTACCACATGGCCAGGCTGCAGTTTTCCACAATTTTTTTTGTACTTACATTTTCTCTACCAGTTCACCTTAAGTGGTTAGAAGTAACCACACTACAGCCTGAACCCTTTGCACCTTAAAAATATCTTCTGCCAGATTCCCCAGTTCATCACTCTGAAGTTAGTCCTTTCGCAAAGCCCTTAGCCATGAACGCAGTTCAGCCAAGTTATTTGCCAATTTTTAACAGAGATGTTCTTGACTCCAGTTCTTGACTAATACTTTTTTCTTTGTTACATCAGAAATCTTGTCAGAATAGCCTTTACTTTCCATATTTTTATCAGCAGTCTGGTCACAACCACTTTGTCAATCTCTAAGGACTCCTAAATTTTTCCTAGTCTTCTTATCTTCTAAATCCTCACAAGAACACCGGCTTTTTATATTCTGCCTCTCCAGATTCTTCTAGTCTCTGCCCATTACTGAGTTTCAAAGCCACTTTCACATTTTCAGGTATTCTTTTTCAGCAATGCCCCACTAATTGTTACCAGTTTTCCATATTAGTCCCTTTTCTGTTGCTTGTAAACGAATACAAAAAAAAACTGGGTAACTTGTAAAGAAAAAAAAAGTATTTCTTACAGTTGTGGAGGCTGGTAAGTCTAAGGTTTAGGGGCCACATCTGGTGAGGGCCTCTTGCTGGTAGGGACTCTCAGAAGAGTCCTTAGGCCATGCAGGGTATCAGCTGATTGAGGGTCTGAGCATGCTAGTGAAGGTCTGTTTTTCTCTTATAAGGCCAACAGTTGCTCTCACATGATAATCCATTAATATGTAAATCCATGAATGAATGGATTCATCCAGGAGGCTATAACTCCTGCATCTTTCAAGTCCTTGATGGTGGTGGTAATCTCTGCAATCCTTCCAGGTATATGGTTATGAATGTGATTTTCCATTTTCCTAGGTAGAGGCAGCTCTAGTGCCTTCCATTTAGGCTTTCACCATACTAGCCCTCACTCCACAGGTCAGGGAACCAGTGTGGGAAATGTGCCAGGAGCTAAGTTTGTCTATTACAGCTATGCATCTGGAACTGGGGAAATCACCAGAGTAAGTGTTTGGGGACCCACTGGCCCCACTGTGATTTGATTTAAAACTTGATTAATCACTTAACCTTCATAATCACTTACTCTGACTGGGTGGTCCACAGTGATGTTTTGGGTCTTCTGGAATCAATGTAAGTTCAGAGCAAGTGTCTAGTAGTCCCCTAAAAGTTCTTACTATATTCATTTCCATAAAACACATTTACCCTGGTTAAAGGTTGTAGGTTCCTTTGGGGAAGGATAGGAGAAGACTAACAGTATAAAGTTTTCATGGTATACCTTGGTCCTTCATCAAGGGGACCTAGTTTCCACTTCATTCAAGGCATTCTTGACTGTAAGCTGGCTCAAGTCTGGGATTGAGTATGGGCTATGTTTCTCTACTTTTATGATTTGAATTAGACTTTTGTTCACTTAACCTAAATGTTTTCAGTCTTTTCAGGTCGATTAAGAAAGTCTTAGGCTTCTTACCTATTTCATTTCTAAGAACACCATGTGGCCAACACCATAGATCTACTTGAGTCAGACTAACCTGAATATTCCCTTACCTTTGATGACTATGATGGTAACTATGCCAATCTTGACTTTGAAGGTTGGCAGCTACCGAATAGACCCAGGACCCCTGGGATCCAGTTATTCCCAGTGCATTTAAATTTTCCTGTTGAGTGACTGTGGTTCTCATTATAAGATTCAGCCTACAGAGAAGAGCAATCAGGAGGTTCTTTAGGGATGCTTGGGCTCCACTCACAAATCTGTTTCTCACAGCATTGGTGAAAGGTGTGTCTTCTGGCCCCTCCAGGTGTGGCTGAGTAGAATTTCAAATGTCAAATGCACTCTAGAGTCCCATTCATTCTAAGCCTTTGAATCTCTTCCTCTACATTAAGTCAAGGGAGATCAGGCATATCCAGCTGGATGAAGGAGGGCCACCTTTTGATTCATGATTCAACCAACCAATCAAACAAACTGTTAAAGCCCTTTCTAACTACCATACATTAAAACCACAATCTTTGTATAATGGGCCCATATAAATAAATTTGGCTTGATCCAACTTTATGTTTCCTCCACCACTATCCCAACACTTAATATTCTTTTCCACACGAGTCCCACAGATTTGGTTATACAAATTAGAAAACTGAAATTGTTTTCTTGGACTGTAATGAACCTCCCATGGGTCACACATATAAGGTGTATCACCTTTAAAGGCCTACTGGAACTCAGGACTAATGATAGGTCTAGAAGGAAAACGAGGTGGGTCCTGAGGAGAATCATCATTGCATTACTTGGCAACTGCCTCCGGGAAGTCCATTACCTTTTCTCAGTTAAGCCTGGGTTAATCCCTTCAGACAGAACTGCTTATACCAATGAAGACGGGGAGACCACTGCCAAGGGGGTGGGTTTAAGGGGCCACTTCTGCTGGCAAAGAAGACATCAGAATTTCAGAGCCCAATGTCTCCAGCCTCAACATGGTCTCCCCAAATGTTCCCAACCCAATTTACAGGGTCCCATTCTTTCCTAAACAGTGCTCTAAATTTACAGTAGACACCATGCTAGGCTGAAAGTGCAACTTTCATTGTAATTTAGCCAATTGCATGGCATGGGATTGCATTTGATTTTCAGCATTTTCATCCCTGTGACTACAGGAGATACAATTCTAACCTCAGAGCATAGATAGAAGCTCTGTTTTTTATGTGGAGCTGGATTCTGAATTTGAATCTTTTAGCTTCTCTTTTTTATTTTTCCCTTTGCTCAGCAACACTAATAGCAGAGTCCTTAGTTTTCCATAGATGTTTGAAGATATGCTATCAAGAGTCACTAAATGCCTTGCCTGTTACCAATGGTTGATTAGGAGTGCCAAAGGCAGATGTTTGCATGTCACTTAAGCAGTTCATGATGTGGACTATCAGTGGTCTCCATACTATTAGAAGTCTTCAGCATTTTTACTTATCATCAGGTTAGAGACCCAATTTTAGAAATCCCCAAAACAAATAAATAAAACATCCTTACGATTCTGGCTCTCTACAGCCATTCATGGTTTAAAGAAAAAAAAAATCTGTGTTAGTGTCCTCCAGAGAGACAGACCAATAGGATAGATACATAGATTGGCAGATGGTGGAGTAGTAGCATGGCTCATTCTAAGGCTGAAAGTCTCAGAATGAGGAAAGTTGACAGTGTAATTCTCAGTCTGAGGTCAAAGGCCTGAGAACCTGAAGGGTTGCAGAAGTAAGTCCTGGAATCCCAAGGACAGAGAGCCAGTAGTTAAGGTGTCCAAGGGCAGGAGGCAGAGAATGTACCAGCTCCAGGGGAGAGGGAATGCAAAATCATTCTCACTTCTTTTTTTTTGTTCCATCTGAGCCCCCATCCCACTGGATGGTGCTTACCCACATAGAGGGTGGATTGTTACAGAACCCAACTCAGGTCTGTTCACACAGATATCTACACTGACACTTGCGGTGGGAGAAAAAGAGGTGTTCAATTGAAGAGTGTCAAACAAGGAGGATCAGGCAGCTAATGCTTAGATTTCTACCTCCCCAATGTCTTGTACATAAGGGTTTTTAATAGCAGGGTAAATTTCAGTAAAGTAGAAGTTACTGGTAAAATTATAAATCAATACATGGAGGTTACACATTGGTTTTGGCCTTAAAGGGTGGAATATCTTGAAGCAGGGGTCAAACAGAGGTTCATAGGTCATAGGCAGATTCAAGGATTTTCTAACTTGCAATTGATTAAAGAAGAGAAGCTTTGTTTTAAAACTTGGGGTCAGCAGAAAAAAAAAATGTTAGCTGTGACTCATGGATGTGACTCCCTCTAGGCCCCTCAGGAAGAAATTAAGGAAAAAGAATGGCAGTCAGAGTTCAGTCTTCAGGTCCCCCTTATTTGAGGTCTACATATCAGCAGATCCATTTGATGGGGGCCTAGGTTTATGAAAAATGACTCAGGAATATATGTTAAGATGTTATCTTTGGTTTCCACAGGGAACCAAACAAACGTCTCCTGACTCTAAAGTCCTTGGGCTACTATTACCTTCTTGCTTATCACTTTCCTCATGTACTTCTTAGTGCTAGCTAGGTACCGGGGATTTTCCTTGAAGGAACTTGAGATTTTCCTTTATTTCCCTGCTTGGGGAACCCAAAGCCTCCTCACAGGGGTCCCTGATCCATCACAGTATCTTCCCCACTCTGTCCACTGACTCACATATCAGACTTTTATGATAAAACCCTCACAGACCCAGAAGTAATTCTTTGCCAGTGTTCTAGGTATTCCTTAATACAGTTAGTTGACTCCAAAAACGAAATATCACAATTGGGTTTTGGAGTGTTACCTAAGCAGGTTTCTCATGAGGGGTTCAAATTGGTGAGTTAAGGTCAAGCAAGCATGATTTCCAAAGACTCATGCTGTGCCTGAGAGGTGGTTACTGCAGAATATCTGTGCAGTTCCCACAGGGGTCAGTGTGGGTGAGATAAGGGTTGTGTCCAGCTGTTCTACATGCAGTAGTCACCTGGGGGAGGTTTTATAAGGCGATATCTGGAATGACTACATTGAGGACTTAGAGGAGTGTGCAAAATGGAAACGCCATGGATTTCTAAACCTCGTTTCTGGTATTAGCAAGTCAAACCTATATCCAAAATGAAGGACTAGGCATTATAAAATTAAAAGAATTCACAGCAATATTTAAAATAGAAATTTGAGTAGTTCACTAATAACACTGATATCTCTAATCCTGGGGTAGAAGTTAAATCAAGTTGTTCAACTTTTCCTCAGTAATAGACCAGAATACATAAGATGAGACACCATGATTTTATACTGAGAAAGAGGCAGTCACAAAGAAAAATAGTGTGTTTTATTTGTTTTAAAGGGCATATTTGTACATCTTTCAAATAGAGATGTATCATAAAATTAATGTTGTTAAAAACACGATTGGTCAGAAGACAGGCATAATTTGATTGCTTTTTTGTGCACACATATAAACTTGGTGTAAAAAACACTTCCATTTTCACATTCTGGTGATATCGTTAAACATTAGAACTTGCAGAGTGATATTGGTAGATCAGAAAAATAATCTAACAGAAAGTTTTATGGTACTCTCGCAATAAGTGTGGCATCAGCAAAGCTTCTAGTCATCAGAGATGATGCTAACATAAGAGAAATCATGGACAAGGTGAATTGAAAAGTGATTCAGAAGAGTTTGATCTAAGTATGTGACATTTTAGAAAACACTTGTTACCTATTTTCCTTTCTTTTTTTATCTTATGTGATCATAGGAGTGATATAAGACCATTACCCACATTTATGTAAGTTCAAAATAGTTATTTTCAATATATATGTATTTTCTAAGTGATAAAAAGTTTCTGTGTTACAGTTTTTCAATGGTTTTGTGTTTTTATTGTGACATAAAATAATGTTGTATTTTTATAATTGATGCAAATGATACTTACAGGTGCTTGTGATAGCAACAAAAGGCAGAGAAATTCTAGGCAGACAGAGGTCCCTAGTAAAGCCCCACCCTCAAGCAAAAAAGCCTGAGACTGTGGTCCAAAGTGCGAACTTATATACCTGTTTTCCTGCTTGAATGTTACCTTTTCCTAAACCACCCATGGCCCACCCCACCCCATCCTGTGCCTATAAAAACCCTAGACTCAGCCAACAGAGAGAAGCAGCTGGACATCAGGGACTATGGCTGGATGTAGAAGAGAAGCAGCTTGACTTCAGAGGGACAGCTCGATAGCATAACTTCAGATAAGAATTCAGGTGGAGATGGCCAGCCTTCAGGGGAAGATTACCTGCCTCCCCGTTCCCTCTTCAGCTCTCCTTCTCAATGAGAGCCATTTTATTAGCAATAAAATCCCCCACATTTAGCATCCTTAAATTTGTTTGTGCAACCTCATTTTTCCTGGATGCCACACAAGACCTAGGGAGCCTCAAGTGTGTATACAGAAGGCTGTCACACTGGCCCTTTGCCCTCGCTGGTGGAGGGCAGCCACCTCACATGAAAAGGCAGAGGGCCCACTGAGCTATTAACACTTAGGCCACCCGTGGACAGCAGAGCTTAAAGACAACTGTAACACACCCTCTGTGAAAAAAAACACACACACGTATTCACATGCTGTCGTATAATTTTTTTTCTGAAAATACATCTTACTTTCCCTAAAACTTTGCATGTATCTAGTAGATTTAACTACATATATTAATTGTAATTTTAACTGTCAGCAACTCTGATTTTTAGTGAAAAACCTAAGAAGTAAGCATTGTTTTTTTTGTTTATTATCAGATGCAAAGCCCAGGACAAAAGGCAGAGATGCAGATAATGTCTCACCCTTCCCAGTACAGTCAGAGGGCACAGTTGGGCTAAGAACTCCACATATCCCTTGGACTTACTATGGCTACAAGCAAGACAAGTCAAATAATTATTACCAATATCACAGGAGCAGTTTACAGCCTTAAAGCATCTAGCTAAAACAGTATCTGACCTGCTTGACTATTCAGACAAAATATTTAAATAATTCTAAAGACATTTAAATTTTATTTTTACCAAAAATTTTATGTTTTTGCCTTTTATTTTAGGTTCGGGGTACGTGAGTAGGTTTGTTTTATAGGTAAAGCGTGCGTCATGGAGGTGTGATGCACAGATTATTTCATTGTCCTGGCAATAAGTGTGGTACCCAAAAGGTAGTTTTTCAGTCTTCTCTCTCTTCTTACTTTCTACCCTCAGGTAAGCTGTAGTGCCTTTTGGTCCCTTCTTTGTGTCCATGTGTTCTCAATGTTTAGCTCTCATTTATAATATGTGAGAACATGCAGTATTTGGTTTTATGCTCCTATATTAGTTTGATGAGGATAATGACCGCCAGCTCCATCCATGTTGCTGCAAAGGACATGATCTATTCTTTTTATTGCTGCATTGTATTCCATGGTGTATGCATACCACATTTTCTTTATCCAGTCTTCCATTGATGGGTATTTAGGTTGATTCTATGTCTTTGCTGTTGTGAATAGTGCTGCAATGAACATACCCTGCGTGTGTTTTCATGGTAGAATGATTTATATTCCTTTGGCGTATACCCAATAATGGGATTGCTGGGTCGAATGCCAATTCTGCTTTAAGTTCTTTGATAAATCACCACACTGCTTTCCATAGTGGCTGTACTAGTTAACATTCCAACCAACAGTGTATAAGCATCCCCCTTTCTCCACAACCTCACCCAGCATCTGTTATTTTTTAACTCCTTAATAATAGTCATTTTGACTGGTGTGAGATAGTATCTTATTGTGGTTTTTGATTTGCATTTCTCTAATGATTAGTGATGTTGAGCATTTTTTCCTATGCTTGTTGGCTATGGGTATGTCTTCTTTTGAAAAGTGTCTGTTTATGTCCTCTGCACTTTTAAAAAATTTTATGTGTGCGTGAGATAGAGTCTCACTCTGTCACCTAGGCTGGAACCCAATGGTGCAATCATGACTCACTGCAGCTTCAACCACCCATGCCCCCAAGTGATTCTCCTACCTCAGCCTCCTGAATAGCTATGCACCACCACACCTGGCTAATTTTATTTTTCTGTAGAGACGGAGTCTCACTATGTTGCTCAGGCTGCTCTCAAACTTCTGGACTCAAGCAGTCCTCTTCCCTTGGCCTCTCAAAGTGTTGACATTATAGGTGAGAGCCACCACACTCAACCGTTTGCCCACTTTTTATGGATGCATAGTTTGCAAATATTTTCTCTCATTCTACTCTGTTGATAGTTTGTTTTGCTCTGCAGAGCCTTTTTAGTTTAGTTACATTCCATTCATCAATTTTTGTGGTGGTTTTTTTTTTTGTAATTGTTTTTGGTGTCATCATCATGAAATCTTTCCCAAGATCTGTGTTCAGAATAGTTTATTTTCCTAGGTTATCTTCCTGGGTTTTTATAGTTTTGGGTTTTATATTTAAGTCATTTTTCCATCTTGAATTGATTTTAATATTAAACATATGGTATGAAGAAGGGTCTAGTGTCCATCTTCTACATGTGGCTAGCCAGTTACATTAGTACCATTTATTGAACGTGGGAGTTCTTTCTCCATTGCTTGTTTTTGTCAACTTTGTTGAAGATCATCTGGTTGTAGGTGTGCGGAATTTTTTCTGTGCCAATAATTTTTAAATTAGCTTTATTTACTAAAGATTATTAAAGTCATTTGAACTAAAAGACATTTGAGTTATTTTTTATTTTTCTGATAAAATATTGGAGCTAAACACTTTTTATGCCAATTAATTAAATCTTTTATATATTTTGCTAGTGAATCATCACATTTATATGACACTTACAAATTCATAGACATACGCATAGTCAGAAGCAGATCGTAGAGATTTATGAAGAGTTTGTATTTGAAGTTTCTTTCACCTCCTTTAGATGAACAATCTTTTTCAACTACCTATTTCATTGCCCTACACAGTTGTTGGCTAGGTGACCTTAACTTTGCATTTCTAAAGGGACAACTCTTAGGTGAAGTAAGAGAGAATTTATATCTTGATGACTTCATGAGTTTTGCAGGTACATGGATGAAGCTGGAAATAGTGACTGAGACAGGTCTAAATCAATTTAGAGTTTGATTTTGCCAAGGTTGAGGATGCACCCACGAAAAAGAAACACAAGTTACAGTAGGGTCTGTGGCCTGTGCTTTTTCCAAGTGGGTTCTGATGACTTCAGTATTTAAAGGGGAAAAAGTAGACAGTAGGGGAAGGGGGGAAAAAAGGAAAAAGTCGAGTAGGCGGTGAGGCAAGTGGTTACATTTTTTGTGAGGCATTAATTAGCACCCATTGAATCCACATTTTATGTTTCAAAATAGAGAAGTGGAGGGAAAGTCAATTATGCGTTCATGTCATGTTCTGTAGATCTACATTTTGCAAAAGATTAAGTAAACATGTATAATTACAGCTCTCTGTTTGGGGACAAAAGGAAGTCTGTTTGCATGACTCAGTTCCCAAGCCTAATTTTCTCTTGAGCATAGTGAGTTTGATGTCTTTATATTTTATTTTCCTTTCACATGTGCTATTAGTTTACACAATACCCAAAATGTGTAGACTAATAGCATACAACATCTCAAGAGGTTGACACTACTACCTTCTGAAAGTTCTAGCTCTGAATCTGAGCTAAATCCCTACAGGAAAGGAAAAGAACAACCTTGAGCTTGACACGGTGTCCTTACTCACATCAACTATGTTAGAATAACATTTCTCATAGGCTAAATAGTTTCCAGGTGCTTTTTAAGATTACCTACCCTATTGTAATGAATTTATTTTCCTAAATTAAATTCTGAATACTGTAATGAATTCTTCTTTTTCATATATAGGTTATGAGCCACCTGAAATTGATTTTGTGCATAAAATGAGTTTAAAAGTAAATTTTATTTCTCCAGATGAATATTCAATATCCTGAAATGCATATTTAAAATTCATCTTTTTTCATTACTTTTGACTTTGTTTATATATGCATGTGTCATTTTTTCAGCTCTGTTGTTGTTTTCATTAGTTGATTTCTACATCTGTCTTCAAATACTATACTCTTTCATTTTTTGAAGAATTCCTTTCACACTCTCCAGAGCCCAGAATTTTCCCTCCAGAGACTGTTCTCTTCATGACTGTGATACTGAAGACAGGAGAGTAAAAACTTCCATGCCTTGCACCTACACCAATATTCCCAGTTGTATTTTGAAAAAAGAGGAGGTTATAGAACTTATGGAGACAAAAGTGACCCGTCTTGGATACTAATCCACCATGTTGACTTCTGATTAATGCCAGTCCCATAAATGCCTTCTGATTACTCATTTATTTGTTTAGTGTAAGATCATGTCAACCTGGATGTTATTGTATGAATTTTAGGCTATGGCACATGTAGCATCCTTGTGTGTTCTGGAAGGTTGCTTTTAATTGTCCTGCTGAAGCATGTATACCTTTTCTCTGTGGAGTATTAGCCCTGGGTCTACAGAGTAACAGTGTGAACATCTGCCTGTAATGTGGCCACCTAAGGCTGTGCTTCTGCCTATAAGTTCCCCCAGTAAATTAACCAGTACTGACAAACTGGATTTTCTGCCTCCTTGTTTGGTTTCTCGGCCCCTTTGATGTTTAACGCTCACTTTGTACATATGGCCCTTTCACAGAACAAATGGTCAGCAAGGAGCAGTCAAGAAACCAAAGTACACACAAGGGAAAAGAAGCAGTCACAGAGGAAACTTCAGGGGTAGCCTTGCTCATTCATGTTGGGTGGTGTCACCCATTTGCTATATGCTTGTGGACTACTGTGAAAACAGGAGTACCCCTAAAATGCTGCAGGGTCTAGAAAGCTTGTTAGTAAAAAGTGTGGCTCACTGTGGTAACAAAAGTTGCTGCACAGTGACAGCAGTGAGTTTGCTACTGTTATTTTCTATGTGAGTGTTCACAAAAGCACAGGTGCAGCTGAGGCGAGTGTAGGGAAGCTGGGAAGAGAATCACAGTGAGAAAGGGATGTGAGAACTTCCACATCTTCATTAATGTCTGGTTTTCTGGATAAGCTTGAAACTCAAGAGGCACAGTTGGAAACCGTACCTCGCCACTTTGTATGTCTGGGAGAGAGAAAGCTGTGCCAGCTGAATTTATGGGCTGTCCTTGTCAAACCATGCTGGGATGCAAATACCTGGAATTCTTGGGAACCAACTAGATGATGACATAGAGGTTAACTCAAAAATAGGAAGATCATTATTCTTCCCATTTGAGAGTGAAACTCTTCATGCAGTGGAAAGCAAAATTCAAACACACACAGGCCTGGGCAGGATTATTGGACACAGCCAAAACTTTTAAACAGCTGCCAAGACAAAGCTTTATGTATATGAATGGTGCAGCTATGGGACACTGGTGTGAATGGTATCTCTCTAAATGGGAGTAAAGCTAAAAAAAAAAGACAAAGTGCCCCCTAGGAATAGCATGTCCCCTTTTGTGGGGGACAAGATATGGGGAAAGCCATTTGTGATTTTGGAGAAACTAGTAAGGAAAGAGATGAGCTCTGACTGGTTACTGAAGAAATGAGAAAAAGGGAGAAACAGTCTACTGGACTGAAAAAGGGAGGTCAAAAAGGCCATTAGGATTAGTAGGAAACAAATGTGGTATGATCTGATTTCAGCTGGGGTAGACAAAGATAATATGCATGGGCAACCCAATGCCATATTGGTGGCCTTTGGAAAGTCCTGACTCCCAATCAACAGTTTAGACCCCTTCCTATTACCTACCAAAAGAGGGAGAATGAAAAGAAGAAATTCTGGGTAAAAGAACACCAATCTCTGCATTTAGGGGTGGACTCCTCTGCAGCCTGGAGATCGTGGGTGGGGTCAGGGCTGCCTCTGTGTAAGAGCAATAGGGGGCAACCAGAGGCCCCATTTGGAGCTGACTTTCGGAGTCCAAAAAAGCACAAAAAGAACCTTCGCTTTAGTGGGCACAGGTGCAGATTGTATCTTAATTCATGGAAATCCAGAGAGACACCCTGGCAAGTGGGGAGCTATACATGGTTGTGGGGTAAAAAATCTGAGTGAAACAAACCCCTCTCCTCCTTAGTTTTGTCTGGAGTCCCTCCTTGCTTACTCTCCTTCTGTCTTTATCTCACTTATTTCAGAAGACATCTCGGGTATGGATGTCCTTTTAGGATGAACTCTACAAACATCTGTGGGGGGATTCCACCAATGGGTTTGGACTGCTGTGCCAAATATAACTCAAGTTATTGAGCAAATAATACAAAACATAGGCACTTATCATGCTGTGTTAGATTTAGCTATTGCCTTCTTTAGCACCCCTTCATCCTGACTCACAGGCATTATATCGATAATATTCTAACTTCTGAAGACTTGTCATTGCTACAGCAACACCGAGATGTTTTGTGCACCCTTCTTCAATCCAGAGGTTGGGCCATCGACCCACAAAAGATACAAGGCCCAGAACTGGCTGCAAAATTCCTCAGGGTCACTTGGTCAAGTAAGACACACCTATTCCAGGCTTAGTCATTGAGAAAATTCAACAATTTTCCATGCCAAAAACAGTTAAACGGATACAAAGTTTCCTGGATCTTTTGGGATACTGGTGGGCTTTCATCTCATATTTAGCTCAATGTTTGCATCCCCTGTACTCACTAGTTAAGAGGGGATCTAGTTGGTTCTGGGATAAAGAACTAGAAGAAGCATTTGAGAAGGCTAAAATATTAGAGGCTTGGGCACAAGCCTTAGGTTTCCTTCTTACTGGGATACAAATATCTTTAGGTGTGACCATAAATCCTGAAGGGACAAGAGAGATCCTCTGGCATGTTCAGCATAGCAAAGCAGTTCTTCTAGGATTCTGGTCACAGCCTTATGGGAGTATGCTGAAACCTACCGTTCTCAAATTAAACAGCAGGTCCTGGGAGTGTGTAAAGCCTTCTAGCATATTGAACCTGTAACTGATCATTTGCCAGTAACAATGAGAACAGATCTCTCTATTAAGGGCTGGATGGAAGGGTTGTTTTTCAAGCCTGTACTAGTTATCTCTCAAGGCGCCACTTCACAAAAGTGGCATGCATACCTGCAACAATGCAATGTCCTCTCCATGGGTCCCTTGGGAGATGCATGCTCTCTTAGGGCCAGGATACTATGAGACCAGTGCTGCCCCTGTTGTGGAGCCCCCGCTGGAGATGGCTCTAATGGTACACAAAGGCACGGCCCCTATTCCTGAAAACACTTGGCACTTAGATGGATGTAGCCAGGGTAACCATTGTGTATGTATGGCAGTAACTGTGCAATTGCAGACAAATACTGTTGGGTTTGAGATGGGAATGCAGCAAAGCAGTCAATGGGGAAAACTCTGAGCTGCACAGTTGGCTTGTACTCATGAGCCATGGCTGACTGTTCTCTGTAGAGATAGTTGGGCAGTATTAAAGGGTCTTATGACTTCGCTTGCTGAATAGGCCCTGGGTGAATAGCATGGACTTTAAAAAAACCCGTGTGGGGAGCTGCTATGTGGAAAGACATTTGGGAAAGGTTACAAGAACCCACTGCAAGCCTAATTGTGTATCATATTTTAGGAAACTAGTCAGATTCATTCCCAGGTAATGTGAAAGCTGATACCCTAGCAAAAATTAGAACACTATATCTCAATCTTCTGAGCTAGCTGGTTGGGTACATAAACACAATGGACATCACAGTGCATGAGTGGGCTGGCAAATAGCAAAGGGAAGGGACTTGCCCCTATGCTATGCAGATTTAGTGGCAATGGTAACAAATGGCTTAGTTTGCTCCTGCCTGCACCCCCACCGCCTCCCACATACACCTGGACATCTACATTAGACAGCCACTCCTGTGAGGGACTGGGAGATAGACTAAGTTGGACCACTGCCAGTAAGCTTGGGACAGAAATATCTGTAGATACTTCCACATGATTGTTGCAGGCCTTTCCTTGCAAAAGTACAAAATTGACAAACTGGATTGTTTGCTTCATCCTTTGGTTTCTCGGCTCCTTCAGCATTTGGGGGCTTCTTTGCATATATGTCCCTTTCGTGGAACAGAACTCTAAAACAATGCTGTTCATGCTTATGTCTCTAAGGTCCTTGTGCATCTTAGAAAACCCCCCACACCATTCCCTGTGTTATTAGTATATTCTAAATGAATTTCATTCAACTTCATGCCTCCTGATTTTATTTCTCTGCTTTCCGGAGTCTAGGAAAATTTCTTTGTAAGCAGCAATAGTGAACAGGGCAGGAGTCTACAGATATCCCTGTGTGACTCCTGCGCAAGTGCAGAGGACCTATTAGGTGAGATCCTCCTCCTTCAGACTATGCCCACCAAGGGTGATGGAGGAGAAGGCAGAGCTGAATCCATAGCCTCACTGTGGGTCTGCAGGCCCAACTGCTTTCTTCCTTCCTTCTAAGGTTATTTAAGGATTTCCATTCCTTTGTATAAAAATTGAGGCCATTTAACAATCATTCTGCTTTCTGATCAATGACAAGCTTCTACTTCAGACAATTCCTTGAAATATTTGTTCTTAGTTCTAGGTTTTGCATGCAAATACCTTTAATATTTCTGTAAAAATTAATTTAAAAAAAAAACTGTGGAAACATTATCCACAGCCACATTTCTACTTTTGTATTGTGTGTTAATGCCTTTAATCTTGTGTCTAATGATTCATTCATAATTATATTACGAAATATATTTTCAACTATTTTCATCTTTTCATGCAGCATGCTTTTCTAAATTGAATGAGAATACTACTCTTTTAGTAAAGAAAGATTTTACACATTCTCTGTTTTAGTCTTTTCAGAAATTTTCTCTGAACTGCCTCTAGTTGTAAAAGAGAGGAATGGAGTTTTCTGGGAATGATGAGACAAAAGTTGCTCAGAATCTCATGCTTACAGAGCTCTGTATGTCTCTGTTATGGGTGTAGTTTGTTCTAATTGTGAAAGACACAGACAGCATTGATTCCTGTAGACAGTACACTGAGGTTCCTTTCTGGAACACAAAGCCCAGCCATTTTGTTAACATGAAAGTATGAACAAGTGTGTCCATGGCACAGGCCAGAGCATGAGAAGAGGGCTGTGGGTTTGAAGGACTACTGGGATGAGTTGTGTGAGAAGTCAGGAGCAGGAAGGGCAGACCATGGAAGGACTGGGCAGGGAGGGAGGGAAGGTCAATAAATGAGACAGGAGTAGCTCCTCCAAGAATGCATTCTGTGTGGAGTAATTTTAAATGTCTGGATCTATTTTCTTAAAATGTTACTCTAGCCCACTTGGTCTTTCTGTTAGGATGAAAATCAGAACAATTGAGGATGGTCACTGCCCTCTGGGGATGTCCCTGAGAATTACCAGGGTTGGTTTGTCTCAAGAGGGAAAAGGGAGGAGATAGGCAGGGACTTTTAGGCTGGCCGACTTGCAGTGTCATGGACTTGGATGCTTCTGTTTGCCTGCCTTTCTCTGTCATTCTAACCCCCCACTTCACACCAAGTACAGATTCCTGTCAGGTATAGAGGACCATTTACATATGTGATTCCATCTTACAAAAAGACTCCATCTTTTATTTCAAAAGACATATCATGCCAGAAAGAACCAGATGTTCACCTAATCAATAGAGACTACAGCCAACCAAATAAAGGCACAACCCTTTACTATAGGTCCACACAAGAGGAATCAAGGACCATTTTTAAAAAGCAGGACTTAATCATCTGGACATGGTTGTTTCCATATACACAATCTTGCTTCCACTCATGATCAGCATCTAACATCTGCCAACAAAGCCTCTGCTCAAATCAAGTCTTCTTACTTTCAAGACATTGAAGACCTTCTGGATTAGTGCAGGACACTCTTCTTGTTCATGTCACTATTCTTGAATGGATTTGTTAACCCCTTTTTCTATCTTCTTTTCTTTTGATGTTGTGTCATTTTATGTGGGATTTTTCATCTATTACACCTATTTATTGATTTAGTATACTACTATGTATGGGTTGCAATACTGACTGACTTCTGGATTGGCTTGAGACTTCATGGCTCTGACTATGGAATTAATAGATAATAGTAAGGAGATTTGCCTCCTTAGGAACTCCATGTAGCTTGTGGCTTTTACAATTGGAACAGCATCAATGAATATCTGACCTTGTGGAAAGACACAAATGTTCATGGACCAGCTTATGTCTGACCTTGTGCCACTCACAACAATTGACATAGTCAGCAACTGTTTTCCACAGTTAGACAAATTCCCAAAACTAAAATAAACTGGCATTTATAATCAGATACCTATGATTGGCCACATTAAGGAGATTTCTAAAGCCAGGACTCTCATAAAACCTTAATTAGAAATCGAGTCAGTTGGCCAAAGAAACTACCACACTGTCTAAAAAGAGATATAATCTCACTTAGTCTTGAAAGCCTGGCTCCCCAAGGAAAACCTTAGGTGATGGGATGGAACCCACCCATGTCATGCAAATACAAAATCTGACAGGGTCTTGGCTGATGCTAAGCTAGGAAGCTGGTGGAGCCCAAGGGCTCATACTGAGCAGGAACTTATCAATAGAGGTTGGCAAAACAAATTTTTTACTTGGTTGAAAGAAAGGAAAGTTAATTATTGCATAACCTCCACGTATGAGGTTGGTTAAGGTGATAAAGTAAAGTATTTATTATTAAGAAACTATATAAATTTGCAACTAATATTGCATAATATGGGCTCTAGGACAGAAATCGAGCAGGCATGCCAGAGGACTCATAGGCCAAACACAGTTCTCAGCATTGAAGACCCTAAGTGCCCAATAGTTTTGGAAGCCAGGAAAACTCTTACTGTACAAACCCCTGAGGATCTATGGTCAGTCATGAGAAAGCCTAAAAATGTAAAACTTTTGATTAGCAATACCCCAAGGGAAGAAATTCCTGAACTGTTCATGTAAACATCTCGTGTATTGACAGGAATCACCAGAAGGGCAAAGAGATAGCTCATATAATTTTAAGGAAAGTAAATTCTTCTCATATATCACATTTAATGGTGAATCCCTGGGATCAAAGCACCCACATCCAGAGGACTCAGTAGATTATGGTGGTTCCTGGTGAGATTATGTGGCAAGGCCCATAACAACTAGAAAAAGAATCACAGATTGTAACCATGGAAATCACAGACCACAGTATATCAGTGAGAACAAAGAATACACCAGAGAAGAATTCCAAAAATAAGAACCGATTCTTGCCAAAGACAAACCACAGATGCAGACTGGCCAGTCCATCTATGGAATAATGGACCAAACACTGTAGTACTGTCCGGCACAGAAATGCATCAGATCACTACACTAGCAGAAAACCCATCTCTAAAGATGAAAAATCACCCAAGGCATGCCCTGTCTCTCTGGTAGTGAATCACATTAGCCTGGAGATCCATCCAACCATATTTAGACCCAACAATATTTGGAGATGGGCTCAAATGCAATGATTTGATATGAGGCACACAGAAATACAAGAAAATTCGCCATTTTTGGCTACCAATACACATCAATTGGTATGTGATAGATACAACGAATATGCCACCCATTTGAAATTGTAGCTTCAAGTGAAGAGATCACTTCTGAGTACCACCTAACCTGAAAGTCTCCTAAATTAACAGTCTCAGCACTGAGAACCATAAAAGATAGACTAGAAATGTTCAAATTTTAGCAGATTCTTCAGGAACCCCTAAGGTAATATTTATAGCAAACTTAATAAAAGCACCAAGAAATAAACCCAGGAAGGGACTGAAATTCTTTTTATTCAATACAAAAGTCTCAAAACTCATTAAAAATTGACCTACCTTACCTTTGCAAAATAAACCAAGGCAGACAAATTTGCAAGCCAGACAAAATAATTCACAGCATAAACAAAATAATTGGCAACCAAGGACACAAGGAAACAGGGCCATTTAAGGCCCAGCCCAGATGCCAAAATAATGAGTAAAGATCTTCCAAACATCTAGCCAGGTGCGGTGTCTCATGCCTGCAATCACAACACTTTGGGAGGCTGAGGCAGGCAGATCACCTGAGGTCAGGAGTTCAAAACCAGCCTGGCCAACATGGCGAAGCCCCGTCCCTACTAAAAATACAAAAATTAGCTAGGCATGGTGGCATGCGCCTGTAATCCCAGCTACTCAGGAGGCTGAGGTGGGAGAATCGCTTGAACCTGGGAGGTGGAGGTTGCAGTGAGCCAAAATGGCACCATTGCAATTCAGCCTGGAGGACAAGAGAGAAATGCCATCAAAAAAAAAAAAAAAAAAAAAAAAACAACCTTCCAATCGTCCAAGTCTGAACCAACAAATTTAAAAAACAGAAACAACAAAAGACAAAATTAAACAACTAGAAATCCCTCCAAGTACGGGCTAAAACGCTCAAACCTAAGGATAACAGAACAGATATACAATAGCTATACAAATAAATATGCACATATATACACATTTCTTTTAGACACCAAATTTCAAATAAGCCTTATTAGATACAATGCAGCACACTCTGACACAAACGTCCATATAAAGTACTTTGAGGAAACAACCAAAAAACCGGAGGCTCCTAAATTTCTGCTTCTATACAATCTATTACCTAAACTTATTGCTTGCACTTTATACTGTTCACCAAAATTAGAAAACACAATGGGAATGCATCGGATTCCAAAACTTTTTAACCTATGGCAGCCTATTAAGAAACTAAAGGAGGCTGGACGCAGTGGCTCACGCCTGTAATCCCAACACTTTGGAAGGCTGAGGCAGGCTGATCATGAGGTCAGGAGATCGAGACCATCCTGGCTAGCACAGTGAAACCCTGTCTCTACTAAAAATACAAAAAATTAGCCGGGCGTGGTGGTGGGCACCTGTAGTCCCAGCTACTTGGGAGGCTGAGGCAGGAGAATGGCATGAACCTGGGAGGCAGAGCTGGCAGTGAGCCGAGATCACGCCACTGCACTCCAGCCTGGGCAACAGAGTGAGACTCCGTCTCAAAAAAAAAAAAAAAAAAAGAAACTAAAGGAGTGAAAATTCTCTAACCTATCACAGACTAAAATGAAACCTCTAACACTGTCTACAACCCACCAGGCTACATATACTAAACAATACCCATTAAAGGGAGGATATAAAAAATAACAGCAAAATTCTGGAAATCCTCAAAGAACATATTATTACAATGGGCATTTCAAATTACTTTTCCATTATGGCCTGTTCTGAAATCACGGTAGCTATTGACTAGAAAAATTTAAATAAAGTCTCAACTAAAATGACAGGAAATTACCAGATGTCGAAGAAGTCATTAATAAGATCACTGAGTACAATGGAAACTACTATGTAACCATAAATATTTCAGACATGCTCTTTGTCATGCCAATAGACAAGGAAAGCCAGGAATATACCACTTTCACCTATGAAGGCAAACAATACCAATTTAAAAGCTCAATGCAAGGATATTTAAATAGCTCACTCCATTTTATCATTACATATAAACCAATTAAAATACAGATCACTAATAATATAATACATAGATTACATTACAATGCTGAAACAATGACCAGCAGAATCTTAAACAGGAAACATGACAATTAGTAACACACTTAAGATCACTGAGATGGACTATTCATATAGAGAAAACCATAGGCCCAGACACTAATCGTAAATTTTTAAGAGTACAATGGTTGTCAGAAGGGAGAAAAATAATGACCACAATGATAAAAGCCCTTAGGGCACCAATAAACAGGAAGCACAAAGAATAATAGGTGTTTATTTGGTAATTGGAGACAACATATATCTTCTTGAAACATCATCCTAAAACCAATATATAAGATAACTAGAAAATCCCAAAATTTCCCCTAGAGACAAGAACAAGCATAAGCACTTGAATCACTCAAAGACTACATTACCACATCCCAAGCTCTGCATTGTGCATCTTCTGATTCACAACTTGGTTGGAATTCTAATGAGTGATGAATGTAGAACACGGTCCATGGTCACCATGTAAAAAGAAACCAAGTTCTAAAACCTTCCTACCAGTGGGATTTTGGACAATAAAATTCCCATACTCTAAGAACAAATTCAGCCTATTTGGAAAATACATATGGCTTAGGCATGAAGCCTTAAGAAACGGAGCCTCTGACTGGCAACAACATTACAATTAGATGCCACATGCCTCTCCTTCACTGGATAAAATTGATCAACATTGCTTACATAGAAATGGTAAATCCAAGGTGGAGACACTGTCTTTAAGGGTCAACCAGGTCTCCTTACAGAGGAGACTGTCAAGACTGAAATAGGCTTGCCAGAATGTATTCCAAGCACAGGGACAATCCATGCCAATCTAGGAAAATTGGGCCTAGTCTTGTCTAAATGTCTTGCCCAACACCTGGTTTACAGACTGATCAGCCTCTGTGACCCAAGGCCCGACCCAATGGAAAAAGCAGCACTCAGACCCCAGGACTACACAATCCTGAAGGAGGCAGGTCAATTACTCTCTGCAAAGCATGCAGAACTGATTGCAGGTATTCTAGCAGTCAGACACTCGGTATCAGAAAATCAAAATAAAATTTACATTTTTGCAGACTCATGACAGTTCCAAATGGCATAATCCGGTGGTTACAAACATGGAAAGAAAATAATGTAAAAAATAATTATAAAAGTATATGGTCCAAATTTTATTGGGAGGAACTATGTGAATTATGAAACAGAATTATGATATTCTTATATTGGTGCAGCAAAAAGATAATTCAGAAACCACAAAATCATATAACCATGTAGATGCATTATCAGAAATCATAACCATTAACACACAAAACATACCCCAATTAAAGCTACACAAAAAATCAGAAAACTCATGATATTCAGTAGTACATCTTCAACTCAAAAGAAAATGAGAAAAGAATGGGAAATACCACAAGTACCAAACAATTATAATTAAATAGGGAGATGACTTTAAAGTTAAACAGACAACAAAAGCAGCTGACACCCCATAAACACAACTATAACTACATAAGGAAAAAAGAGATTAGGTGCATGCTCAGTGTACAGGTGGGCATGAGAAACTGAAAGCAAGATGGCACCAAAATTCAAAAGGCCAAAGGTAATTGTGAGCAGTGTAAAGCTGATCTAAAGTAGAGCTATTCTACATCCATAGATAGGTACGAACCTAGCACCTTCAACTTGTGCTTCCAGATAGATTTTATAGGATCATTAAATTATCCCAGCCATAAAAATATGCAGTAACAATGGTTGATACATATGCAGAGATTAACCTAATAATAGTGGTTAGCCATCCATATGCCAAATATACCATCTCAGCCTTAGAATATATGATAGCTCACTGTGGAATCCTAAAATAATTGAAAGTGATAAGGGAACTCATTTTGCATGAAGAATTGCACAGGCATTGGCAGATAAATGGGATATAGAATGGACTTTTCACCTACTCTATAATCCCATAGCAGCAGGATATATAGAGAGATTTAACTGACTACTATAAAAATAATTTAAAACTTTGGATAAAATGATTGCATTTCAACAGCCTGTTAGCCTGACACATTTTAATTTAAATCAACAAGAAAGTCAATAAGAACAACTTCCACTCTAAATTTAATCAGATAACTTTAAGCCTCTTAAAGGATAAGGAAGAAAATGACACAAACGTTATACCTTACAAAGTGAGCACTAGACTTAATGACACCACTGTCTCCCATGAGGACATGGTGGCCAATGGACATGCAAATACTTATTGGACTGCAGGAAAAGAGGAGAGCTGCAATTAAACACAATCACCAAACTGATTCCAAATTGTTGCTAGACCTAGATTTGTTGCCACACTTTCTGCAAAATGGGTACTACAATGCTTTTTTCTAGTCATTGGTATTAATATAATTGAAACAGTATTCAATTTAATCTGACTTTACTTGCCACTAACCTAATACGTTCACATCACGATTGCAAGAACAGCACCAAAAGGATGGTGATAAAGCATTCATGAGAATTTGCCCCCATGATCGAATCACCTCCGAGCAGGCCCCACCTCCAACATTGGGGATTATAATTTGACATGAGATTTGTTGTTGACACACATCAAAACCATATCATTCCACTCCTGGACCCCCAGTCTCATGTTTTCACTTTGCAAAATACAATTTTGCCTTCCTAACATTCCTGCAAAGTCTTAACTCATTCCAGCATTAACTCCAAAGTCCAAAGTTCAAAGTCTCCTCTGGGACAAGGCTAGTCCCTTTCACCTATGATCCTGTAAAATCAAAAATGATTTAGGCCGGGCATAGTGGCTCATGTCTCTAATCCCAGCACTTTGGGAGGCCAAGGTGGGCAGATCACTTGAGGTCAGGGGTTTGAGACTAGCCTGGTCAACATAGTGAAACCCTGTCTCTACCAAAAAAAAAAAAAAAATTAGCCAGGCATGGTGGCACACACCTGTAATCCCAGCTACTCAGGAGGCTGAGACATGAGAGTTGCTTGAACCCAGGAGGCAGAGGTTGCAGTGAACAAAGATCGTGCCACTGCACTCCAGCCTGGGCAGACAGAGTGAGACTGTGTCAAAAAACAAACAAACAAACAAAAAAACCTAGCTAGTTACTTCCAAGATACAGTAGAACTATAGGCATTTGGTAAACATTCCTGTTCCAAAAGGGAGAAATCAGCCAAAAGAAAGAGGGTATAGGCCCCATGAAAGTCTGCAACCCAGCAGGGTAGTCATTAAATCTTAAAGCTCCAAAATAATATCCTTTGACTCCAGGTCCCATATCCAAGGCACACTGATACAAGGGATGAGCTCCCAAGGCCTTTCACAGCCATGCCCCTATGGCTTTGCAAGGTTTAGCCCCTGTGGCTGCTCTCGTGGACTGGTGTTGAGTGCCTGTGGCTTTTCCAGGCACAACGTGCAAGCTTCAGTGGGCCTACCATTTCAGATTCGGGAGGACTGTGGCCCCCTTCTCACGATTCCACTAGGCAGGGACTCTGCATGTGGACTCCAACTCAACATATTGTGTCTGCACCCCCCTAGTGGTGGTTCTCCATGAGGGTTCTGCCCCTGCAGTAATCTTCTGCCTGGACACCCAGACTTTTCCATACATTCCATACATCCTCTGAAACCTAGGTGGAGGCTGCCAAGCCTCAGCTCTTGCACTCTGTGTGCCTGCAGGCTTAGCACCATGTGGAAGCCACCAAGGCTTATAGCTCACACCCTGTGAAGCAGTGGCCTGAACTGGACCTAGACCCATTTAAACCATGGCTAGAGCTGAAACAGCTGGGATGCAGGGAGCAGTAACAAGAGGTTGCAAAGGGCAGCAGGACCTTGGACCTGGCCCATGAAACCATTCTATCCTCCTAGGCATCCAAGCCTGTGATGGGAGGGGCTGCCACAAAGGTCTCTAAAATGTGTTCAAGGCCTTCTTGCAATTGTCTTGGCTATTAGCACATAGCTCCTTTTTACTTATGTAAATTTCTGCAGCCTTCTTGAATTCCTCCCCTGAAAATGGGCTTTACTTTTCTACCGTATGAGTAGGCCGCAAATTTTCCAAACTTTTACACTCTGCTTCCCCTTTAAATATAAATTCCAACATTAGGTCATTTTTTGCTCACACACATAGGCACAGGCTGTTAGAAGCAGGCAGGTCTCATGTTGAATGCTTTGCTACTTAGAAATGTATTCCACCAGATACATTAAATCGTCATTCTTAAGTTCAAAGTTTCACAGATCCCTAGGGCTGGGACACAATGTGGCCAGGTTCTTTGCTGAGGCATAAAAAAAGTGATTTTTGCTTCAGTTCCCAATAAGTTATTCATTTCCACCTGAGACCTCATTAGCCTGGCCATCTCTGTTCATATGACTATCAGCATTTGGGTCACAATCATTCAAGTCTCTAAGAAGTTTCCAATTTTCCCTTATTTTTCTGTATTCTTCTGAGTCCTCTAAAGTCTTCCAACCTTTGCCCATTACCCAGTTCCAAAGCTGTTTCCATATTTTCAGGTATTTTTATGGCAATGTCCCACTCCCCAGTAACAATTTTTATATTAGTTCATTCTCACATTGATATAAAGAGGCTGGGTAATTTATAAAGAAGAGAGGTTTAATTGGCTTATGGTTCAAGTTGTGGCTTCTGCTTTTGGGGAGGCTTCAGGAAGCTTCCAATGATGGCAGAAGGCAAAGGAGGAACAGGCATCATACATGGTCAGAGAAGGACCAAGGGATAGAGAAGGGGAGATGCTCCATATCTCGTGATAACTCACTATCACAAGAACAGCACCAAGGGAATGATGCTAAACCATTCATGAGAAACCACCTCCATGATCTAATCACCTCCAACCATTTCCCATCTCCATCATTGGGGATTACAATTCAACATGACATTTTGCGAGGTTACATATCCAAACTATATCACAATCTTGTTTACTCTTTCCATGAAACAACTTCTAAATTTGTGTGGTTTTTCATATGGTTTTCCACATCCCAACTTCCTTCAGTTCAGCTGTGATTTTGGTTATTTTTTGTCTTGTCCTAGCTGTGGGGTTGGTTGTCCTTGTTTCTCTAGTCCCTCTAAGAGTGATATTAGATTGTTAATTTGAGATATTTCTAACTTTTTGATGTGGGTGTTTGATGTTATAAACTTATCCCTTAATGCTGCTTTATCTGTGTCCCACAGATTCTGGTATGTTGTATATTTGCTGTCATTAGTTTCAAAGAATTTCTTGATTTCTGCCTTAATTTCTTTATTTAACCAAAAATCATTCAGAAGAAGGTTGCTTAATTTCCATGTAACTGTATGGTTTTGAGTAATTTTCTTGGTATTGGTTTCTATTCTGAGAATGTGGTTTGTATAATTTCAGTTTTTTTAATTTGCTGAGGATTGTTTTATCACTGAGTGTATGTTCAATTTTAGGGTATGTGCCATGTGTTCAGAAGAATGTATATTCTGTTGTTTTGGGGTGAAGTGTTCCTTAGATGTTCATTAGATCTATTTGGTTAAGTGTCAACTTCAGGTCATAAATATCTTCATCAGTTTTCCAAGTTGATGGTCTGTCTAATACTGTCAGTGGGGTTTGGAATTCTGTGGCTATTATTTTGTGATTATCAAAGTGTATTCTAGGTCTCTAAGAACTCATTTTATGAATCTGCGTGCTTCAGTGTTAGGTGCATATATATTTGTCATAGTTAGATCTTCTTGTTAAATGGAACCCTTTACCCTTTCTTTGTCTTTTTATCTTTATTTTTTTAGTCTTTTTTTTTTTTTGCCTGAAATTAGAATAGTAACCTCTGCTTTTTTCTATTTTCCATTTGCTTGGTAGATTTTTCTTCATCCCTTTACTTTGAGCCTGAGTGTGGTCTCTTGAAGTGGGTCTCTTGAAGCCAACATACAGTTGAGTCTTGCTTCTGTACTGAACCTGCCACTCTGTACTTTTTAATTAGGGAATTTAGCCTGTTCACATTCAAGATTAATATTGATATGTATAGATTTAATCCTGTGATTGTGTTACCTGGTTATTATGCAGACTTTTTTGTATGGTTACTTTATAGTGTTAATGCTTTATGTACTTAAGTGTGTTTCTGTAGTGACTGGTAATGGCCTTGCCATATTTAGCACTCCCATCGGGTCTCTTGTAAGGCAGGTCTGGTGGTAATGAATTACCTTAGCATTTGCTTGTCTGAAAATAATCTCATTTCTCCTTCACTCATGAAGCTTAGTTTGATCGGATGTGAAATTCCTGGTTGAAATTCTTTTCTTTAAGAATGCTAAATATACATCCTGCCCCACCCCCTCACCCCCACTTCCTGCAGTCTCTTCAGGCTTGTAAGGTTTCTGCTGAAAGGTCCACTGTTAGTGTGATAATGTTCCCTTTTGTGGGTAACCTACACCTTCTCTCTAGTTGCCTTTAACATTGTTTCTTTCATTTCAACTTTGGAGAATCTGTTGACTAAGTGTCTTAGGGATGGTCGTCTTGTGTAGTATCTGACTGAATTTCTCTGAATTTCCTGAATTTGAATGTTGATATCTCTAACGAGTTTGGGAAAAGTTTCTTGGATAATATCCTAGAATGTTTTCCAAGTGGCATTCTTTCACTCCTTCTCTTTCAGGGACACCAATAAGCCATAATTTGGTCTCTATACATAATCTCATATTTCTTGGAGGTTTTGTATATTATTCTTTCACCTTTTTAAAAATTTTCATCTGAGGTATTTCAGAGAACCAGTCTTTGAGCTCTGAGATTATTTATTTTTATTTTTTGAGATGGAGTTTCGCTCTGTCACCCAGGCTGGAGGGCAGTGATGTGATCTCGGCTCACTGCAAGTTCTGCCTCCCAGGTTCACACCATTCTCCTGCCTCAACCTCCTGAGTAGCTGGCACTACAGGCGCCTGCCACCATGCCTGGCTAATTTTTTGTATTTTTAGCAGAGACAGGGTTTCACTGTGTTAGTCAGGATGGTCTCGATCTCCTGGCCTCGTGATACACCCACCTTGGCCTCCCAAAGTGCTGGGATTACAGGCATGAGCCACCACGCCCAGCCTCTGAGATTCTTTTCTATGCTTGGTTGATTCTCCTGTTAATAGTGGCCATTATATTCTGAAATTCTTGAAGTGATTTTTTTCAGCTCTATCAAATGAGTTTTGTTATGTCTTAAAATGCCAATTTTGTCTTTTATCTTTTGTATCATTTTATTTTATACCTTGGAAACCTTGGATTGGGTTTTGACTTTCTTCTGAATATTGATTATCTTTGTTCCTATCCATGTTCTGAATTCTATTTCTGTCATTTCAGCCATTTCAACCTGGTTAAGAACCATTATTTGGGAAGTGGGCTGATGTTCCTTCAGTCTTTGTAATTATTGTCCTTTGGATGAGTTATTTTGCTTTTATCTTCTTTGATGCCCCTGGGGATTTGATTGTGGTATATGGTGGGGTAAGTCAATTGGCTTTATTTCTGGAAGATTTTAGGCTGAGTTCAGTACTCCTGGGATGTGTGCTCTAACTCTGTGAGGCTGATATCCAGCCTCCAGCTTTGTTCTCTGTCCTGTCAAAGTTAGGAACCTGCTGCACTGGAAGGGCAAGATATTTACGAACAACTGGCCAGAACACTCCAATGGGTGGTGCTGGCTAAAGCACTCTATCAGGGTGGCGATGGTAGAATCCATGCTTATTTGCACATGTCAGCAGCAGTGGCAGCACACTGAAGAGCACATGCCTCAGCTGGGATAGGGCACTGGTGGTTGCTGGACTGCTGGCCCCCATGGGTACATTCACACCAGCAATGGCAACACAGTCAGGGGAGGCAGGGGGTGTACTCATGCCAGCAGCAGTGGCCCAGAGAGGTGCATGTGCACACACGGGCAGGTGGAGGAGAGAAGGTGAGGTCTGCCCACATGCACACATGTGCTGGCAAAGTGGTAGCAAGGTGACTGTGGGCAAGTGCATGCCAGTAAAGTGGCATGGGGGAGGCTGTAGTCAGCCTTGGGTGTGGGTGGACTGGGTGTATGTCAACAGGGAACACTCTGCTGGAGCTCCCTGACAGTCTAGCACAGGCTGCAGTGAAGCAGGTATGATGTGGGCCCCTGGGAGGCAGCTTAGTTAGGGATGTGAGGCTGCACTACAAGCGAGTGCAGCCAAGCTGGGGCTCTAGGAGAAACCAGCAGATAGGGGTCACTGAGATTGGAATAGCCCCATCTCACAGGCAAGATCACCCTGCTGTGTTCAAGTCCAACAGTTGACCTAAGACTGAAGTCTCCTAGGGGAGCACGGTGAGCCTTGGGTAATGGGCATCCCTTCTTGTGCTCCGCTACAGACATTCCAGCAACAAACCCTCTGGGCTCTACACAGGCTGGAGTCCTACCCTTATTACCTCTCTAAACAGCTCTTCCTGCAAGCTCAAGTGTCCTTGGTGGTCATGGGTTGCTGCCAGGATTCCAGATGGCCGTAGTAAGAGTAGATCACTCCTTGCCTGTTCAACTCACCCCTTCCTCAGAAATCACTGGGGGCCAGGAATGAGGCCCAGTGTACAGTTGCCTTGTACAGGGTTCCCAGCTATATTAAGTGGAATTGTTTTTTGAGGTTCATTTTTCAGCTGATTTGCAGTATAATAGAATGCATTTGTTTTTTATTGACCTTGTATGCTACAACATTACTGAATTTTATGTTCTAATCTTATATTAGTGGATTCCTTAGGATTTTGTATATACTAGATCATTTTACTGGCACATAGAGACAGTTTGATTTCTTTTATTTAGTTTTTGATATGGAGTTTTGCTCTGTTGCCCAGGCTGGAGTGCAGTGGCACGATCTCAGCTCACTGCAACCTCCACCTCCTAGGTTCAAGTGATTTTCCTGCCTCAGCCTCCCGAGTAGCTGGGGTTATAGGCGCCCACTACCATGCCTGGCTAACTTTTGTATTCTTTTAGTAGAGACGGGATTTCACCATGCCAGTCTGGTCTGGAACTTCCAACCTCAGGTGATCCACCTGCCTTGGCTTCCCAAAGTGCTGGGATTACAGGCACGAGCAACCGCACCCAGCCTGATTCATTTAATTCTGATAGTGTTATATTTAGTTTTCTAGCGTAACTTATTGACTATATCCTCAATTACAATTTATAATAGAATGGTGGTAATGGATAACCTTTTTGAGTTTTTAATCTTGGAAAAATTACTGAGACTTTCTTGATACCATGTGTTGTTATGTGAGCTTTTCATGGATGTCTGTTTTCAAGTAAAGAACATTCCCTTTCCTGCATAATTTTTTCATGTTTTTACCATGAGTAGGTTTGGGATTTTTCAAATGCTTGTTACATATCCTTGGAGATCATCATGAGGCTTTTGTTTTTCCATCTATTAATAAAATGTATTACATTAATTGTTTTTATATATTTTATCAAACTTACAATCCTGACATAAGTACCCTTAGTCAGAGTGTATAAACGTGTTTTAGGAACCTGAATTATTTGGTTATTTCTTTGAGGATTATTGCCTCAGTATTCATAAGACATATTGGTCTATAATTTTCCTTTCTTCTTCTTCTTCTTTATTTATTTATTTATTTTTGAGATGGAGTCTCTCTCTGTTGCCCAGGATGGATGGAGTGCAGTGGCATAGTCTTGGCTCACTGCACATTCCGCCTTCTGGATTCAAGCAATTCTTTTGCTTCAGCCTCCTGAGTAGCTGGGATTACAGGAACCTGCCACCACACTCAGCTAATTTTTGTATTTTCAGTAGAGATAGGGTTTCACCATATTGGCCAGGCCGGTCCCAAATTCTTGACCTCAGATGATTCACCCACGTCAGCCTCCCAAAGTATTGGGATTACAGATGTGAGCCACCATGCCCAGCCTACAATTTTCCTTTCTTAAAATATCTCTGTCTAGTTGTAATATCAGAGTAATCTGCCTCATAGAATGCATTAGGCAGTAATCTCTCCTCTGTTGTTTTTATTTTCTTTTATGAAGAATTAATGAAGGATCATTATTAAGTTTTTAATGGGTCAAGAGAAAGTTACCACTGAGGTCTTCTCTACCTGGGCAACAATTGACTCCTAACAACCACTATAAGCTTGGAAGATGATCCCTCCCCAGCTGATCCTTCAGGTGAGTCCTCAGCAACATCTACATCTGGATTTCTGACCCAGAGAAACTGTGAGTAATATGTATGTGTGGTTTTTTTAGCCTCTGAGTTATGTGGCAACTGGCTATGGTGCAATAAATAAGTAATGCATCTGACAGTAAGTGTAATGTGTTATCCTGGAGTGAATCCAAAAATTTAAAAATGACATCAGTAGAAAACCTGGTAAAATATGAATAAAGTCTGTACTTTAGTTAGTAGTTTTATACCTTTATCAATTTCCATGTTTTCATACATATTCTATCTATGGTTATATAAGTTGTCAACATTAAAGGAAGTTGTAGGGTAGATGAAATCCTATATAATATTTTTTAACTTTCCGTAAATATAAATTTATTTCAAAATTAAAGAGTAGAGACATAATTCGAGTATCTGACATCATAACTTGGTCTAAACTTAATTGACTCTTCCTGGAACCTTAACCTCTGGGTGCAAATATAGTAAACATTATAAATTATGAATTATATGAATTTATTTTTCATTTACTCTATTATTTAAGGAGTACCAAAGCCCGTTTATTTTCTCAATTATCCGAAACTAGAGTTTGCCAGAGTAACAAGGGGGCAGAGCAGAAAATTTTTTTTTTTTTTTTTTTGAGACAGAGTCTCACTCTGTCACCCAGGCTGGAGTGCAGTGGCATGATCTTGGCTCACTGCAAGCTCCACCTCCTGGGTTCATGCCATTCGCCTGCCTCAGCCTCCCAAGTAGCTGGACTACAGGCGCCTGCCACCATGCCTGGCTAATTTTTTGTATTTTTTAGTACAGATGGGATTTCACCATGTTAGCCAGGCTGGTCTCAATCTCCTGACCTCGTGATCCACCTGCCTCGGCCTCCCAAGGTGCTGGGATTACAGGCGTGAGCCACTGCACCTGGCCCAGAGCAGAATATTTTATGAATACCATAATGCATCTACACTTGCCTTGACTATTTATAAAGTGGTTTGTATGATTATCATCTATATGATCATAAAGACAACTGAGAAAGAAAAATTTATAGTTATGCAACTTTTCTGGATTTAAGAATAGGATCTGGCCAGGCGTGGTAGCGTGTCTGTGGTCCCAGCTGCTAGGAAGCATGAGGCAGAGGGATCACTTGAGACCAGCTGTTTGAGGTCATAGTTTGCTATGGTTGCACCTGTGAATAGCCATTGCACTGCAGCCTGGGCAAAATGGCATCACCCTGTCTCAAATAAATAAATATTTGAGTTGGACTGTAATTTTTAGGTATCATTGTTCATATTTATTTGATTAGGACTGGAATTCTCCTGCTACAGATTTTTCTGTTTTTAGAAAGCAATACAAACTTTCATGTAACTCAGTGCCATGTCTATCTTCCTCCTCAATGTATAACTTGAACTATAGACTAATTATCTCACCATATTTGTTTTATTTCTGTCATTTCTTGTTTGCTTTTGAGGTTTCTCTCTGCATCATGGCTATAAACTATAGCCCTGCCCAACAGGACTCGAGGGTTTAGTACTGAATTTTCACGGTATGCTTTTCATGGGATGCTTATTTATGCTGGTGGATGGCCTAATGTCTAATTGTCTGACCTGTAACCAGGTTTCTCTCTCACAGAATACCCATTTATATTGGAATACATCCTTATGGCTCCTTTCTGACCCATGTTCAGTTTATTCCTACCAAGGTAGACATTCTTTAAGAGTACTGAGGGGGACAAAAACGTGAGGTCCAAGTATGTTGGTCAAGTGAGACACCTAAGAGACAACACAACAAAAGGCATGAAATATCCCTCAGTTTATGACTAACAGATCCTGGAGAGAAGAGGGCAGCATTCTTTGGAGGGCCAATGGGAAGGGGAGAACTCTCTGAAACAAACACTCCCAAACAGCAGGGGTCAAGGGGAGCAAAGAGAGAGAAAAATGCATGATGGACCAGCAGGCTGAAGCATTTATTGGTGTATAATCTGTGTTTTTCAGAGATACAAAACCAATAGATGATGGAGATAGATAGGTAGATAGATAGATAGATATAGAGGCAATTTATTAGGCATGGGCTCATGTGATTATAGAGGCTGAAAAGTCCCAAGGCAGGTCATCTGTAAGCTTAGGACCCTAAGATGCTGGTAATGTGGCCCAGTCCAACATCACATCTTCAGAACCATGGAAGCCCTTGAGGTAATTCTCAATTTAAGGCCAAAAGCCTAAAAATCTGAGTAAGCCCTGAGTTTCAAGGGCAGACATCTTTGATTTCTGTTGTCCAAGGACAGGAAAAGAAATATCCCTCCTCCAGGAGAGAGAGACAGGAAAAAAATTTTGCCTTTTTGGTTGTATTTAGCCTCAAGGAGATTGGATGGTGCTTGTTTTTCTTGGTGGTGGATCTTTACCCCTCAGTCAAATGACGCACACACCAAACTCCTCACTCACAGACTCAGAAGTAATGTTTTACCAGTTCTCTTGGTATTCATTAATCCAGTCAGTGTGATACATAAAATTAACCATCCCAAGCCCATCACTTTTCCACTTGGCACCTGATATTGTTCGGCTGTGTCCCCACCCAAGTCATCTTGAATTGTAGTTCCCATAATTCCCACATGCTGCAGGTGCTACTGGCCCTTCATTTTGGCCAACTTCTCCCACTTGGAACAGGTGTATTTATCCAATGCCTGTACGCTCATTGTATCTAGGAAGTGACTAAGTTGCTTTTGATTTTACAGGCTCATAGGTGGAAGGGACTTGCCTTGTCTCAGATGAGACTTTGGACTTGGACTTTTGGGTTAATCCTGGAATGAGCTAAGACTTTTGGGGACTGTTCAAAAGGCATGATTGTGTTTTGAAATATGAGGACATGAAATTTGGGAGGGGCCAAGGCTGGAAAGATATGGTTTGGCTTTGTCCCCACCCAAATGTCATCTTGAATTGTAGTTCCCATAATCCCCACTGTCATGGGAGAGACCTGGTGGGAGGTAATTGAATCATGATGTCACTTAACCCAATGCTACTCTTCTTGTGATAGTGAGTGAGTTCCCATGAGATTTGGTGGTTTTAAAAGGGGCTTTCCCCGCTTTTGCTCAGTACTTCTTTTTCCTGCCACCATGTGAGGAAGGACGTGTTTGCTTCCCCTTCTTCCATGATTGTAAGTTTCCTGAGGCCTCCCCAGCCATGCTGAACTGTGAGTCAATTAAACCTCTTTCCTTTATAAATCACCCAGTCTCAGGTATGTGTTTATTAGCAGGATGAGAATAGACTAATACAGCACCCATATCATTTCCTTAACTGAAAACTAATCTCCAAATGGGTGACTTAATGTTCTACCTCCTGAATATACTGGAGTGGAGGTTGGACCCCACAATGTCTCAGGCAGCATCACCTTTATGGATTTTCTTGGTGCAGTTCATTCAGCTGTTTTTACTGATTGTACTTAAAGGTTTCCCAGACAGGCATTACATAGTGTAGGTGACTTCACAATTCTGGGGTCCTGGTAGTGGTACTACTTCCTCTAGTCCACTAATCATTAACTTAGTGAGGAATGTCTGTGGTGACCTCATTTCCATGGCTTCACTAGGGATTTCCCTGATGGGAACTCTTTGTAGCAGCTCCAGGCCCACGTTGGCACTTGGCATTGCTCTATTAGGGGCTTTCTGCAGTGGCTCTGCCCTGTGACAAGTCTCAGCCTCGGTTCCCAGGCTTGCAAAGAAATCGAAAGAAAATTGTGGAGGCTGCCAAGTCTTCAAAGCTCTTGCTTTCTGTAAGCCTACAGAATTAGCACCACAGGGACATCTCCAAGGTTTAGGACTTTTACATCCAAGAGCTGGGGCACAAACCCCACCTGAGGCTACTTTACCCAAAACATCTGGAATGCAGGGAGCAGCATCCTGACTTGGCACAGGGCAGTGCCTTCATTTGTCCACAGAAACCATCCTGTCCTCCAGAACCCCTGGGCCTGTGATGGGAGGGCAGCCTGAAAATGACTGAAATGCTGTGGGACCTCCTTCCCGTTGTCTTGACTATTAACACCTGGCTCCCGTTTAGCCACGCTAATCTCTGGCAAGCTGTGGCTCTGCCAAACACTTGGGTTTTTCTCCTGGAAATGCTCTTTTATTCTCTACCACATGGGCAGGCTACAACATTTTTTAATTGTTTTCTTGTCTTTTTTCTTTTCTCTATCAGTTCACATGAAGCATTTGGAAGTAAACACACGATGGACTGAACACTTTGCTGCTTAGAAACTTCTTCTTCCAGATTCCCTAGTTCATCATTAAGTAGTTAGGCCTCTCACAAAGCCCTTGGTCACGGATACAGGTCAGCCGTTCTTTACCCAATCAAAACAGGGATGGCCTTTACTGCAGTTACTAATATCTTGTTTTTTAGTTTCATCTGACATTTTGTCAGAATGGCCCTTATGTCAGTATTTCTATCAGCAGTGAGGACTAAACTCTGATTTTTTTATCTTGCCCAAATTCCTATCTAAAAGGTCTGGGGAGTCATGCCCTACAAATGATAAATTCTCATCAGATGGGTTTTATTTGACCCTGTATATCGTGACTTACTTTCCAACCTGACTGTGGCATAACATTACAAAAGAAGGAAGAAAATCAAAATATTTTACTCCAAAAACATGTTTCTTTGTTGCATTTTGAAATGGTCCTGCAAGCCATCCTTTGTGGAGGAAAATTCACGTCTGTAAAGAATCTCTATTAGCCTCTATATCTATAGAGGTTAATATATATCTATATGTTAGCCTCTATATATATAATATAATATAATCTATATCTATAACCTCTATATCTATATCTGTAAAGAATCTCTATTAACCTCTATATCGAGGTATAATCTCTATACCTCGACCTTTGTCTGTCAGGCCCTTCCAATTCTGAATAGATTAGGTAAGAGTGTAGCACCTTTTAAAGTCTGAATAGGCAACATTTGTCATCTATTATCTCTAAGTGCAATGGCTATGAGACTTCAAAAGAACCTTGGTCTCCAAAGTCTTTTGTCTTAACCTGAACATTTCCTTTCTATTGATCCCAGGTCCTTGGAAAAAACTCAACCAATTGTCAACCAGAAAATGCTTAAATTTATCTATAGCCTGTAACCCCACCCCCCACTCCCTACCCTGCTTCAAGCTGTCCTGCCTTTCTGGAACAAACCAATGTATTCCTTAAACATATTTGATTGCTGTCTCATGCTTCCCTAAAATGTATAAAACCAAGCTGTACCCCAACCACCTTGGGCACATGTTCTCAGGACTTCCTGAGGGCTGTGTCATGGGCCATGGTCACTCATATTTTGCTCAGAATAAATCTCTCTAAATATTTTACAGAGTTTGACTTTTTTGGTCAACAGCAGTCTTGTCACAACCACTTGACCAATTTATAAGGACTCCCAAACTTTTCCTAGTCTTCTTGTATCTAACCCTTACAACAATGTAGGCTTTATCTAGCCTGCTTCTCCAGTCTTCCAGCCTCTGCCCATTACCCGTTTTCTGTGTTAGTCTCTTTTCTGTTGCATGTAATAGAATACAACAAAATCTGGGTAATTTATGAAAACAGGAAATGTATTTCTTACAGTTATGAAGGCTTATAAGTCTTCATAATAAGTCACCAAATGCGGGGCCACATTTGGTGAAAGCCTCTTGGTAGTGAGGACTCCCTAAAGAGTCCTGAGGTCATATCATGCAGGTGTCACCTGGCTCAGGGCTGAGCATGGTAGGACCGATCTCTTTTCCTCTTATAAAGCCACCAGTTGCCCTGACCTGATAACTCACTAATCCATTAACACATTAATCCATAAATAGATGTGTTACTGGGAAGTGTGGGGTCCTCACTTCCTGTCTTTTTACAGAAAAAAATTTAAGGCAAGAGAGGTAAGAAGTAACAAGATTTGGCCGGGCATGATGGCTCACGCCTGTAATACCAACACTTTGGGAGACCAAGGCAGGTGGATCACGAGGTCAGGAGATCAAGACCATCCTGGCCAACATGGTGAAACCCTGTCTCTACTAAAAATACAAAAATCAGCCAGGCATGGTGGCGTGTACCTGTAGTCCCAGCTACTCAGGAGGCTGAGGCAGGAAAATCGCCTGAAAGCAGGAGGCGGAGGTTGCAGTGAGCCAAGATCCTGCAGCTGCACTCCAGCCTGGGCAACAGAGCGAGACTCTGTATAAAAAAAAAAAAAAAAAAAAAAAAAAAAGTAACAAGGTGTATTTAAAGCGGCAGTACACTCTGAAAGCTGAGTCAGGACAGGCTGCTAGAAAAAGGAGACAGCGAATATTAGCACTGGGGAAGCTGCTTTATGGGGAGTCTTACATGATTATTCATGAAAGGTGTATAAAGGGCTGTTACTAGCAAGCATGTTTTGGGTGGTCTCCTGGGTGCACATGCCTTGTGGCCAAATGTGCTCGTACATGCATCGCATGTCATATTAGCATCTTAAATCTCCAGTCAGGGGTGTATTTTTTACTATTATAATGAGCAAAAGGCCACTTTTAGGGTGACAAGAGGGAAGTGCACATGCTTGCTACTGGGGAAAGTCCCTACTGAAGTTACCTCCCATTAGGTCCAGGTAAGTCCCAGTTTAGGGCCAGATAAGCCTAACCACAAGTCCAGAAGTGGCTATTGTTTTCTTCTGATTGACAGTGGGCACTGGTTCCTAGTGGAGTGAAGTTTCGAAGGCTTCCTTTGCCAGGACTGCACTTCTCAGGGCCGCCTTTTCTGTTCATGTTTGTCCATCTGCCTAGTCTAACAGACGATCCACTTAGGAAAGCAGAACACTCATTATCCATCCAATCACCTCTTAAAGGTCCCACCACTTGATACTGCCACACTGGGGATTAACTTTTAAAATGAGTCTGGTGAAAGACAAATATTCCAGCCACAGCAGGTGCCAGGAGATCTCCTGTATTCTGGACATATTCTTCCATACCTTCATTGTGGAGTACTAGTTCAATTTTCCCCTAGTAGTCTGGATCAGTTACCCCAACAAACACTACAACTCACTTCTTCACCTGTTATTTCATAACATGAGGAGCCCAGTGTGGCTGAATGGCAGTCTTAACCTTCAGTTCAATGAACTAATTGGTGTGTCTTTAGTGGCAACATTCCTCTCTCTAGAATTAAGACCTCTAGGCCAGCAGAGCATATTGTTCCAGGAGCAGAAAGTAAATATTTCACTAGGGAGACATTAAGAGTAATATGAGTGGTGCCATTCTCATTTTTGTCCCTGGATTCCTAAATCTGTAATTCTGGTTTGGGGAGAAAGAGTATTATATAATGGTTGCTGATTCACGGCATATACAGGATTCTAGAGAACCTTGCCCCATCCCTGAAAAGTATTGTTACCTAGAAGGTGCTGCAACTGTGAGTCCCAAAGGCTATTCCACCATTTATCAAGCTAGTTCCTTCAGGATTATGGGGAACACAGTAAGACCAGTGAGCTTCATGACCATAAGCCCACTGCTGCAATACTTTGGCTGTGATTTGAGTTCCTTAGAGCTAATGTTGTGTGGAATACAACGATGATGAGTAAAGCATACTGTTAGTCCACAGATTATCGTTTTGGCAGAAATCTTGTGTTCAAGGAAGTAAAATCCACATCTAGAGTAAATGTCTATTCCAGTAAGGGCAAAACACTGCCCCTTTCTTGATGAAAGATACTCAACATAATCATCCAAAAACTGGTAGTTTGCTGATCACCCTGAGAAATGGTGTCATATCAGAGACTCAGTGTTGGTCCGTGCAGCTGGCAGATGGACCACTCAGAGGGAGCCACAGCCAGGTTGGCCTTGGTGAGTGAAAGTCCTGTTGGTGTGAGCATGCATGATCATCCCTGACACCATGGTCACTTTATTCATTAGCCTGTGGTGCAATGACAAGTGTGGCTGGAGAAAGAGGATAACAAGTATCTCAGAATGCATTATCCCATCCACTTGATTATTGCAGACGTCCTCTGCTGAGATAACACATTGGTGGACATTCACATGGAAACAACTGTCTTCACTTTTTTTTGCCTCTTCCCTTTTTTTGTGGATAGACTGTGGTACAAACTTGTATAATAGATCTCTTCAAGGAAGGATAGAAGAAAAATTAACAGTATAAAATGTAGGTAGTGTACCTGCATCCTTCTTTGAGGAGACCTGGCTGCTGTTTCTTACAAGGAGTTCTGGGACTGTAAACTGGCTGAAGTGTGAGAATTGAATGTGGGGCTATGATTCTGTGCTTTTTTATGACTCCAGTTAGACTTTTGCTTACTTGAGCTGAATTTTTTCTGCTTCTTCAGACCAAGTAAGCCTTTAGAAAGCTTTCTATCTATTTACTTTTTAAGAACACCATGGCTAACTAGCAAACATCACAGATACATAGGAGTCAGAACAATTTGATTGTTGCTTTGCCTTTGCTGCTCATTTACATAATAATGCCGACTAGCCTTTGAAGGTTGATTGCTGTCACTTGGCCCCAAGGCCCCCTGAGATCCAACATTTCCATTGCACTTAAATATTTTAAGTGATGGTCTGTGGTTTCCATTATAAGATCTAGCCTACAGGGAAGAGAGATCACAGAGTTCTTAAGACACACTGGGGCTTCCCACACTAATCTATTTCTCAAAGTATCATTAAAAAGTATGTCTTCTGGACCTTCTCTGTGTGGGTCAGTGACAAATCCACTCTAGCATTTCACTCTCCCCGAGTTTCTAAATTCCTTCCTCAAAGGTAAACAAAGAGAGATAGAGCATCTCCAACTTGTTCATGGTAAACCACTCTTAGAACTAGAATTCAGCCAAACGTTGCAACAAACTGCTAACACCATTCCTAAATCCCCAAGCTGTGACATTTGAAGCAGAATATTTGCTTAGTGAGCTCATATCGATAAACTTGTCCTCATCCAACTTTATGTTCCCTCCACCATTATTCTGACTGTTAGAAGGAGATTTTTCAGTGCTGCAAAATAAAAGAAAATAGCGCCACTCGCATATAAATTTTCTCAGCAAGGCAAATTTACTCCTGCAGGAGGGTGCCCCTCGTAGGTCTGGTCACCGTGAGAGCACACACAAACAGAGGAAAGCAGAGGTTTTTATTATCTCTAATGCAGCTCATTCCCTGTTTACTGTGTCCTGCCTCCATTGGCTGGAGTTGGATCACACAATGTAAGCTAAACCCAATTGGCTAACTTGAAAAGTGCAGGAATGCAGTTATACCAGTAGGAAGGTGGGAAGATCAGTTTCGGCGAATGTAGCTGTTGCAATGGGAGGGGTAATTCACAGAGTGGGTAGCAGATGTGGAATGTGGGCCCTATAGATAAGGACCAGCAGGAAAGTTGTTTACCAGGGCAGGGGGAACACAGAGAGTAAGGAAGTCTGGCTTTGAAAGCAGGGAAAAAAGGACAAGGAAATTTAAGAAGGCTAAACCTTTGAAGAAGAATTTCTTACTGTATTCAACACTGACCCTAAAAATCCATTTCCACAAATGTTCCCAGATTCTGCTTATATAAATTAGAAAACTCAAGTAGTTTGTTTCAGTGTGGTGCACCTTCTCATGGGTCATGCATCATATATTACCTTTATGGCCTGCTAGGACTTGAGTCTTATAGGTCTGGAAGCAAAAAATGTGGCTGGAGTAGGGCCTGAAGAGAAGCAACATTGTATTCCTTGGCAACTGCTTCAGGGAAGCTCATTACTTTTTCCTCATGCAATGCAGCGTTAATTTCCCCAGACAGAGGTGAAAGGGCCTATACATACACTGTTGGGGGGAAGGCCACTGCCATGGGGATGTGTGCGGGAGGCCACTTCCTCTGACAAACAAGACTCATCAGAATTTCTTTCTTTCTTTTTTATTTTTTATTTTTATTATACTTTAAGTTCTAGGGTACATGTGCACAATGTGCAGGTTCGTTACGTATGTATACTTGTGCCATGTTGGTGTGCTGCATCCATTAACTTGTCTTTTACATTGGGTATATCTCCTAATGCTTTCCCTCCCGACTCCCCCCATCCCCACCCCATGACAGGCCCCGGTGTATGATGTTCCCCTTCCTGTGACCAAGTGTTCTCACTGTTCACTTCCAACCTATGAGTGAGAACAGGTGGTGTTTGGCTTTTTGTTCTTGCGATAGTTTGCTGAGAATGATGGTTTCCAGCTTCATCCATGTCCCTACAAAGGACATGAACTCATCCTTTTTTATGGCTGCATAATATTCCATGGTGTATATGTGTCACATTTTCTTAATCCAGTCTATCATTGATGGACATTTGGGTTGGTTCCAAGTCTTTGCTATTTTGAAGAGTGCTGCAATAGACATACGGGTGCATGTGTCTTTATGGCTGCATGATTTATAATCCTTTGGGTATATACCCAGTAATGGGATGGCTGGGTCAAATGGTATTTCTAGTTCTAGATCCTTGAAGAATCACCATACTGTCTTCCACAATGGTTGAACTAGTTTACAGTCCAACCAACAGTGTAAAATGTTCCTATTTCTCCACCTCCTCTCCAGCACCTGTTGTTTCCTGACTTTTTAATGATCATCATTCTAACTGGTGTGAGATGGTATCTCATTGTGGTTTTGATTTGCATTTCTCTGATGGCCAGTGATGATGAGCATTTTTTCATGTGTCTGTTGGCTGCATAAATGTCTTCTTTTGAGAAGTGTCTGTTCATATCCCTCGCCCACTTTTTGATGGGATTGTTTGTTTTTTTCTTGTAAACTTGTTTTTCTTTGTAGATTCTGGATATTAGCCCTTTGTCAGATGAGTAGATTGCAAAACTTTTCTCCCATTCTGTATGTTGCCTGTTCACTCTGATGGTAGTTTCTTTTGCTGTGCAGAAGCTCTTTAGTTTAATTAGATCCCATTTGTCAATTTTGGCTTTTGTTGCCATTGTTTTTGGTGTTTTAGACATGAAGTCCTTGCCCAGGCCTATGTCCTGAATGGTATTGCCTAGGTTTTCTTTTAGCGTTTTTATGGTTTTAGGTCTAACATTTAAGTCTTTAATCCATCTGGAATTAATTTTTGTATAAGATGTAAAGAAGGGATCCAGTTTTAGCTTTCTACATATGGCTAGCCAGTTTTCCCAGCACCATTTATTAAATAGGGAATCCTTTAGCCATTTCTTGTTTTTGTCAGGGTTGTCAAAGATCAGATGGTTATAGATGTGTGGTATTACTTCTGAGGGCTCTGTTCTGTTCCATTGGTCTATATCTCTGTTTTGGTACCAGTACCATGCTGCTTTGGTTACTGTAGCCTTGTAGTATAGTTTGAAGTCAGGTAGCATGATGCCTCCAGCTTTGTTCTTTTGGCTTAGGATTGTCTTGGCAATGCGGGCTCTGTTTTGGTTCCATATGAACTTTAAAGTAGTTTTTTCCAATTCTGTGAAGAAAGTCATTGGTAGCTTGATGGAGATGGCATTGAATCTATAAATTACCTTGGGCAGTATGGCCATTTTCATGATATTGATTCTTCCTATCTAAGAGCATGGAATGTTCTTCCATTTGCTTGTATCCTCTTTAATTTCATTGAGCAGTGGTTTGTAGTTCTCCTTGAAGAGTTCCTTCACGTCCCTTGTAAGTTGGATTCCTAGGTATTTTATTCTCTTTGAAGCAATCATGAATGGGAGTTCACTCATGATTTGGCTCTCTGTTTGTCTGTTATTGGTGTATAAGAATGCTTGTGATTTTTGCACACTGATTTTTGTATCCTGAGACTTTGCTGATGTTGCTTATCCACTTACGGAGATTTTGGGCTGAGACTATGGGGTTTTCTAAATACACAGTCATGTCATCTGCAAACAGGGACAATTTGACTTCCTCTTTTCCTAATTGAATACCCTTTATTTCTTTCTCCTGCCTGATTGCCCTGGCCAGAACTTCCAACACTATGTTGAATAGGAGTGGTGAGAGAGGGCATCCCTGTCTTGTGCCAGTTTTCAAAGGGAATGCTTCCAGTTTTTGCCCATTCAGTATGATATTGGCTGTGCGTTTGTCATAAATAGCTCTTATTATTTTGAGATACGTCCCATCAATACCTAATTTATTGAGAGTTTTTAGCATGAAGGGCTGTTGAATTTTGTCAAAGGCTTTTTCTGCATGTATTGAGATAATCACGTGGTTTTTGTCTTTGGTTCTGTTTCTGTGCTGGATTACGTTTATTGATTTGCATATGTTGAACCAGCCTTGCATCCCAGGGATGAAGCCCACTTGATCATGGTGGATAAGCTTTTTGATGTGTTGCTGGATTCGGTTTGCCAGTATTTTATTGAGGATTTTTGCATCGATGTTCATCAGGGATATTGGTCTAAAATTCTCTTTTTTTGTTGTGTCTCTGCCAGGCTTTGGTATCAAGATGATGCTGGCCTCATAAAAATGAATTAGGGAGGATTCCCTCTTTTCTATTGATTGGAATAGTTTCCAAAGGAATGGTACCAGCTACTACTTGTACCTCTGGTAGAATTCGGCTGTGAATCCGTCTGGTCCTGGACTTCTTTTGGTTGGTAGGCTATTAATTATTGCCTCAATTTCAGAACCTGTTATTGGTCTATTCAGGAATTCAACTTCATCCTGGTTTAGTCTTGGGAGAGTGTATGTGTCCAGGAATTTATCCATTTCTTCTAGATTTTCTAGTTTATTTGTCTAGAGGTGTTTATAGTATTCTCTGATGGTAGTTTGTATTTCTGTGGGATCGGTGGTGATATCCCCTTTATCATTTTTTATTGCATCTATTTGATTCTTGTCTCTTTTCTTCTTTATTAGTCTTGCTAGTGGTTTATCAATTTTGTTTATCTTTTCAAAAAACCAGCTCCTGGATTCATTGATTTTTTTGAAGGGTTTTTGGTGTCTCTATCTCCTTCAGTTCTGCTTTGATCTTAGTTTTTTTCTTTCCTTCTGCTAGCTTTTAAATGTGTTTACTCTTGCTTCTCTAGTTCTTTTAACTGTGATGTTAGGGTGTCAATTTTAGATCTTTCCTGCTTTCTCTTGTAGGCATTTAGCGCTATAAATTTCCCTCTACACACTGCTTTAAATGTGTCCCAGAGATTCTGGTATGTTGTGTCTTTGTTCTCATTGGTTTCAAAGAACATCTTTATTTCTTCCATCATTTTGTTATGTACCCAGTAGTCATTCAGGAGCAGGTTGTTCAGTTTCCATGTAGTTGAGCGGTTTTGAGTGAGTTTCTTAATCCCGAGTTCTAGTTTGATTGCACTGTGATCTGAGAGACAGTTTGTTATAATTTCTGTTCTTTTACATTTGCTGAGGAGTGCTTTACTTCCAACTATGTGGTCAATTTTGGAATAAGTGCAATGTGGTGCTGAGAAGAATGTATATTCTGTTGATTTGGGGTGGAGAGTTCTGTAGATGTCTATTAGGTCCACTTGGTGCAGAGCTGAGTTCAATTCCTGGATATCCTTGTTAACTTTCTGTCTCGTGGATCTGTCTAATGTTGACAGTGGGGTGTTAAAGTCTCCCACTATTATTGTGTGGGAGTCTAAGTCGCTTTGTAGATCTCTAAGGACTTGCTTTATGAATCTGGGTGCTCCTGTATTGGGTGCATATATATTTAAGATAGTTAGCTCTTGTTGTTGAATTGATCCCATTACCATTGTGTAATGGCCTTCTTTGTCTCTTTTGATCTTTGTTGGTTTAAAGTCTGTTTTATCAGAGACTAGGATTGCAACTCCTGCCTTTTTTTGTTTTCCATTTGCTTGGTAGATCTTCCTCCATCCCTTTATTTTGAGCCTATGTGTGTCTCTGCACGTGAGATGGGTCTCCTGAATACAGTACACTGATGGGTCTTGACTCTTTATCCAATTTGCCAGTCTGTGTCTTTTAATTGGAGCATTTATCCCATTTACATTTAAGGTTAATATTGTTATGTGTGAATTTCATCCTGTCATTATGATGTTAGCTGGTTATTTTGCTCATTAGTTGATGCAGTTTCTTCCTACCATCGATGGTCTTTACAATTTGGCATGTTTTTGCAGTGGCTGGTATCAGTTTTTCCTTTCCATGTTTAGTGTGTCCTTCAGGAGCTCTTGTAGGGCAGGCCTGGTGGTGACAAAATCTCTCAGCATTTGCTTGTCTGTAAAGGATTTTATTTCTCCTTCACTTATGAAGCTTAGTTTGGCTGGATATGAAATTCTGGGTTGAAAATTCTTTTCTTTAAGAATGTTGAATATTGGCCCCCACTCTCTTCTGGCTTGTAGAGTTTCTGCCGAGAGATCCGCTGTTAGTCTGATGGGTTTCCCTTTGTGGGTAACCCGACTTTTCTCTCTGGCTTCCCTTAACATTTTTTCCTTCATTTCAACTTTGGTGAATCTGACAATTATGTGTCTTGGAGTTGCTCTTCTCGAGGAGTATCTTTGTGGCATTCTCTGTATTTCCCGAATCTGAATGTTGGCCTGCCTTGCTAGGTTGGGGGAGTTCTGTATAATATCCTGCAGAGTGTTTTCCAACTTGGTTCCATTCTCCCTGTCACTTTCAGGTACACCAATCTGACGTAGATGTGGTCTTTTCACATAGTCCCATATTTCTTGGAGGCCTTGTTCATTTCTTTTTACCCTTTTTTCTCTAAACTTCTCTTCCGACTTCATTTCATTCCTTTGATATTCAGTCACTGATACTCTTTCTTCCAGTTGATCGAATCAGCTACTGAAGCTTGTGCATTCGTCACGTAGTTCTCATGCCATGGTTTTCAGCTCCATCAGGTCATTTAAGGACTTCTCTACACTGGTTATTCTAGTTAGCCATTCATCTAATCTTTTTTCAAGGTTTTTAGCTTCTTTGCGATCGGTTTGAACTTTCTCCTTTAGCTCGGAGAAGTTTGATCGTCTGATGAGTTGAGAGAAGAAGGCTTCAAAGTCATTCTCTGTCCAGCTTTGTTCTTTTGCTGGCGAGGAGCTGCGTTCCTTTGGAGCAGGAGAAGTGCTCTGATTTTTAGAATTTTCAGCTTTTCTGCTCTGTTTTTTCCCCATCTTTGTGGTTTTATCTACCTTTGGTCTTTGATGATGGTGACATACAGATGGGGTTTTGGTGTGGATGTCCTTTCTGTTTGTTAGTTTTCCTTCTAACAGTCAGGACCCTCAGTTGCAGGTCTGTTGGAGTTTGCTGGAGGTCCACTCCAGTCCCTGTTTGCCTGGGTATCAGCAGCAGAGGCTGCAGAACAGCGAATATTGCTGAACAGCAAATGTTCCTGCCTGATCATTCCTCTGGAAGCTTCGTCTCAGAGGGGTACCCGGCCGTGTGAGATGTCAGTCTGCCCCTACTGGGGGGTGCCTCCCAGTTAGGCTACTCGGGGGTCAGGGACTCACGTGAGGAGGCAGTCTGTCCATTCTCAGATCTCAAACTTCGTGCTGGGAGAACCACTACTCTCTTCAAAGTTGTCAGACAGGGACATTTAAGTCTGCAGTGGTTTCTGCTGCCTTTTGTTAGGCTACCCCCTGCCCCCAGAGGTAGAGTCTACAGAGGCAAGCAGGCCTCCTTGAGCTGCGGTGGGCACCATCCAGTTCGAGCTTCCCAGCTGCTTTGCTTACCTACTCAAGCCTCAGCAATGATGGGCGCCCCTCCCCCAGCCTCACTGCTGCCTTGCAGTTCAATCTGAAGACTGCTGTGCTAGCAATGAACGAAGCTCCTTGGGCATGGGACCCTCCGAGCCAGGCGCAGGATATAATCTCCTGGTGTGCCGTTTGCTAAGATCGTTGGAAAAGCGCATTATTAGGGTGGGAGTGACCCGATTTTCCAGGTGCCGTCTGTCACCCCTTCCCTTTGCCTCGCCCTGCTTTGCCTCACACTCAGTGGGCTGCACCCACTGTCCTGCCCCCACTGTCCAACGAGCCCCAGTGAGATGAACCTGGAAATGCAGAAATCAGTTGGAAATGCAGAAATCACCTGTCTTCTGTGTCACTCATGCTGGGAGCTGTAGACTGGAGCTGTTCCTATTTAGCTATCTTGGAGACTCATCAGAATTTCAGAGCTCAATGTCTCCAGCCTCATCAGTGTTTTCAGAGGTTTCCATTCCAATTTACAAGATCCCATTCTTTCCCAACTAATGCCCTCAATTGATAGTAGGTCCCTTGCTAGACCAGGAGTTCAACTTTCATTGTAATTTAGCCAATTGTGTGATTTGGGCTTGTCTTTGGATTTTAGCAATTTTGGCCCTGTGGCTACAGGAGAGATTATTCTTGTAATAGAGCAACTTAGCTTCAAACTGCATTTTAAAACTTTTTTTTCTTTCCTCCTTTCTCTCCAGTCCCAAAATGTAGCTTTGAGACAAACTACAGATGTGTTTCACAGCCTCAGAATGTTTTTGTTCCTCCTTTCTTCCCAGTCTCAAGATGTGGCTTTGAGAAAAACTAGAAATACGTCTTCTTTCGTCTTGACATACAGTCTCAGAATGTGCTGTGAGCCTCCGCTCCCTTTCCCTTTCTTGGCTTATGCTCCCAAGCCTTATGCACATTTATTCACCTAGATGCTCGTTAAGCACATACCATGCTCTCTCATCTGATATTTTTTTTAGGAGCTTCAGAGGCTGCGTCCTGATACAGACCAGACATCTCCGGAATTCCCTTTCTGACAAAAGATTACTTCAAGGCCAGAACCCACTCCTGGCTAAACATTAACTATAAGAGTGACTGCCATTGATTTGTAACTTGGTTGAGCCCACCATGGTGCTGGCCCCTTTGCTAGATGGAACAATAATTCAAGACAAGTCACTGGAGTGGGTTACATCACCTGACACCTCTTAGTTCCTTGTTTCTCATGCATTCCAAACCCCTCTCTCTAAAAAACTCCATATTCCCTCCACAAATTGAAAAGTGGAAAATTTTGGAAAGAATTCCACCCACTCTTCCCTTTGCTAGCACATATATAAAGCCCACTCTCTTTCTGTCACAGCTTGCTCTTGTTGTTTTGGCTTTTTTCTGTAAGTGGTGAGCAGCTGGACCCTTTTGCTGGTTACATTTTCACTTAGAGCACACTTAGAACCTCTAAGCCTACTTATGTCAAGATGGATCTCAAAATTTGTTTTTTCTTCATCACTTTGCCTAGCAACATTAGAAACAACCAACTAACATAATTGTATTCCTTGGTTTTCCAAGTCTGATATGACCCTCACCATAAGTGTAGCATTATCAAAGGTCCTAATTAACAGATGATGATAATGGAGGAATACTCGTGGACAAGATGAGTTAAAAAGTGATTCAGAAGAGTTTGGCCTGACTGAGAGAAATTTTGGAATACTTTCATTCATGTATTTTGCTTTTATATTCCATCACATATGATCATAGGAGTGTTTTAAGACAAATAGCCACATTTATAAAAGTTCAAAAGTTATTTTCAATAATTATGAGATAATTATGCTGGCAGATGGAGCCGTCAGAGGGAGCCGTAGCCAGGTTGGCCTTGGTGAGTGAAAGTCCCTGTTGGTGTGAACACGCATAATCTTCATCTCTGGCACTGTGGTCACTTTACTCATTGGCTACTTGTGCAATTATAAGTGATAAATGATAATTATAAGTGATAAGTGCTATAGTTTTTCACTGGTTTTATGCTTGTGACATAAAATAATGAAGTATTTATACGTGATGCACATGATACTTCCTGCAAGTACTTGGAAAAAGCAGTCACTATTAGCAAATGCTGATGTAATGTGTACTACTGAACAATGATTAGACTACACATTTTATGTATATTAGTTCACTCAATTCTCACATCATCTCAAGAGGCAGACAGACACTATTAACTCTCTCAAGTTCTAGTTCTGAATCTGAACCAAAATTCTATAGGAAGAGGAACAATAGAAGAGATTCTGAAGAATGAGAAGTGAGGCAAGCAAACAGGAAAAAGGAAAGAGAAGAGAAAAAAGTGTGTCTGTAGCACAGGCTAGGGTGTGAGAAGAGGGCAGTGGTATTAGCAGACTGCTGGGTTCAGTGAAATGTAAGGATTGCAGGAACAGGAAGGGCAGACCATGGAGGGACTGAGCCAGTGAGAGAGGGCAGCTCAGGCAGTGATGTAGCAGCAACTCAGAGAGGAATACATTCTGTGTAGAGGAACTTTAAATGTCTAGATCTAGTTTCTTGAAATGTTACTTTAGCCCATGTGGTCTGCCCATCAGGAAGACAGAACAATTGAGGATGGTCGCTGCCCTCTGGGGATAGACATGAGCACTATCAGGAGGCTTTGAGTGTGGGGAGGACAAGGATGAAGACAGGCAGAGAGGACCCTAGGCAGGCTGACTGACAGTATCATGGACTTGGATGTTCCTGTTCACTTCTCTTTCTCCATTACTCCAATTCCCCACTTTACCCCACCTGCAGGTTCCTGTCCTGTGTAGAACACCATTGACATAAATGACTCCATCTTAGAAAAAATACTCCATCTGGCAGCTTTGCATTTCTCTTTGAAGAAAATCCCAGAGACAGCCCACAACCCTTCTGCCATTGCAGCTGCAGTGGTACTGCCCTAACTGCCCTCAGGCAGAGAAAGGAACAAATGGCCTAAGCACTACACTGGCATCTCCAGCACACTGTAGCCACCATATGGAGAGGAGCCCAATTTCTCTTCCCTGCGAGTTCCCACCCCCAACTCTTCAACAGTCAAGGCCCTGGCTCAGGACCACAGAGCAGCTTCCCCACCCATTGTTGAGCATACCCACTAGTAGTGGCTCTGTGTTTCCCTGGGGAAGTACTCCCAGTGGCAACTGACAGCCCCCGTGCCAGTGCCACAGCAATGGCTCAGCCCTTGCTTTCCTCAGTCTGGGGAAGAAACAAAGAGCCTGAGGGTTTCACCTGAGCTTCCAGTACACTGCTGATGATCAGTAAGAAATTATCTGCAGGTACAAAACTTAATGGTAATAGTAAGCTCACAGAAAAACACAGAATAGTGTAACACTGTAATTTTGGTGTGTAAATTATTCATAAGTAGAAAGACCAAATGATTAACCAATCAAAATAAAAACTTTGGCAATTTTTCAAGACATAGACTGCATGTGTAAGACATAAAGAAAAATAACAAAAGTTAAAAAGTGTAGTATGAAGTTAAAATGTAGAGTTTTTATTAGTTTCCTTTTTGCTTGTTAGGTTGTTTCTGCAATCACTGCTATCAGTTTAAAAACAATGGGTCATAAGATAGTATTTGCAAGCCTCATGGTAACCTCAAATTGAGAAAAACATATGATGGATATATACACAAAAAAGCAAGAAATTAAAGCGTACCACCAGAGAAAATCACCTTCACTAAAAGGAAGACAGGAAGGAAGGAAAAGAAGGAAGAGAAGAACACAAAACAACCAGACAACAAATAGCAAAATGGCAAGAGTAAGTCTTTACTTGTCAATAACGTTGAATGTAGATTGACTAAACTCTCCAGTGAAAAGACAAAGAGTGGCTTAATGGATAAAAAAAAGGAAGACCCAGTGATCTGTTGCATACAAGAAACACACTTCACCTATAAACTGAAAATGAAGGGATGGAAAAAAGTTATTCCAATGGAAACCAAGGAAGAGCAGGAGTAACTTAGGGTAATCAGACAAATAGATTTCAAGAAAAAAAAACTATGGGAAGAGACAAACAAGGACATTACATAATAATAAAGGGGCCACTTCAGCAAGAGGATATGACAATTGTAAAAATATACCTATCTATATCTATATATATAGATACATATGTCTATATATATAGATATATATGTCTATTATATAGATATATATGTCTATATAGAGATATATGTCTATATATAGATATATGTGTCTATTATATAGATATATATGTCTATTATATAGATATATATGTCTAAATATAGATATATAGATAATATAAATATAGCTATATCTCCAGCTTTGGAGCACACAGATGTATAAAGCAAATATTATTAGAGCTAAAGAGAGAGACAGATCCCAATATAATAATAGCTAGAGGCTTTGATACCCTACTTTTAGTATTAGGCAGATCTTCCAGACATAAAATCAACAAAGAAATATTAGACTTAATCTGTACCATAAAACAAATGAACTCACTAGATATTTGCAGAACATTTTATTCAATGGCTACAGAATACACATTCTTCTCCTCAGTATAGACAGACCATATGTTCACAATACAAGTCTTAAAATATTCAAATAAATGAAGTAATATCAAGCATCTTCTCTGAACACAATGAAATAAAACTTGAAATCAAAAACATAAGGAATTTTGGAAACTATACAAACATATGGAAATTAAACTACATGCTCCTGAACAACCAGTGAGTCAATGAAGAAATGAAGAAGGAAATTGAAAAATTTCTTGAAACAAGTGATAATCAAAACACAACATACCAAAACTTACAGGATACAGAAAACGTGGTACTAAAAGAGAAATTTATAGATATAACTACCTGCATCAAAAAAGAAGAAATAAATAACCTGACCAAAAAAATATAACTAGATTGTTTGTAACACAAAAGATAAATGCTTAAGGGAATGGATAGCCTATTTACCATGATGTGATTATTATATATTGCATGCCAATATCAAAGTATCTCACGTACCTCATGAGTATATGCACCTACTATGTAGCCACAAAAATTAAAAACTAAAAACAAAATTTAAAAACCCCCAAAAACAAAAGGCCATTCCACCAATCAGTCAAGTCAGGTGCATCAAGATTATGAGTAGCATGGTAAGGCCAGTGAATTCCATGAGCAAAAGTCCATTGTCACACTTGTTTGAGTTTGAAGTAAGTTCCTTAGTCAGAAGGAATGCTGTGTGGAATACTACGACAGTGGATAAGGCATTCTGTAAGTCCAAGGATGACATTTTTGGAAGAAACTTTGCATACAGGGAACATAAATCTATGTCCAGGGTAAGTGTCTGTTTCAGTAAGAACAAAACTCTGTCCCTTCCATGATGGAATCAGTCCAATGTAATCAACCTACCCTCAGGTGTCTAACTGATCACCTCAGAGAATGGTGTCATATTGTGGGCTCAGTGTTGTTCTCTGCTACAGCCAGATTGGGCATTCAGAGGTGGCTATACAAATAAATTATATATCAGTTTTATTTTGTGTTGTTTTAATGATTTTCCATTTGTTTATTCTAACAGATAACAGTTTCTTGAACAAAGGGAGGGAGAAAGAAATTAGGATTTTTTTTTATTGTATTCACACTACCTGTGAAGCAGTATGATCTTTTCAGGAACGGAGCTTAGACCAATTTTAGATGTAGTTTTGCAAGCTATATGGAATTCTATTGCATAGAAAGCCCCAATTTCTTGCTGGCTACTGACAATAGGCTGACTAAATTCCTTCCCGAGTGAGCTTCTTGCAAGTGGAAGAATTCTTCATAAAATCCATCAAGGCTGGGCACGGTTGCTCACGCCTGTAATCCTAGCACTTTGGGAAGCCGAGGCGGTTGGATCACCTGAGATCAGGAGTTCGAGACCAGCCTGGCCAACATGGCAAAACCCCATCTCTGCTAAAAACAAAAATTAGCCAGGCATGGTGCCAGGCGCCTATAATCCCAGCTACTCAGGAGGCTGAGGCAGAAGAATCACTTGAACCCAGGAGGCAGAGGGTGCAGTGAGCTGAGATCGCACCACTTCACTCTAGCCTGGGTGAAAGAGCAAAACTCCGTCTCAAAACAACAACAAAAATCCATCAAGGGAGAGTCAGCCAGCAGGACAGAAATTATAATCTAATGTAACATAATCATTCAAGTAACATACCATCACCATTGCAAATTTTCCAGGCAGAAAATCAATAAATTGATTTTCACAGCAGGCAAGTCACGTTTTCTGACCACACACACAGACAGTGAATTACAGTTCAAGGTTATGTATACTTACAGGTGAGGACCACTGGGAAAAATTTTAGCATCTGCACATCACATTAGGTCTTCTCCATTCTGCAAGAGTTTCTTACTTATTTTTCATGACCTTTGCTCTTCTGAAATGTACTGGTCAGGCATTTTGTAGAATGACCCACAATATAAATTCGTCTGATAATTTCTTATGATTAGACTAGTGATGCGTAGTAAATTAAACACATTCATCTAAGTTTAAAGTCAAGAAAAACTAAACAATATAGTCTTTCAAATTACGAAGAGATAAAAATAATAAAGAAAATTAGGTAATGCCAAAGACTGAATTCACAATAATAGTTACATTCAGTGGTTAAAGATGATGAAATTAAGGAGATACATTAAAGGGACATCAGCAATATTACTGATGTGATGATTTTTAAGCTAAACATTAAAGCAGAGAAACTTTTAAATTTGATAATATTTTTAGGTTTACAGAACAATTGCAAATATAGTAAAAGAGACTTTTCTTATGCTCAATGAAGTTTCCTTTTATTATTAAACTCTTAGATTTGTGCAGGACAGTATTCACAATTAAACTAAAAATACAGTATATAATCTTTAACTACAATTTACAATTTATTCAGATGTTCTCAATTTTCACTTAATATCCAGTTTCTGTTCCAGGATTCTATCCAGGGTACCATATCACATTTAGTATCTGTCTCCTTAGATACAGAGATGGTGACAGTTTCTCACCATTTCCTTGTTTGTGATGACATTGACATTCCTACTTTGGAATTTCTCTGATGTTTCTCTGATCATTGCCCTGAATTTGTGAATCATCTCTGATGATTGCAGAATCACAGAGGTAGTGCCCTTCTCCCACATTATATCAAAGGCAACATGCTATCTACATGCTATATCGTGGTTTATGTTAATTTAATCACCTGGATGAGTAGTTTTTTATCAAATTTCTCTAAAAACACCTTTTTTTCCCTTTCCATACTTAATGTTTAAAAAAGTGACTATATGCAACACACACTTAAGAAGTGGGGGATCATGCTCCACTCCTTATGAGCAGTGTGTCTACAAAAGTTATTTAGAACCCTCACCATAAGCATGTGTCTATTCTTCTTTGCTTATTAAATATTCAATAATTTATTCATATTAATATGAAAACCTGGATTTTTTTTAATTTTACCTATGCTAATGCATTTGTTTTATTGCTCTCATTGTTCAATGATGGCCATTGGAATGTCTTTCAGTTAGATTCTCTCATTTTGAAATACCCTCATGATTAGCGTTTAATTTACTGTTGGTTACTTGGATATTTGTGTTGTGGTTTGACATTTTCTTTAGTTCTGGCACTACTAGATGCTCCAGGCTCATTGTGTTTTATTCCCCACCCAAGCCTAGTATTCACTTTTTTTCATGAAACTCTAGTTTCTTTGAGTGGAAAATGAAATCACAAACTAAGATCTCGACACCGGGTATACTCATTGCTCCTGACATTCTTCTCTTTCTTCTTGCAGTTTTATCAATTTCTGCCTCCTATAGTTTACACTGTGTTATTAGGTGCATATGCTATAAACATTGTTATATCTTGTTGATTTAAGGCCCTGTCAGCTGACAAAGGAAAGAAATATATCTGTGTTTACTCATAAATATACACGTTTGCATAAATATTTCAGCACATCTATACATATCTATATGAAATTAAACATATGTTTATATTGCTTCCAGCACCACATGATCTAATTCATTACCTTATCAATCAATCTACTTATTCATTTATTTGTATGTAGTCTGAAACTCTAACAGTGACCAAGTTGATTCTGTTAACTTAATCATACCATCTTTTTGTTCCCAAAGAACCTTAGTTGAATTTTTGGTGAACGATATTAGAAACAAAGTTTGGGGCAGTGGGTATACTCCTTACCGCTAGGAATGGATTGATTCTATGATATGTCATCTGAGAGAACAAAGAAATGTATATGTGTATATAGTAACTCTCTCTCACATACACATATATGTGTGTGTGTGTATAATATATATGTATATATGATATTATTTCTAATACCATTCACCAAAAATACCACTAAGATTCCAAAAAGATGGTATGATTAAGTTAACAGAACCAATTTGGTCACCATTAGAGTTTTAGGCTACACACAAGTGAATGAATAGATAGGTTGATTCATAGGGTACTGAATATATACATGTATTTCTACATTTGTCCATATATATCTGGCTAGAATTAAGCATGAATTTCTACAAATGTCTTCAGCACTACTTGAATATAATCTAGTAAACATTAATCTTTCCACCAATTCCCACTACTTGCTATGTAACCTCTCACTCTAACAGTGAGACAGTTGGCCAACTTTATGTAATCAGTGAGTCCCAAAATACATGCAATGTGGTTTCAGAATTGGTAATTCACACCCTCATGGGAAAGAACATTACCAACTAGAGTACTTATGTACAAATCCTTTGACCTTTAGACAGGAAAGCTTATATTCTAGGTTTCTTGGGTTAGTCCCATTTGCCCCCATGCTCTTTATAAGGCATCTTTATAAATTTATTACACAATTATATTATTTTGTCTGCATTGTTCCCTGGGATCCTCCAAGTTATTAAATAATGCTTATTGTTTTTGTAAAGTTTCACTCTTTCTGATGTAAAGTTCTTCGGGATATGAAGAATAGTATCATTACCACACTATTATAGCATCATAGAAAATAATTTTAATGCTTAAAAATAAAATCTGTATTTCACCTCTTTGACCTTCCTCCCTCAAGACCGTACTACTATTTTTTAAATATCTCTATAACTTCATCTTTTCAATAATATCATATTAATGGAATTACACAGTATATACTCTTTTTCTAACTGGCTTCTATTTCTTAAGAATATGCTTAAGATTTCAGAAGTATATCTCTTAATGGTTTAGATTTGCATTTGACTAAGGACCAAAGGTGTTGAAAATAGTTTTATGTTCTTATTACACATTTGTATAGTTTCTTTGGGAAATGTTTATTTACACAACTTTTAATTAGGATATTTCCCTTTTTATTTTTAAACTGTAAGTGTTCTATGTCTTCAAACAATAGTCTCCTGTCGCTCATATTATTTGCACACATTTCTCCCATTCTTTGGGTTGTCTGGATTCCATACTTTGAATCAGTAAAGTTTTAATTCTGATAAAATGAAATTTACCTATTTTTTCTTCTGTCACTTTTATATTCGTATTAGGCCATTCTTGCATTGCTATAAAGAAATAACAGAGACTGGGTAATTTATGGAAATAAAAAGGGTTAAATTGGCTCACGGAACTGCAGACTGTACAGTAAAAATGGTGCTGACATCTGCTCAGCTCGTAGGGAGGCCTCAGGAAGCTTCCAGTCACAGTGGAAGGTGAAGAGGGAGCAGGCTTGTCACATGGTGAAAGTAGGAGCAAGAGAGAGAGAGCCGGGAGCCACACTCTTTTAACAGCCAAATATCTCAGGAAATCACTCACTGTGGTGAGGACAGCATCAAGGGGATGGTGCTAAAGCTTTTTTTTTTTTTTTGAGATGGAGTCTTCTTCTGTTGCCCAGGCTGGAGTGCAGTGGCGTGATCTTGGCTCACTGCAGCCTCTGCAGTGCTGCTGCCTCAGCCTCCCGAGTAGGTGGGACTACAGGTGCACTCCACCACGCCTGGCTAATTTTTGTATTTTTAGTAGAGACGGGGTTTCACCACGTTGGCCAGGGTGGTCTTGATCTCCTGACCTCGTGATCCATCTGCCTCGGCCTCCCAAAGTGCTGGGATTACAGGCGTGAGGCACTGTGCCTGGCCCACTCATGTTTTATTTTTTAATTTGCTCCTTTCCCAATAGCTATAGACACTGGCTGGAGTCCATGATTCCTTCCACATCACTTTCATAATTGTGTACATGATATTTCTTTGTACTCATCACCCACAGTGTAGACATGCTTTGTCTTCTTACTCTTTAATGAGTGCTTACTAAAATTTTTTTCAGTTCTCAATGATGTAAAATAGTGCTGCCTTAAAAATGTGTACATACCTGTGCTGTAGTCAGCAGACATTTTTATATTGGCTTGTAAAAGGGGAATTGCAATATTGTATTTTTTTCAGCTAGCATAATACTTTTAAAATATTTTTACACTCCTGACTTTTTAGATTTTCATTTTGTTGACTTAGTCTATAATTTATCCTTCTCCCTATTATTTAACTGATCCACTGATGTCCATTGTTCTAGGCTGAAACTCTGACACTCCTCTGACTTGCTTTATATGTGAATAGATGGCTGAGTGTCCCAGCTAGTGAAGATAGGACTCCTCAAACTGGGTTGAACAGGGGTTGTCTCACCTTAAACCACCAACAGACACGAAGTAAGAAGAGATCAGAAAAAATCAGAACTCCAACAAACAGACTATGATTTAACTAGGGCTTACAATTTGGGGGGTCTTAATGACAGCATGATTAACTTCAGAGGAACACATTCTCCTGTGAAGGAAGCATCCCTGGGTGATTCTCTGAGATTCAGTAGAATATGATTCCTGTGCAAGTAATGCAATTTTCTCATTCTGGAAATGGGGATATCTGGAAAGATATTCGAGGTTTATGAAACATGAGCAACCAACAGAGCAGGACATTGATACTTCACAGTAATACTTTTACTGCACATTAATAGATGGGCATTTGTTTTCCCAAGTGTGTCAGCAGTCTATCTGTGGGCTTCCATACTGTACACAGAAAATTTTAAGGGCAAATATTGAAAAAAATAATTATATTAGAGCCTGGCACCATTTAATTTTATTTCACTGCATATAAAGAGCAGGCCTACACTCTGCAAAATCTATAGACTGTAACATTTATGTAGTGAGGAGCAAAGACAAGATTGTTCCCAAATTTAAAAGAAACAAGGTTTTCTAGGCAACAAATAGAAGAGATAAGCCTTACCAGTTTCCTCTTGTTGGAACTAATTGTGTTCTACTCCTATAGAAGCTCTACTTCCGTTATTTCACAATGTAGTGAGTTTATTCGCCATACTCAAGACGACATAGCAAAGACAAGTTCGTGTCACATGGGGTGGTTCAGTCTACTCACACACTTCATTCATCTAATTTCTAAGGAATGTTCACTTATCCTTGGGCTGGTTGCAAGATTGCTGTATCATATAAAGGCCTCTGTCTTTTTGAAGTCTGGTATGAAATGAAAGTGTTGAAAACCAAGTATATCCAAATGGCTTCCTTCTGTGTCTTTGCCTTTTTCTTCTAATCTATTCCCATATTTCTATGATCCATCTCTCAGTAATGATGGCAGATGGAAGATGGCAAAAATGCTTCTCCCATTTGTTCACTGGATATGGAGAACGGCTTGATTACATCAGAAATCTTCTCCAGACTCTCAGATCCAGCTTCTCCTATCATTGTGTCTTCCAAATCCATGCCACACCACAGCCTGGAAACTCCCTTGAAGTAGTAACTTGAGGCAATAGAAGAGCTCATGTCATTGTTTGACAGTTCTCAGGTGTCTCTATATTTTTTTTGTTGTTGTTTTCACATGTGGGTGAGGGATATCTAATCCCTACCAGTTCCTCCACAACATCTTGATTCATTCTGCCTGCACCTATTCAGTCATTTCTCTTCCCCCTTTCTGTATACTTCTAGTTAACCGTATTATGGTGAATAAGGAGTATTGTGGGTAAAACTCACAGAAAAAGACAGATAAGGGAACTGTCATGTGTTATACTAAAGAGAAGGTCGGAATTGACCAATGCACAATGTCTGTAGGAGTCTCATTGTGGGGACATACAGTATATGTCTCAACTGATATGCTCCTTACTACATAATGTATTTAAAGTGATGAATATCCTAATTACACTGATTTGATTATGCAAATATACCAAATATTCACATGTATCCCATAAATATGTACCTTCAATATGGAAAGGGTATGGAATCCTTTCCATAACCTTTATGTACCTCTGATATGGAAAGGATAATATCTCTGTCAGTTATACTACTATGCACACAATAGACTTATTTTACACTTGTTGAAAAAACCCTTTTAGAATTATAAAGGAACAAGTTTATTCACACACAGATGAAAACAATATTGTAATTAGATCATAAATGACTTCACAGTATCCTGAAATTCTGATTCTTATTGTTCTAGGTCAGATTTTTCACAGAGCCATAGATATCTTATCATCCTCTGTGGCTTGAAGACTAATGGCAATAAAACATTTCTCAATAAAGGAGGCTATACCATTGTCTGTGTGATTTCCACTTTCCCTGTTGACACTTATTCTGCCAGTTTTGATGTAGGTCATCTTGCCAGAAGATGAAAGCAGATTTCAGGTGAAGTTCATACATGTGTAGACATTAAAAACTGTCAAGGCTACTACCAGGCTAACAGCAATTGTAAAACTTGAAAACAAAACATGATTAAAATAGGTAAAATGCAATAAATAATAAAGATTTGAAAATATTTATTCAGAGAGACAAATTGATAGAACTGAAACTTGGAACACAAAAATACTTTATTTTGTCAAAGAGGGTAATGCTGTCTGTAGGGATAGTACAAGTGCAGATGTAGAAGTAGCCTGGCCCATGAGAGGGCTAAGAGGCTGGAGAAGAGGCTGAGGGGAAGACAGGGCTCACATCCTACCCTGACAACAGAAAGGAAGAAAAGAAACATGTTCACCTTCGAGTTAAAACCCTCTTCAGATTGAAAGAAATAGAGAGTTTATTGGGAAGTGGGCAAGTATATAGTTGAGGAGTTTGTGAGATTTATTAATTCATCAGTGTAATTCAATATAAAGGTGAATCTTCTGTGTTGCTATTTGTCCACTACAGGGGGACAACACACACAACCTTTTCATATTCTCTGATATTTCAGTCTGGTGAGGGTTCAGAAAACGTAACTGAAAGCTAAACCATAGGTGGAAGAGCTTCCCTTGGGAGCTGAGAGGACAGGCATCAGACTTGTGATGGAAGGGACAAGGAAGGCCTCCAGGAAAAGGAACAATGGAGGAGATTCTGAAGAATGAATCAAGCAAACAGGGGAGAGAAAAAGAAGAGGGAAAAGTGCATATGAAAAAAATGCTCAACATCACTAATTGTTAGAGAAATGCAAATGAGAACCACGATGAAATACTATCTCACACAAGTCAGAATGGCTATTATTCAAGTCAAAAATTGCAGATGCTGGTGAGGCTATGGAGGATAAGAAACACTTATACACTGCTGCTGGGAATATAAGTTATTTTAACCACTGTGAAAAACAGTTCGCAGATTTCACAAAGAACTTAGAACTACCATTTGACCCAACAATCCCATTACTGGCTGTATACCCACAGGAATATAAATAGTTCTACCATAAAGACACATGCATGCTTATATTCATTGCAGCACTATTTACAATAGCAGTGACATGGAATCAACCTAGGTGCCCATCTATGTTGGACCTGTTAAAGAAAATGTGGTACGTATACACCATGGAATACTATGCAGCCATAAAGTGAAGGAGATCATATCCTTTGCAGCAACATGGATGCACCTTGAGGTCATTATCCTAAGCAAACTAATGCAGAAACAGAAAACCAAATACCACATGTTGTCACTTATAATTGGGAGCTAAACATGGACTACACATTGACACAAAGAGGGAATAACTAAGACATTGGAGCTTAGTTGAGGTTGGAGGATGGGAAGAGGGTGAGAATCAAAAAAACTATCAAGTACTATGCTGACTACCTGGGTGATGAAATCATTTGCTCAACAAACCCAATGACAAGCAATTATTCATGTAACCAACCTGCATATATACCCCGAACCAAAAGACAAATATTAGAAAAAAAAACCAAAATCAATCAATTAAAATTATGAGAAAGGCTACAGAAAAACTAAAACTCACATCCTGAATTCAGAGACCAGCCATTTTATTATATGCAAGTATGAACTTTACCATATTTGATTTATTTCTTCCTGAAGAGCTATAGACATTGGCTGAAGTCCATGATTCTATATACCTTATTTTAAAAAAAATCTATATGACATTTACTTGTACAGTTAACATATAATACACATATGTATTATTTTCCTACTTTTTTATTAGTGATTAATAAAATTGTTTTTGGCTTTCACTGAAATAATAAATGCCACTCAGGAAATGTGTACTTCCATTTCCAGAGAGCCAATATTTTTGTCATGTGGTCTTGTAGAAAGGGAATTGCAATCTTATTTTTTTCTTATAAACTAGCATAATATTTTAAAATTTGTGACTTTTTATGCTTTTTTATCTTTTTATTTACCTTTACTAAGTCAATAATTTACCCACCTGCCTATTATTTTAGCCAATCTGTTGATGTTCATTGTCTTAGGCTGGACCTTTGACACTTGTCTGACACAGTCTATATGTGAATAGATGGCTGAGTGTCCTGGCTAGTGAAGATGGCATTCCTCGCCCTAAGTTGAACAGTGTTTTCCTCACCTGAAACCACGAAGACACAACAGCAAGAAGAGGGTATACATAATTCAGGACTCCACAGCAGATGAGAATTTGCCCACAGTGTGGAGGGCCCTAATGCCAACAGGACAGTGTTGAGAAGCACATATTTTCTTTTGAATGAAGCATTTCTACAGAGGGGGGTCTCTGAGACTCAAGAGCATATATATGCTATACAAATAATAAAATCTTCAATCAAATAGCCTAAAAATTCTACTCAAGTGGCTGCATTTGTTCATGATTTATGAGATGTTAGAAACCAATAGAGCAAGACAACTGATAGTTTATGGATGTTTTTACTCCAAATTAACAGAGTAGCTTTTGTTTTGCCAGCTACAGCTGTAATGAGGAGTTCTGTGATTTAACACTGTATCAAGATAATTTCAAGGCCAGATCTTGGTCAAGAACACATGTTTTGCCTATACATTGTGATTGCATTAGAACCAGGCACCATTAACCAAAATTTTACCGAATATGAAGAGCAATATACTCCATGCAAATAAAACAGCCTGTGGAATGTACATAGTGAAGGACAGAAGCAAGATGATTCTTGAATTAAAGCAAACTGGATGTTTACCAGGGAAGCAAACAGAGTAGATATACATTAACATTATCTTCTTCTTTTGATAATGATTGTGTTCTTCTCGTATAAATAAAAAGCTCTACTTGCATTATTTCATATTATATTCAGTTTATTGGCCACATATAACAAAATAACATAGAAAACCCAGGAGAGGGTCATATGAGGTGGTTCAGTCTATATATACATGTCATTTCTGACAACTCTAATGAATGACCACTCATCCTTGGGCTTGTTGCAAGACAGCCATGCTATGTAAAAGCATCTGTCTTTTTGCAGACAGGAATAAGATGAAGGATTCAAGGTCAAGTTTACTCAAATAGGTTCTCCTGGGGTCTTTGCCTTTTGTTTCTGGAGTATTTCCGAAGTTCTGTAAACTATGTGTTGGTGGAGTAATTGCAACCCCACCTGTATGAGAGCTGGCATGATTACTCTCTCTCAATTTTACCACTGAATGTGGAGAATGGCTTGATATACTCTTGGCTGTATGCTTCCAGATGACAGTATTAAGGTGAATATGAAACATTATGAATGGAACCCACAGAGAAAGATAAATCAATAAACTCACATTTGTAACCCTAAAGGTAAAGTTAGAATCAATCTATGCACAGTGCCTGTAGGAGTCTTGATGGAGGACGTCTCTACATATCATTGAATCAAAAATTTAGATGTATCTAAAGGAAAAGAAGATATCACTGTCAATTAGACTATTACACATAATAGCTTCATTTTATACTTACTGAAAAACCCTCCTAGAATTATAAAGGCATGATTTTTATTCACATAAAGATGAAAGCAACATTGAAAATATCCCTAAATGAATTCACAAATATCTTGACATTCTGATTCTAGTTGTTAATTAGATTTTGACACAGAGATATGAATATCTTAAGACATTACCTTCTGAGGCGAGAAGACTCATGGCAATAAAACATTTCTTCATTAAAAAGGCTGCGACCATGCATGTTCATTGCAGCACTATTTACAATAGCGAAGACAAGGAATCAATCTAAATGCCCATCAATAATAGACTGGATGAAGAAAATGTGGTACATATACACCATAGAATACTATACAGTCATAACAAACAATGAGATCATGTCTTTTTCGGGAACATGGATGGAGCTGGAGGCCATTATCCTTCGCAAAATAATGCAGGAACAGAAAAACAAATACCGCATGTTCTCACTTATGAGTAGGAGCTAAGTGATGAGAACACATGGACATATAGAGGAGAACAACACACACTGAGGCCTATGGGAGGGTGGAAGGTAGGAGGAGGGAGAGGATCAGAAAAAATATCTAATAGGTACTAGGCTGAATACCTGGGTGATGAAATAATCTGTACAAAAAATATTCACGACCACAAGTTTACCTATGTAACTATCCTGCACTTGTACCCCTGAACTTAAAATAAAAGTTTTTTAAAAGGCTGCATTATTGTCTGTGTGATTTCCGCCTTTCCTGTTGACACACATTCTGCATGTTTTTATACTGGTAATCTTATGTAACATAAAGTGACAACAGAAGATTTCAGGACTAGTTCATCTGTGTGCAATGTAAACTATGTTTTGGTTGCCACCAGACTAACAGTAATTGTGATTAAAAATTTAAAGATTACATACAAAGTTCGTAAAATTTGAGTATGTAACTAAAATGTATTTGGAAATGTTTATCAATTGAGCCATGTTAATATACCTGACTCTCAAAGAACAAGACCTTTCTTAGTCAAGGGGACAAAACTGTTCAAAAGAAAAAAAGAGGTTCAGATGAGGTAGAAGCAGCTGGGCCCATGAGAGGGTCTCTACAGTGGATCAAGGATGGGCAGGCTGAAGAAGAGGTGGGCGGGGGGAGGTCAGGATTCATATCCTTTCCTGAGAACAGAAGGGAGTAAAAGAAACAGGCTCATCTTCAAGTTCAAAATTTTTTCAGATAGGAAGAGACTTGGAATTTATTGGAAAGTAGACAAGAATATGGGTGAGGAGTTTGAGAGATTCATGAATGCATTTGCAAAATTTCAAATAAAGGTAAATATTCTCTGTTGATCTTTGTTCACCACACATTTTGGGCTCACAGGGAGCAACACAGACAAAGTTTCAATTTTCTTTGATATTCTGGTCTGGTGGGGATTCAGGAAACTTAACAGAAATCTAAACTACAGGTGGAAGAACTGCCCTTGGGAATGAAAAGGACAGGTTTCAGGCCTGGCATGGGATGGACAAGGGAGACCTCTAGAAGGAGAAGCATTGGAGGAAATTCTGGAGAGTGAGGAGCAGTGAGTCCAGCAGACAGGGGAGGGAAAGGGAAGAGGAAAAGGTGTATCAATGCACAGGCCAGGGCATGAGAAGAGGGCGGTGGACTGGAAGGACTGCTGGGATCAGTCATATGTGAGAAGGTCTGAGCAGAAAGGGCAGACCATGGAGGGACTGGGTGATAATGCAGGGGAGATATTTTCAAGGAACACACATGTTGTTCACACATCTGTGTCTGTGTGTCTTCTTATGTTTTCTTTCATACTCATACAAACGTCATGATTTTTGTGTTTCTCAGAGTGTGACATGTATTTTGATTTTATTCTTTCTACCCTTTTGCATTTTGCATATAGTAATAGTTATTTTTCTAAATTTCTTTATTTTTTATTTTTTTATTTGAGATAGGGTCTCATTCTTGTTGCCCAGGTTAGAGTACAGTGGCAAAATCATGGCTCACTGAAGCCTTGACTTTCCAAGCTCAGGTGGCTCTCCCACCTCAGGTTCCCAAGTAGCTGTGACTACAAGTGTGTGCCACACCCAACTAATTTTTTTTTTTTTTTTTTTTTTTTTTTTTTTTTGTAGAGACAGGGTTTCACCATGTTGCTCAGGCTGGTCTCGAACTCGTAGGCTCAAGCCATCCACCTGCCTTGGACTTCCAAAGCGTTAGGATTATAGGCATGAGCCATGGCACAGAGCCTACTTGCCTACATTTTTTACTGGTGAATTATTCATAGTTGAAGTATTTGCTGGCTTATTAAGCAAATGAAATTACCCCCTTTGTATGTCTTTGGTTAATCATTTCTTAAGATTAGTATCCCCTCATTTTAGGAGAGAGTCACCACTTCATGTCCTTAAGCAGGGATTTTATTTGGGGTTCTGTTTTTCCTGTTAATTTTGGAAACTTCTATGTTTTGGAAACTAAGCCACATATTCATTTGAAAAATTCAGTCCCATTACCTTTTACTTTGTTCTTTACCTGTAAAATATCATATCTTTTGTTCTGCTTACCTTGTATTTAATTTGTACTTTTTTCAGGTTTGTAAGTAAGATGTTTAGATAATTGATTTTTATATTTCTTTGTTTTTACTTATTTTATTTTGTCTTTGAGATGGGGTCTCACTCTTTCTCCCAAACTGGAGTGCAGTGGTGCAGTCTTGGCTCACTGCAACCTCCCACTCCCAGGTTCAAATGATTCTCCTTCCTCAGCCTCCCATGTAGCTGGAATTACAGGTGCCTGCCACCATGCCAGGCTATTTTTTGTATGTTTAGTAAAGACAGGACTTTGCCATGTTGGTCAGGCTGGTCTTGAACTCCTGACTTCAAGTGATCCTCCTGCCTTGGCCTCCCAAAGTGCTGGGATTGCAGGTGTGAGCCACCATGCCTGGCTTTATTTTTAATATATAACTCTCAATGCCATAAATTTTCCACTAAATTCTCTTGTGTTTCATACATTTTGATAAGTTTTGTTTTCATTTAAAGTTTGTTCAAAATATATTTAATTTTTTGCTAAGGTTTCTTCTTTGACCATAGGTTACTCCAAAGTTTTATTATTTAAGTTCCTTGTATGTTAGGATTTTTCTGTTACCTTTCTGTTACTGATTTCTAGTTTAATTACTTTGTTGTCTGAGAGCAGATGTTGCATAATTCCTGTTCTTTTTAAGTTGTTAGGGTATGTTTTATCTAAGAGAATGTGGTCTATCTTGCTGAATGTCCCCTAATGGCTTGAGAAGAATGTGTACACTGTCCATTGTTGGATGATGTAGTTTATAGATGTCAATTATGTCCACTTGATTGATGGTGCTGTCCAGTTTCACTAGGTCTTTACTGAAAATCTGCCTTTGGGATTTGGCCATTTCTGACAAAGAGTGTCAAAGTCTTCAACAATAATTTTTTATCTATTTTTCCATCCAGTTCTATCAGTTTCTGCCTCACATAGTTTGACACTCTGTTTTTAGGCATTTAGATTTTAAGGCTTGTTGTATCGTGTTGGAGAATTAATCTATCTTTATGTAATGCCCTTCTTCATCTGTGATAACTTGGTGTGCTTTGAAGTCAGCTCGTTGTGAAATTCATATGGCTACTCCTGCTTTCTTTTAATTACTGTTAGCATTAACAGTTTTGTTAGGGTTTTTTAGATCTATTTACTTTTAATTTATAGGTCATTATATTTAATATGTTTGTATCATATACAACATATAATGTTTTTTTTTTTTTTCATCTGCTCTGGAAGTTTCTATTTTAAATTTTGCAGTTACACCATTGGCATTTAGAATGCTCATTGAAATAGTTAGATTAATATCTACCTTATTTTCCTCTTTTCTGTTTGTTGCCCTTGTTTTTTACAGCAATAACAAAATGGACTGGAGGAAGGAAATAAGATTATTTTCTTATAATCACATTATCTGTGAAATTATACACTGTTATTTAAAAGGGGGCTTAGATTCATTGTAAATGCATATTGCAAAGTCTAGGGCAGGCTGTTCCACCAAAGGCCTCAGTTCCTTGCTTGCTATTGGCCAGAGACTGCGCTCAATCCTTCCCCATCGGCTTCTCTCACACGGCAGCATGCTTCACCAAGGCCGTTAGGGAGAGAGAGAGTTTACTAGCAAGATAGAAACCACAATCTATGTGACGTAATCACCTAAGTGACATCCCATCACGTTGTAGTATTCTACTGTTTATAACCAAGCCACATTGCCTGACCACAGTCACTGGGAGGGGATTACAACACCAGGTTGTGTACACGAAGAGGTGGGGGTAATCAGGCTCCATCCTAGGGTCTACCTGACACATCAGGTCTTCTCCAATCTGCAACAGTTTTTCAGTCTTCACTTATTTTTCAGGATCTTGACCTTTTTGAAAAGTACCAGTCAGGCATTTTGTATAATTTCTCACAATATAAGTTTGTTTGATGATTTCTCATGATTAGACTAGAGATATGGATTAAATTAGACACTTATGTTTATCTAAGATGGAAAATAAGAAAACCAACATGATATATTATTTAGAAATACAGACTCATAGAGAAAGATAATGACAAATAAGGGAATGATAAGTAGGGAATTCAAAACACTAGTTCCCATCAGAGTATAAAGAGGATGGAATTAGGGAGATGCATTCATGGAGTGTAAACAGCATTGCTAATGATCTATTCATCTCAGCTGTGATTTTAACAAAAAGAAACTTTTATTTTAGAGTGGTTTGGGATTTAAAGACTAGTAGCAGAGATAGTACAAAGAATTTCCATATACTTGACACAAATTTCCCTTAATATGAACTTCTTTCATTAGTGTGTCTCGTTTACCACAATTAGCAAACCAATGTTACACATTATCATTTACAAACATCTACATTCCAATTTTCTTAGTTTTCACTTTTTTCCATTTTCTGTTCTGGGTTCCCATCCAATATACAAGATCACATTTAGATGTCATGTCTGCTTAGGCTCCTTGGGCTGTAACAGTTTCTCAGACTTTCCTTGTTTTTCATAATATTAGCATATCTCGTTTGAAATTTATTTAATATTTTCCTCATGATTAGACTGGAGTTAAGGGTTCTGGGGAGGAAAATCACAGAGAGAAAGTGCCATTCTCATCACATCACATAAGGGCACACACTGTGAACATGTTGCTGTTCATGCTAATTGTTAATTTGATCCCTTTGTTAGACTTCTCCACTATAAAATTATTCTGTTTTCCCTTTCCATGTTACATTTTTTGAAACGAAGTCACTGGGTAGCACATAGTTAATAAGTGGGGAGTCATCATCTATGTCCTCACAGGCAGAGAATCTATAAAAATTACTGGGAATCTTGCAGCATGGACAGTTTGTCTGCCTCTATTTATTGTATATTCATTCACTCATTTATTTATATCACTGCATTATGGGTATTTATTTTAAACTTTACTTATACTATTTTGTTTATTTTCATCCTCGAATTGTTCCAGTTTGACCACTGGAAAGAGTTTCAGCAGACTCCTGTTTCATTCGGAAACATCCACACCATTGCAATTAGTTTTTTTTGTTTGGTTGGTTGTGTTGTTGATTAGCATTTTCTTACTTTCTGGCACTATGTGATGCTCCTGGCTAACTGTGTAGATTTCCTTCCCATGCCTAGTATGCACCATTTTCTTTTTTTCTACTGACAAATAATTGTGTATATTTATAAAGTGCAGTGTGATGCTCTGATCTATGCACAACTGCAGAAAGATTTAACAAGCTAAATAACATTTCAATTACCTCACCAACTTATTTTTTAGTACAATGAGAACATTAAAAAGCCTATGCTTTTGGCAGTTTTGGAATATATAATACACTTTCATCAATAGTGGTTACCATGTAGCGCAATAGATCATCAAAACTTATTTCTCCAGTCTAACTGAAACATTCCACTCTGATCAACATCTCCCCATTCTTTGTCCCTTGCCAGACTCCCCAGCCTCTGGTAATCACCTTTATTTATACTCTCTGTTCCTATGAGATTAGCTTTTATTGGTTTCTACAAATAAATGACATCATACATTATTTGTTTTCCTGGACCTGACATATTTCGCTTAGTATAACATCCTTCAATTCCATCCTTGTCATGAATGACTAAATGTCCTTCATTTAAGAGGCAAAATAGTATTTCTTTATTAAATTTTGTTTAGTTTTTATTTTCTTTATTCAATTGATGGACATTTAGGTGCTCCCATGTTTTCACTGTTATGAATAATGCGGAAATGAACGTGGGAATGCAGATATCTCTCCCACGTACCAATTTCAAATCTTTTGGATATATACCCAGAAGTAAGATTGTTGGATCATATGGTAATTTTACTATTTAGTTTTTGAGGAACTCCTATACCATTTTTCCAAATATCATTTACTTCCCCAGCAACAGTGTACAAGTGTTCCCTTTTCTCCACATCCTTGCCAACACTGGTTAGCATTTGTCTTTTTGAAAATAGCCATTATAACTGGTGTGAGATGATATCTCATTGTGGTTTTAATTTGCATTTTCCTGATGATCAGAGTTGTTGAGAATTTTTAATATTCATTTTCACCATTTGTATGTTTTCTTTTGAGAAATGTCTTTTCAGATCATTGGAATTTTTTTGTTGGTTTGCCTTCTTTGTTATTGAGTTGTTCTTGTCTCAGTCTGTACGTTGTCTCTTCACTGTTAATTTTTTCCTGTGCTGTGCAGAGTCTTTAGTTTGATGCAGTTCCATTTGTCTATTTTTGCTATTATTACCCATGTTATTGAGCTCATATGCAGAAACTAATTGCCCAAACCAATGTGATGAAGATTTTCCCCTATGTTTTATTCTATTAGCTTTACAGTTCCATGTATTTTGTTTAAGTTTTTATCCATTTTGAGTGGGCTTTTTAAATATGGTATGCAATGAAGTGAAAGTGAAAGATATGAAAGTTCTTTTGGTAAGCAATTTCTTTTTTTTAGCTCATGATTTCTTTGCACTTAATAATTAATGACCATATTTAGAAAGAACCATCTTAGAGTGTGGTGAAGCAGGAGGGAAGATATGCTACCCATTTGTAAATCATTAGGTTCAAAGAAATTTAAGGGCTTGATCTTTGAATGTTGTGGAATTTAGCCTCATTTCCCAGAGAGAAATGGGAACACACTTGTACTTATGTTACTTAAAATAAATCTACACATGTTGATAGAAGGCATCTTCTAGTTAGATACTGAGGGGAAAACAAGAGCTATAAAAGTTAGTCCTGACTTTAAGAAGTGTACAACTTAGTTGGGGAAAGGGCATTCAATGTCTAAAGAGAATAAGCCTGATGCAGGTGGTCCAAAGGTCAAACTGATAAACTTTGTTCCAAAACAGATGAGTCTACTTTTTTTCTATTAAAATCCTTAATTGCAGTGCCTAAAATCCTTAACTGCAATGAATATGAGACTTAAAATTAACTATAAGAAACTCTCAGGGGTGTAATCGTCAACTAGTCATCTATGAGTGAGTAAGTGAAGGTGTTGACAGCTCCAAGAGGCCACTCTTCATTACATTCTTTCTTATTTGTGTCATTTTCCAGTATTAGCCACCACTTATGCTGAAATTGATGACATAAAAAAGGGAAAAAGTGAGAAACCCACTTTTCCTTTTAGTCCCTTCCTACTCATCAGTCAGCTGAAGAAAGAAAGTTTGGGTAGAATGTGTGCATATTAAGAAGTGACATAAAAACAGTTGAATTATTTTTGTACAGCATTTCTACTGCGATGTTTAAACAAATGAAAAAAAAAATACATGTGCATATACAAGCTACAAAACAGAAATTGTGAGACTTTTTGGAAATTTTGCATATCAGATAAATGTTCTTATATTTACATGTAAAACTAGCACTCTTGTTATAAAAAGGAATGCTAAAATTAATGCTAATAACTTTACATTATACTTTTTATTTACTTAAAAATATTAAATAGCAAATTTTTAAAAAACTATGAAAGTAGAGAGACTACAGAAAAAAAGAAAAAGCTTCATGTTTTATTTATTTATTTACTTAGTTACTTATTTTTAGAGACAGAGTCTCTCTCTTTCTGTTGTCCAGGTTGGAGTGCAGTGGCACAATCATGGCTTAGTGCAGCCTCAAGCTCCTAGGTTCAAGCAATCCTCCCACCTCAGCCTCCCAAGTAGCTGGGACTCCAGGTGTATGCCACCACATCTGGCTCTTCATTTGTTAGTACTGTACTACTTTCTTAGGGCTTCCATAATAAAATATAGCAGTCCCTCGGTATCTGATGGGAATCGGTTCCAGAACCCCTGTGAATACCAAAGTCCGCAAATGCTCAAGTCCTTTATATAGAATGGCTTAGTATTTACATATAACCCACATACATTCTCCTGTATACTTAAAATCAACTTTAGATTACTTGTAATACCAAATACAATACAAATGCATTGTAAATAGAAGTTACACTGTATTTTTTCATTTGTATTATTTTTCATTGTATTGTTATTTTAGACTTCCAGTTGGTCGAATGCATGGATGTGGAACCTGTAGATATGAAGGACCAACTGTACCACAAACTGTATGGTATAACCAACATAAATTGATTCTTTTACAATTCTGGAGGATAAAAGTCTGAAAATCAATATGTTGGCAGGGTCTTGTTCTCTCCAAAGGCTCTGAGGAAGCATCATTCCTTGCTTCTTTTGGTTTCTGATGGTTGTCAACAACCCTTGGCATTCTTTGACAGCACATCTGCATCACTTCACTCTCTGCCTCCATCATCACATGGCTATCTTCCCTCTCTTTGTATGTTTGTTTCCAAATCTCTTTCTCCTTTTAAGAATAGAAGTCGTTAGTTCTTGCACCCTAACCCAGGACAACTTCATCTTAACTTGATTATATCTAGAAAAAAATACTAACTCTATTTCCAGATAAGGTTACATTCACACATTCCAGGTGAACATTAATTTGCAGAAATGCTATTCAACTCAGTGAAAATGCCTTTAACAGCATTTTTTCCTTATATTTTGAACAAGGCACCCTGAATTTTCATTTTCCCTAGGCTTTACCCATTCTAGCCAGCCCTGATTGTCACCTTGTCATTGATAGAGCCCATGTTGGAAAATATGGTTTAATGAGACAGACAAATGAGTCTGCTAGCTCAACTCCAGAATTATACAGACTTGCCCACTCTGTTGCAGCCAGTTGCTTCTAGACAGGCCCATGGGAAAGAGGCATGCCCATAAAAGACACATGCCTATGTAGCATGGAGGAGCAGAGACTTTTGTCTCTATAGGAAGGCTTACTCCTAAGATGAAGAAAATAAGAGCAGAACAAAGCATGGCCAATTGTTCATTCCAACTTTCTAGTCAGGCCATTTCATCTACCCAGGATTAGAGGTCAAAAAGTATACTAGTCAAACTCCCTTTACAAGGAAGCAACATTAAAAATGAAAATAAAATTTTTAAAACAATCCCCTGCTTTTGACTCTTTTAATTAATTGAACTATGCCTTTAAGCCTGTAGCCAATGAAGTATGGCTATCTCCTTCAGAAAAAACGGATCAGAAGTTTACCAGGATATCACTGCTCTCATTTCATGTAGCTACTCATTTGGGTGCCTCCTTGGACTGCTGGTGAGCAACCTAGATTTAAGTCCCTGAACTCTCTGAAATGGATGAGAAAATGCATTAATTCAATCAAATCCAATGTGAAAATCACACTTCTATTTGCCATCCTAAAATGCAGCTAGCCACAGAAATATGACAGTTATAGGGCATAAACCTTCTAATATGTGGCTGAATTCACTTTGTTCATATTTTGTTGAATTTTGTTTGTTTGTACATCAATCTTCATAAGAGATATTGACCTGTATTTTTTTTCCCATATTATATTTGTCTGGCTTCAGCATCAGGGTAATGCTGGCCTCACAGGATAAGCTAAAAAGTTATTTCCTCCCTCTTCAACTTTTTAGAAGAGTCTGAGAAAGGCTGGCTTTGAGTTACTGTATAGCATCCTTCCATTTCAATCTGAAAGACTGCCTTTACCATTTCTTCTAAAGAAGATCAGTGATAATGAATCCTTTAGCTTTTTCTTGTCTGAAAATGTCTTAGTTTTCTCCTCATCATGGTGGACATTTGTGGTAGGTATAGAATTCTCAGTTGACAGGTTTTTTTTTTCCTTTTAACACTTTAAATATATCATCCTACCAACTCTGGATTCCAAAGTTGCTGTCTGATAAGCTGGTTGATAATCTTACTGACAATGACCTATGCATGAGGAGTTGCTTCTTTGTTGCTGCTTTCAAGAGTCTCTCTTTGTTTTTTGTCTTTCAGCAGTTTGGTAATAATGTGTTTGTGTGTAAGTGTCATTGGCTCTGTCTTGGAGTTCATTGAGCTTACTGGATTTATAGATTAACATCTTTCATCAAATTTGGACGTTTTTAGGCATAATTTCTTTAAATATTCCCTTTGGCCTTTGTTCTCTTTCTTTGCCTTCCTGAACTCTCATAATGCATATAGGTCCCTTTGATGGTGTCCCACATTTACCTTAAGCTCTGTTCACTTACTTCATCCTTTTTTTCTGGACTCCTCAGGAATGGTTTCAGTCAGTTAATTTGGTTCCTTTAATTAGGTCATGTTTTTCTGTTTCTTTATGTGCTTTGTGATATGTCATAGTTGAAAATTGGACATTTGGCTGGGCATGGTGGCTCATGCCTATAATCCCAGCACTTTGGGAGGCCGAGGTGGGCGGATCACCTGAGGTCAGGAGTTCAAGACCAGCCTGGCCCACATGGTGAAACTCTGTCTCTACTAAAAAATACAAAAAGAATTAGTCGGGCTTGGTGGTGGGTGCCTGCAGTCCCAACTACTTGGAGGCTGAGGTGGAGAATTGCTTAAACCCAGGAGGCAGAGCTTGCAGTGAGCCGAGATCGCACCACTGCACTCCAGCCTGGGAGACAGACCGAGAGTCTGTCTCAAAAAAAAAAAAAAAAAAAAAGAAAAAGAAAACTGGACATTTGAAAAATAGACACATCTCCTATTTTTGCAGACTGGCTCTGTGCAGGGCAGTCCTTCGCCCATTAGCTGGACTTCCTCTGAGCCTAGGGACATCCATACATGAAAATTTAAGGTCTTCTTAGGTCTTTTCTGAGTATGCATCTTTCCTGGGCCTGAAAGTGGCCTTCTCAACTCTCCCATATACATGGCTTCCATTGAATGTCTTAATTTTCCAAAAAGTCTGACCCTTGATTCCCCTCTGGGTCTTAGATGGTCTATTGCATATTTCCACCTGTAATCTTTATCCCAGGCATCAGGTCTGTAGTCTCCCTGTAGCTTTGACAAGCAGAAAGCTGACATTTTTTCCACCTGAAATCTGAGTTAGGAGAAATAGAAGTCAATCCTTCAAGCAGCACCCAGAGAGGTTAGAACATTGCAAATAAAATATTCTCTTCTGCAGGTTGGGGTGAGGGGACTGGTAACTGGGCTGTCATCTCTCCCAGGCCAAGACCATGATACACGAGAAGGGAGATGGGAATTTGGGCAAAGCCAAGTGAAAGTAACACAACATTTCTTACCATTTGAAGGTGGCTTTTTCCTGATTCAGAATGTGTTTGTTTGCTAAAAACTTTGACTATTTTCCGGAGTTTCTATAAGGTTAGTAGAGCCAGTTTCTGTTTCCTTCTTTGGTGTTTTTGGCGTTTCCAGAGCTTGGAGCTTCCTAGTCTGACATTTTGTTAATGTCACTCTTGTTGATTAGTCCTTTCATTGAACCTTTTAATGTGTTCTTCACATTCATTGATAATAGGACAAAGACCATTCATTCTTCAATGCCATTATTTTTCACCCACATTCTAAAGACAGTTTCTATGATACCACCAAAAACTTATTGTTAAACGCAACGTAATAACACAGAAAAATCTTGGAGTTTAGAGTTCATCAGGACTTCATTGGAATTCTGGTCCACAATGTATTCGTTTTTGGATCTTGGACAACCATCTTAAGCTCTGCAAGTCTTAGGGTAGTGAGTTTATCCCATTACCTTCACCTGTAATATAATCACATTACAATTTTGATTTAAACTCAAGCTTAGACCAAAAGCTAGGTTTTCTGTGACTTCTCCCCTGATTAACTCACAAGCCATCTCTCCCTTATTCAAATGGCTTATCTTATGAAAATCCCATAAGCGCTTTTATGCCTCCTTTGAATTAGTATAGTATTTCTTGTTTGTATCACTTATATGTCAGTTGCCACTTTGTAACTAGAAATAATTTCTTCTATTTGTTCATGTCTTGGCACTTTCTTAAGAATGTGTTCCTCTGGAAGAAAAGTCATGTCTATCTGCTAATTAATCTATTGTATATTTATTGACTGTTTCCTAGACATTGTGTTAGGTTCTGTTTATAGATGATAGTGAAATATAATTCCTCCTCAGAAAGTCACAGTCTTTTTGGGAAAATAGATAAATCAAGCAGCCTATGTATCAAATAGTTTTGCATTTCCCACAGATAAAGTGATTAATAGGTACAATAAATTCATGTATCATAAGTAAATATATAAATGCTTATTTGGTATTAAAATCCAGTTAACCACTTTTCTATTTTGAAATAGAAATTTTCTATTTTCTCCTTGGTTTGCTCCTTGCCATCTGGTATAAACTTCAGATAGCAAGAAGCAAACCTCAAGAGGTTCAGAACTTTAGTTCTGAGAAGTATCTAGAAGTTCAGGTGATTACTTGGCATTTATACAACTTGCTTTACATGAAAATACAGCTGTAAATCTCACAAGGTTAGGTGATCTTTTAAGAATTTCAATATGTTCTGCTATTTGTTGGAAGACCTGTAAGAATAGCCCACCTTTAAAATGCAATTTAATATACAACAGGCTATGTGTTAGCTAAATGAGCTCAAGAAATGAAGGAAATATGTTTTAGTTCCATCTATTTTGGACCCCCAGTCGAACCATCCACTTCTGCTCTATCTCTGCCATTTTATCTTCTATAAAATGGAGGAAGCTCTAAAGACATAGTTAAAGAGATGCTACACAGCTTCATATGTAATTGTCTTTATTTGTTTTAGAATACCAATGACATATAAACAACTACTACAATACCAATGACATAAAAACGACTACTACGAAGAATCAAGTATTTTTTGAGTCAAGTAGGACTCTGTCAAAACAAAGAGAAGTAAAGGGACCCCAAAATGACTATGACTTTCTCAAGGGGACACAATTATTTTTTGATAGATCTGGAACAAGAACCTAGATATCCTCAATCCCACTTTATTGTTCTTTCATTGGGTTCTGAACACAGATAAATAAACAGAAAATAAAATTCTTGTCTTCTACATAACTGGTGCAGGTCCTGGCAAGATTGAAATTGGAATACTGAGTATTAAGAAGTAATTGAAAAATTGTGAAAGCTAAATGATACATACCAGGTACATAGGAATGTGTAGCACCTGAAGATGATTCTATAGGTGAGCAGAACTGGTAATTCAATGTGTGTGTGTACTGTAGTTTACAACAGGATAGTTAAATTTCATTTTCTGATACCTTGAAGGCTCCTCCCAAACATACAACACTAAATAAATATTTAAACTAGATCACATTTAGTTCTGCATGCTTATATACATCAATAAATAATTTGTTTTAGTTACCTTGATTTTTAATTTATACTTGGTTATTTCCAAACACAAAACAGAGGCTGGACATAGGTATATGGGAGGCTGCAGAGATAAAATAAGCTCACTTTATTCACTGCCAAAAGTAAGATCCTAACAACCTCTACATACCTGAATGTGTTCAGACCAACTATCTTCATTTTACAGGCAAGCCTTCTGGAAAAATCAAGCTGAAGAAATCTTAATTGCCCAATGTCCCTTATCTGTTTCAATAAGTATAATTATATAATATCAGAATTCTTCTGAGTGACAGAGAAAGGCAGCCTGGCTGAACATCCCCATGGCCATAATGCAGATATGATGGTCTCCAGCTATTTTAGAAAGACTGGAGCCTACTATTCCCATTACTTATCTTAATAGAGAATAACATTTAATATTCTCTATGTTTTGTGCTGGATAAATCTTTTTCCCTTTATTAAAATGAATGACCCATAACTGAGTCTGTAGTTTGTACATTGTTGGAAGCTGAATAAATCTCTGTGGGTTACCAGAATCTTATTAATAAGTCACAGCTTTCTAGGGAGGATCTGCTCAAAAACTCAAAGTTTAGTTTTACATTTATAACTAAATTATGATACAACCTTGAGCAAGTTAAGCTCATCTGTAAATGAAGAATACTGATACTTGCTACTTCAAAGGGCTCTTGTAAAGCGTTCAATAAATTAATAGAGGTGTATACACATGCATATATTTTAATACTTACACATACTTTAAAAGAACCCTACATAATCCACTACAAAAATTTTGTGATGTGTCTCCCTAAACTAGTTCCCAACTACCCTGTTAAAATTATTTAAATGAACAAAAATCTATATATTAAGATACACATCAGAGAACTCCAAATACTGCTTCTCACAGTACCCTGTCCCAGCCATGCTGCCTTCCTCTTCACACAAATCTTCAATTCAGAAACCCTAGGGATTAATTCACTAATCAACCCACACCTTAATTCATTCAAGAAAATTATTGATACCCTACTAAATGTCAGGTACTGGTTTACAGGTATATTCAAGGAATATTAGCGAAAAAGAAAAAGTAAATATTCCTACCTTCTATTTGGGTGGGGGGGAGTAAACAAATGAATATGCAAATACATAAACATAAGTGTACACATGTAAATTAAATTTAAATAAATAGGTAAAATAAACAGTATATCAGATATGTCCTAGAAAGAAATATAATGCAGGGAAGGGAGTTGAAGAGTGTCAGTTGGTGTGGGGGTTGCAATGTGAAATTATGTGGAAGGTGAAATTTAAGAAGAAACATAATGGGATCCTAGGAAACAATGATGTGTATGTCTGGAAAATGAGTGTTAGAAAAGAAATGGTAAAGAAAACAGTCAGATGGGACAGCCATGGGCAAAAGTGTTCATATAGTATTCAGGTAACAGAAAGGATGATGTCACTGTGTAGGGGAAAGAGGGATCAGAGTGGAAAGAAGGAAATGAAGTCAGAAAGGAAATGGAGAGCTCAGATTGCTAGGGTTTTGGAAGCATTTTGAGTACTTTGGCTTTTGCTTTGAGTAAGCCATTGAAGAGGCTTGGGTGATATTATCTGACTTACGTTTCAACAGGATCTCTCTTGGAGATCATTTTGATTAGAGACTGTAGGAAATTAAGGACAAGATTGGGGAGACCAGGCTGGGCACGTTGGCTCACACCTGTAATCCCAGCACTTTGGGAGCCCAAGGTGGGTGGATCATTGAGGTCAGGAGTTGGAACCAGCCTGGCCAAGATGGTGAAGCCCCATCTCTACTAAAAATACAAAAATTAGCTGGGCATGGTGGCAGGTGCCTGTAATCCCAGCTACTCAGGAGGCTGAGGCAGGAGAATCGAATCCAGGAGGCGAAGGTTGCAGTAAGCCGAGATCGCGCCACTGCACTCTAGCCTGGATGACAGAGCAAGACTCCATCTCAAAAAAGAAAAAAAAAAAAAAAGATTGGTTGATTCAAACAAGCGATTTACTCAAAGATGTGCCTTCTACTCAGTAAAGACATAGATCAGGGGTTAGCCAAAAATGACCCACAGATCATTTTGTATGTCCTGTGAGCGAATAATGATGATTACATTTTAAAAGTGTTCCTGAAGAATAAAAGGGAGGAGGTAAAAGAGGAGGAGGAAGAGGAGCTAAAGAAACTGCATTTGGCCCACAAAGACTTAAATATTTAAAACCTAGAAAATGTTTGCCAAAACCTGAAATAAAGCATCTGACTTTTCTTGAGGAAGTAGGTCCTCAATAAAATTGGAAAGAGGAATACATGAGTAAATTAGTTGCTGAAAATATTGTGAAGTAATAGATATCGAGAAATATCTATGGCTTCATCCCCACCCTCAAAAACAATGCCATTCATTTCCATTGAGCTAATGAAAAATGCAGTTTGGTTTTCAAAACAGTTAACCAAAAAACACGGTCTTACATAAAAAAAATCATAAAATTTATATAGCAACAAAAAAGCATTTTCACAGAAATTAAAATTTTACAAAGCATTTCTATATCGATTATGTAATTTAATCTTCCAATCAACTCCATGGGATAGGTACTATTTCCCCATACAGAAATTACCATATCCTAAATCCTTAGTGATTGATTCCTCAAGAAAAATTAAAGTCTTGAATGCTACATCTGTTAATACTAAGGGTAGTTTTCTCCTATGGGAAGGTTGGCTTCTAGAATGAACAGGAACTTTCAGTTCAAGGTGACAGACCAGGAACACATATTTACTTTGTGTTCCTCCTGAAATTGTACTTAAATAAAAGTATACAAATACCAAAATGTAGTAGACCAACGAAAGCCAAGAGATTGTGGAAGTCATCAACCACAGAAAGGTGTTGATACATTTCTGAAAAGCAAAAAGTTAACTGGAGAGGAAATAGATGAAACAACCAAGGAAAGGCTACTCTAAGAAGTAGCAGCACAAAGTCTGTCTGTCCTTGCTGAGCCCTGGTTACAGTAAAGGGCGGAAGAGTGTGGACAAATGTGAATCTGAAAGAGCCAATTCTTCTAAATCAATCCTGTGTGGCTAACTGGGCGTAAATTTAAAATACAGCCCAGCAGCCATTTGCTGACTAGAGTTTATACCTGCACTGGCCAATTGGAACTAAGCCAATGTCTTTCTTTCTCTTTTTCTTTTTTTTTTTTTTTTTTTTTTTTTTTGAGACAGAGTCTCACTCTGTCACCCAGGCTGGAGTGCATTGGCATGATCTTGGCTCACTGCAACCTCTGCCGCCTCACCCAGTGAAGTAGCTGGGATTACAGGTGTGCACCACCACACCCAGCCAATTTATTTATTTATTTATTTATTTTTGTAGTTTTAGTAGAGACAGGGTTTCACTGTGTTGCCCCGGCTGGTCTCAAACTCCTGATCTCAAGTGATCCATTCACCTGGGCTTCCCAAACTGCTGGGATTACAGATGTGAGCCACCACAGTGGGCCAGAACTAAGCCAGTTTCAAACCTTCATTTGCCTAAAGAAACTTATGTGGGAACCTGGACAGCGAACTTTTGCTATAAAACCCAAGTCTTCCCTTTGTTTTCTGGAATGCACCTTTGTTTTGCAACAGAGGATGCAAACAGTTCACTGGAATAAAGTCTCTTTCCTCCACATTCCTTTTTCAGATAACTTTTCTTCACGAGAGAGGAGACTGAAATTATTTTAGGGAAAAAAGTTCATTTAATGAGGTTCATGAGTCAATAAAGTCCAAAGGATTCAGTGTGTCCTCACATTAACTCTGTATGACTTACAGTGGGTTGTTGGTGAAAGTGTTCAACTATAGGGTGCTAGGTATGGTTTATTGTCACTACCACAATTCTATACAAAGCTAGCCACCCAGAGATTCATTTGATATGACTGGAGATTGGTGCTTTAAAAAATTATTAAATTACAAGTAATCTCACCTGGCAACTATAAATTGTTGCTATTATCACAGTATTTATATAATTATTAAATTAAATTTTTGGAAAATATTTTGCCTTGACAAATTTCATCTCAACATGTTTGCGTCTGCCAAGTCAAAAGATCTCAGAATAATCAGTTGCCATCTAATGTTATTTTGCCTCACAAACACAAGGAAGATTTTATATTCAAAAAAAGCATCTATTCCCATTTGACAAGAAAAATAAAGAGGTGGATTTTTCTGGAATACCCTTGTCCAAATTTCCTTTTATTGTCCTGAAGCCCCAATATTCATTATTTGTTTAATGCATTTTTCCTGTTTGGGGGAAAATGCTGTAATTTATTGTTTTCAAATAAGCCTGACATTTGATTTTGTTTCAGAGTTCTTGTAGGAAATCTTTGTCCAAAACTTGTACCAGATTGTTCTTTTTGTTTAAACAAATAAAATCAAGAGATTATTTTTTATTAAACTCTCCTCAAATGATATCAAGAGATTACAGTTAAATGCCATAATTGTAAACAATTTCTCGGTTCCCTGAGAGGTTAGGAAGGACTTATAATATGTCTCCTCTTTTTAAACAGAATTTGGGTCTGAGCAAAACTTTGTGTCCTAGAAACATAAGCTTTGTTGGGTATGGAAGCCCACATTTACTCTGACATAGTATAAAATATATGAACAGGGGGATAAAAAGGATTTTGTAGTATGTTAACTAGGTTTGATGTTATTTTAAATCGATTTTTAAACTAAAAAATACATTAAAATATTTTTACTGATCTCTGATTCTTGGTTCTGAACCTTCCACATGTCCTATGTCTGGCACACAACATTAGCCCAAAGAGAGCAAAGCAGTCCAGTTAAATAAACCAAAGAAACAAGATTAAAACTAGATAAGGTCATGTGTAGGATTTTCCAAATCTTTCTTGTCATGCTGAAACTTCCAGCTCTTAAAACAGTAACACATATTTCCTTTGTCCTAAAAACCAATATTAAGTCTCCTTCCTTGGGCATAAGAATATGGATAGTTATACTTAGGTGACAGTAATGTGTGGTAAAGAGTGGGCCTTGCTGGCATGCGGACAATGACCAAATTGTATTGATCATATTTTAATCGAATACATTGCTCCACTACTGACTTGCAAATACATGATGAATTTGCTTTCTAACATATTCCAAGAAGGCCAGAGAACTGGCTTATCCATTTGGATTAATCCACTGGTGAATTTCTTTCGGGATAGGCCAAAATGGATCTGGACTATAATCTTTACATATTTAGATCCTTCAAACTAGACCAAAAAGGAAATCTGGGCTGCAAGGCTCAATTAGAAGAACAGTGTGGGATGCTGCTTTGCTGACTATTGGGGGTCGCTGCCCCATGTCTTCAGAGGAGACTGGAGCCCAGTGCCTGCCATGACCAACTTATGAGGTGAAGTAAGGGCTTCCCCCTAGGAACGCATGTGCTTAATACAGATGTGCTGTGTGCTAGGTACCCTAAGGACTACAGGAAATAATGAGAATACATGATGTGTCCATAACAAGGAGGCACACAGGCCACGGCACCAGCTCTGGAATCACACAGCCCAGGTTCGAAGCCTGGCTAGGCCACTGTCATATCAATGACCCAAGGAGCAAGCAGCCTAAGGCTTAAATGTTGTTGCTGTTGTTTGTTGTGGTTTTTTGTTTTTGTTTTTGTTTGAGACAAGAGTTTTGCTCTGTTCCCCCAGGCTGGAGTGCAGTGAGGTGATCTCAGCTCACTGCAACCTCCACCTCCCGCTTTCAAGCGATTCTCCTGCCTCAGCCTCCCTAGTAGCTGGGATTACAAGTGCGTGCCACCACGCTCAGTTAATTTTTGTATTTTTAGTAGAGATGGGGTTTCACCATGGTGGTCAGGCTGGTCTCGAACTCCTGACCTCAGGTGATCCACCCGCCTTGGCCTCCCAAAGTGCTGGGATTAAAGGCGTGAGCCACCGCGCCCAGCCTTAAATGTTGTTTAAAACAAATTTGTGAAAAGAAGTGAAGAGGCCCTGCCTGCCAGGAAGAGATGTGGTAGGGCGTAGCATCTAGTCAGGACAAGGCACCACGTCCCCTCCTCGGAAACCCTCACGGCCTGGCTGGTGACCCTGGCGCCACAGAGACGGCACACCTGGCTCCAGGCAGCACAGAGCACTGCCAAGGTCCTAGAGGAGGCTGGCAGGATATAGGTTGTCCTGTGCTTAACTTGAAGCAGATGTGCCCTCTGTGAACCGGGGAATGGGGACGGCCGACACAGGGCCACTGCGTGCAACAGCGCCGGGCCAGGGCTAAGGAACAGGCAGAGCCGGCGCCCAGGTGACAAGAGCTCTGGCGATGGGCCCGCAGGCCCCAGCAGTTCCCTCATAGAGGCCACGCGGTGCAACACCTGCCACCGGCAGCGGGGCTTCCGGGGGTCCTGGGGCAGCTGGGGCCGACGGGGCGTCGCCCTTTGCCCTCTGACCCCTGCCTTTTGCGCCCCCGCTGGCGCTCCCTGGTTCTGTGAGGAACCTCGCGGCGGCGTCGCAGGCGTAGAGCCAGTCAGTTTGTGCTTGGTCGCCAGAGGAGGCGGTGGCTGAGGAGAGTTGAGTCCACTGCTGACCCTGTTTTACGGTAGGAGGCACGGCTAGCTCTAAATGGGCAATTTACTTAGTAAATTTAGACCCGGGTGCCGCCGCCGGCCCCTGCCAGGGCCAGGGCGTGGCGCCCCCGCTCCCCTGTCCCGGGACGCCTCCCCGCCCGGTCGGGCTCACTCTGTACCCACCCCGCGCCCTTTCCGCGGCCTGTTCCGCCGGAACGCCCGTCGCAGGCCTTCAGCAGCCAGCATCTTCGTCGCCCCTAAGAGGCCGTGTCCTCTCCCTCGGGCTGCGGCCGCCCCTCTGGGGGTCCTGCCGGCTGTGGGTTGGGGGCTGGCCATCAGGAAGACACCCATGCTGCCTGCTCGGAACCCCCCGAGGTTTGGACACCCCAGTTCCGTAAGGATCCCTCCTCCCAGCCGCATGTTCACTCTCCTGCTGCCTTCACCACGTGAGCCGGCGGTCAAGGCCAGGAAGCCCATCCCAGCCACTCTCCTGGAGGAGACCGAGGTGTGGGCCCAAGAAGGGCCCAGAAGAGTGAAGAAGGATGAGGATCCGGTGCAGATCGAAGGGGAGGATGACGAGAAAAGGACCCCCCTTAGCAGCGGAGAAGCATCGTCCACATCCAGGTCCCAGGGCACCCAGGGAGACGTGGCCTCCTTCAGATGCAGCCCTGGGCCTCTGGAGGGAAATGTCTACCACAAGTTCTCAGAAAACAGCATGAGTGAGAAGGCCCAGGCGTCTCCAGCGAGCTCCTGCTTGGAAGGCCCTGCCATGCCCAGCACACACAGCCAGGCCGGATGTGCCCGGCATCTTGGAAAGCCTGATCCGGATGCAACAGCGCCCCCTGAGCCAGCCGTTGGCTGCTCCCTGCTGCAGCAGAAGTTGGCTGCGGAAGTGCTGAATGAAGAGCCACCGCCCAGCTCCCTAGGCTTGCCGATTCCGCTGATGTCCGGAAAGAGGATGCCTGATGAGAAGCCTTTCTGTATTCCTCCAAGGAGCGCTGCTCCTCCCAGAGCTGCCCGCAACAGGCCCTGCAAAAGGAAAATGTCGATTCCATTGCTGCTGCCGCTGCCCCCTTCACTGCCATTGCTGTGGGATCGAGGTGAGCTTCCCCCACCTGCTAAGCTCCCCTGCCTGTCTGTTGAGGGAGACCTACACACCTTGGAGAAGAGCCCTGAGTATAAAAGGAATAGCAGAATCTTGGAGGATAAAACAGAGACCATGACAAACAGCAGCATCACCCAGCCTGCCCCTTCTTTCTCCCAACCTGTGCAGACCACAGACTCCCTGCCCCTGACCACTTACACTTCCCAGGTCTCAGCTCCTTTGCCCATCCCTGACTTGGCTGACCTGGCTACTGGACCCCTCATCCTGCCTATCCCTCCACTTTCCACCACACCAAAAATGGATGAGAAAATAGCATTCACAATCCCTAACTCTCCTCTGGCTCTTCCTGCTGACCTTGTTCCCATTTTGGGTGATCAGTCTAATGAGAAAGGAGGCTCTTATAATTCAGTCGTAGGAGCAGCGCCTCTCACTTCTGACCCCCCAACACCTCCTAGCTCCACACCCTCCTTCAAGCCTCCCGTCACAAGGGAGTCCCCAATATCTATGTGTGTGGATTCCCCTCCTCCTCTTTCCTTCCTGACTCTTCTTCCAGTCCCTTCCACCGGGACCTCAGTTATCACCAGCAAGCCTATGAATTCCACGTCAGTCATTTCCACTGTCACAACAAACGCATCTGCCCACCTAACCTCACAGACTGCGGTAGACCCTGAAGTAGTTAATATGGATACTACTGCCCCATCTCAGGTTGTTATTTTCACATCTTCCCTAAGCTCCAGAGTGAGCTCTCTCCCAAATTCCCAAATACATTGCAGTGCAGAGCAGAGGCACCCGGGAAAGACATCAGTCTACACATCCCCACTTCCATTTATATTCCACAATACCACCCCAAGTTTTAACCAACTCTTTGGAAAAGAAGCCACCCCTCAGCCCAAATTTGAGGCTCCTGATGGGCAGCCGCAGAAAGCTTCTCTCCCCAGTGCCTGTGTTTTCCTGAGCCTTCCCATCATTCCTCCTCCAGACACCTCCACTTTAGTGAACAGTGCCTCTACAGCATCATCATCCAAACCTCCCATTGAAACCAATGCTATGCATACCACTCCTCCTTCCAAGGCTGTCATCTTGCAGTCTGCCTCTGTCTCCAAGAAGTACCTCCCATTTTACCTGGGGCTTCCTGGTTCTGGGAACACACAACCCAGCGGCAACACTGCCTCAGTCCAAGGCTCCACCAGTTTGCCTGCACAGTCAGTCAGGGCACCAGCTACAGCTTCCAACCATCCTTTAAATCCAGGAGCCACCCCTCAACCCAAATTTGGGGCCCCTGATGGGCCGCAGCAGAAAACCTCTCTCCCCAGTGCCCATGATTTCCTGAGCCTTCCTATCATGGTTCCTCCAGACACCTCCACTTTAGTGAGCAGTGCCTCTGCAGCATCGTTATCCAAGCCTGCCATTGACACCAGTGACATGAATACCACCCCTCCTTCCAAAACTGTCATCTTGCAGTCTACCTTTGTCTCCAGGAAGGAGGAGTACATCCGATTTTATATGGGGCTTCCTGGTTCTGGGAACACACTACACAGTGACAGCATTGCCTCAGCCCAAGTCTCCACCAGTTTTCCTGCACAGGCAGATAGGAGACCAACCACAACTTCCAGCCATCCTTTAAATACAGGATCCATCTCTCATTCCACACTTGGGGCCACTGATGGGCAGCAGAAGTCTGACAGTTCTTTTATTCTGGGGAATCCAGCAACCCCAGCACCAGTTATAGGCTTAACATCTCCTTCAGTCCAGCCACTGAGTGGCAGCATAATTCCACCAGGTTTTGCAGAGTTAACATCACCATATACTGCATTGGGCACACCTGTTAATGCTGAGCCAGTCGAGGGTCACAATGCAAGTGCTTTCCCCAATGGCACAGCAAAGACTTCTGGATTTAGAATTGCCACTGGGATGCCTGGCACTGGAGACAGTACCTTACTGGTTGGAAATACTATTCCAGGCCCACAAGTGATTATGGGACCTGGAACCCCTATGGATGGTGGGAGCATTGGGTTCAGCATGTCTGCCCCAGGCCCCAGTTCCACATCAGGAGAACTCAACATTGGACAAGGACAGAGTGGGACACCCAGCACCACTTCTGTTTTCCCATTTGGTCAGGCAGCCTGGGACCCAACTGGCCACAGCATGGCTGCTGCACCACAAGGGGCTAGCAACATTCCTGTATTTGGATATACTTCTGCTGCCGCCTACATTCCTGGTTTAGACCCACCTACCCAGAATTCATGCAGTGGTATGGGAGGGGATGGCACCAGATCCATAGTTGGAGGCCCTTGTGTTCCTGCTTTTCAACAGTGCATCCTGCAGCACACATGGACAGAGAGAAAATTCTACACTTCAAGCACCCACTACTATGGACAAGAAACATATGTTAGGAGACATGTCTGTTTCCAACTTCCGTAAGAGCACCTGTGGTTCACCTGATCACACCACATCAGTTGTGGTTGTAAATACCAGCATTATCCTTTTGTATGGTCATGCTTCTAGTTTCATCTTCATGCCAAGCACCTGCCATGTACCTCTCCAGAACTCAGGTTGTGCACCAGGAGGGGACAACAACATCCCTGTGCTCCCTTTCTCTGTCAGTACACATGGGTCCCACCTGGACAAAACACAGGTGGTGCATCTGCAGTGAATGGCAACATATCTTTAATTAGAGGCCCTTGTGTATCCACCTACCAACAAAGTACCTAGGGCCCACCTGGACAAAACACAGATGGTACCTCTTCCAGGAGTGTCAACATTCATTTGATAGAAGGCCCTCATGTGCCCATGTATCAGCAAAGCACCTGGGGCCCACCTGGACAAAGCACAAACCATGCAATGAGGGACAGCAACACAACGGCTGTGACTGGTTGTACTTTTGGTCCCCCATTTACACAAAGCACCTGAGGCCCACCTGGCTAAATGCAGGTGGTGCAATAGGAGATAGCCCCAGATATTTGTAGGGAGAAACCTCTAGTCTCCCTTTCAGTAAAAATACTATGGACCTGCCCAACCAAGGTGCTCCTTTTGACTTTAGAGGAACCAGCATTGTTTTTGTTTTGGTTTGTTTGTTTGTTTGTTTGTTTGTTTGTTTGTTTTTGAGACGGAGCCTTAGCCCAGGCTGGAGTGTAGTAGCACAATCTCGGCTCACTGCAACCTCCACCTCCTGGGTTCAAGCAATTCTCCTGTCTTAGCCTCCTGAGTAGCTGGGACTACAGGCATATGCCACCACACCTGGCTATTTTTTATAATTTTAGCAGAGACAGAGTTCCACCTTATTGGCCAGGCTGGTCTCAAACTCCTGACCTCAGGTGATCCACCCACCTCGGCCTCCCAAAGTGCTAGGATGACAGGTGTGAGCCACCATGCCCAGCCTAGAGGAGCCAGCATTGTTAGTTAAATACTTGTGTTTGGATGGTCCTGGTCAGAGCACCTGTGCCTGTGATGGAAAGCAGCCACTAGTGACACTTGTACCTGCCAAGGCCTTCATAGGAGCCACCAACTCATTTTTTACTCCTATCAATGGTCTTAAGAAATAAGCACTCTCCCTGCACATACAGTTCTCATAAATTGACATTGTTCCAGGAGGAATGGGCTCAGTTCCCTCAAGGTTAAACTTAACCTGCTCTCTTCCTACAGAAGCTGGAGGCCCAAAACCACAGACAGAGAGAGAGAGAGTGTGTGTGTTTGTGTGTGTGTGTGTGTGTTTATTGGTGAGTGTGGAGCAGATGAGCCCAGTCAGAACCGCACTGTATTTTAGTGGTCTTCTGCACTGTGGAGGGTAGAGGAAACCTGGCTTGACTGTTAACTTGGCTGACCCTACCTCTGGGCCAGTTCTCTCTAGTCATGGACAGAAAGGCAAAATTCCCGACTTTGTGGACCCTATATTCTAGTTGAAGGGGAGAAAAGAAGCAAAAACATGGAAATTATCTGGTAAATTAGCCAGTAACGAATGCTATGAAAAATAAAGAAGTACATGGAGGATTGAGATTGTAGATAGAAGCAGGTGTTTCAGTTTACACTGTGAACAAGCCTCACTGGGAAGGTAAATTTAAACGAAGCCTAGAGAGAAGCAGTTGAGCCAGATATATGAGCAAAGACCTTTCCAGATAATAGGAGTGGTCATTGCAGAGGCTCAAAGGAAGGATCCCTGGTGTCCTCATGGAGCAGTTAGTAAGGAAATGTGGCTGGAATGGAGTCAGCAAGTGGGAGGGAGGGATAGAGAAGAGGACAGAGGAGAGATGTGAGTGGAATTCCTTCCTCCACTTTTTACTAATTGTGTAATAACAGTTGACTCAAACTTCAAAAGTCTCAATGAAATCAGTACTTTTACTATGGCCTGTTTATCTCATAAGATTTTTGAAAGGATAAAATGAAATAATATGGAGAAATGACTTATAAGCTTTTGTTGTAATTTGTTATATACATAGGGATGGATAGACGGATGGATAGATTAGATGATAGATAGATAGATAGATAGATGATAACGTTATGGACTGAATGTTTGTGTACCCCCAAAAATTGATATTTTGAAGCCTAACTTCCAGTGTGATGGTATTAGGAGGTGAGGCTTTGGGGAGGTGATTAGGTTTAGATGAAGTCATGAAAATGAAACCCCCATGATGGGATTTGCGCCTTTATGAGAAGAAATACCAGTGCTTTCTCTAATTGCCATGTGAAGGTATACCAACAAGGTAACAGTCTGTAAGCCAGGAAAAGAGTCCTCACAAGAAACAGAATTTGTCTTTATCTTGGACTTCCTAACCTTTAGAATTGTAGAAAATAATTGAATGTTGTTTAAGCTACCAGTCTGTGGCATTTTTTGTAGCAATCAGAACTGACTAATAAAGATAGATAGATGATAGATAGATACATAGATAGATGATAGAGATAGATGATAGATAGATAGATAGATAGATAGATAATATACATATATATGTATGGTCAATGACTGAGTTCCTTAGGCAATGGTGCCCTGATTGCCTTTATTAGGCAATTCAAATAGAAGAATAGAAGAACCCCCTTTTTTTTTTGAGATGGAGTCTTGCTCTGTCACCCAGGCTGGAGTGCAGTGGCGTGATCTTGGCTCACTGCACGCTCCACCTCTCGGAAGAACCCCTTTTTATTAGCATAAAAGCACTTACTTTTATGAAGCAAACACATGTAAAAATATGATAACAGAGACTAAAACATTTATGAGATTAGGCCTGAAAGAAAACAATCACAGAGAAATTACTGAATTCCTCTTGGCACCCTGGGGCCTGATTCATTCGCTCTAAATTGTTTAGTACAGTTCCAGAGGATCAAAGCTCCTGTTTCCTGGCCAGATAATCACCTAACTTTTGTAATCAGAACTGCCTTTCAGAAGTAGAGTGGAAATCCAGTTTTCTTCTAATAGCCCTATACCCTTGCAGTATTACCAGGGACAAATTTTTTAAAATTCATACTTCTTGACATTTTTTAAAAGGCTTCAAGCTAAATATTATGATCCTGGTAAGACAAACTTTGAATAAATGTGTGAGAGATACAAAGATAATTTTTGTTTTCATGTTTTGATGCACTTACACAACTGAAACTATTTCTAAATATTCTTTTATTTTTTATTAAGATAAAAAGCAAACATAATATCAATTTAAATAATACTGAAAGTCAACCTTCCTACCACAGTTCCCTCCTCCAGAGATAGTGTTTAGCTACTTTGATGTCACTCCCATAGTTCTGAGTTTGCTTTTTTACTTCAACTATTATGTTATCTTACAGATGTCATTGTTTTTCCTAAAACTTGAAGTGCCTTCCTTTTTTTCTCCTTGAACTCTTTTCCCATAAAAAAAAAATGTTTTTGGTTTCTAGAATTTTCAAATAGTATTGTTTACTTGACTGAATCCCTTCCTTTTCCAGAAACCTTGAGCCTCCTCCACTGGTTTGGGAGTGGTAAGACCAAAGTAAATGTAAAAAGTAAAGTAGAGGTTCCTCTTCAAAGACTTTCCTCCCTATCTAATTAGAAATAAGTAGTAACTTCTTTTAGAAGCAAAATGTATTCACAGACCTGTACTAACATTCTTAAATATCTGCTAGTCATAATAAAGAAATCAATGTACTTTATGTTCTTAGCTCCCACAATTTAGCCTAAGTATTTGCCCTGGCATGCTTATACTGGTCCAAGCATTAGGTCATAGCCTGTTCCTCTTCCTTATTTAGAAGTGTTTTTACCTTTCTCAGCATTCCACAAGTTACTTCCTCATTCCTTTGTTCTCCTCTACCTTTGCCTCTTTTAAAAGTTCTAAATTGCTAGCCAATCGGGACAAATACAGAATGTGAGGTCCTGTTCCAGCCAATGGAAACCGGACACAGCAGTAGGGTGGACGCGTCAGGTTATAAATGACCCTGTCTCCTTTGTTCGGTGTACTCTTGTGGCAAAACTGCTGGCAAGTGTACCCTTTCTGCAGGAAGTAAAAATGGCCTTACTAAATAAATTTATGTTCAAGTGCTATTTCTTTACGACACCGAGGAACAAGCATTTCAAACATAAGGACATGGTCTCAGAAGAAAGAGGCCTAAAGGAGCCACCCAAACTGCTTTTAGTTTAGCCCAGAAATGCTCACTAATCAATAATTTTTAAAAAATGTCTAATTCTGGCTGCATCATCCTAATTTCCTGAATCTATGGTAGAGCCAGGAATCTGGATTCCAGGCAGCACTCTAGGGAGGTATGATGCAGACAGTCCATGTTTCCTATTATTCCAAACACTGCTTCACACCTTACATGAGAGCTCACCAAAGTCCTCATTCATCTCATAAGATAAAAAAATTTGTATAGGATGTGGTTCCAAAGCCCTAATTAGTAATAAGCAGAGTGTTTTCCTTACATCTGTGTCTCATGAACTAGAAAATGGCCTGCGGAAAATTTGAGAATTTCCAACTCATGGATGCATGTCTTTCTTGCTCTAAATATCTTCATGTTAGAGGTCTAGAAACTGCCCCCAACTGTGAGAACACTGTCCAGGGCCCCCTTAACCAGTCACTGCTGTGATCCCAGGGTTATGTGATGCAATGAGGGCTTCCCAAACAGCAATTCATTCTTTACCTGAGGCAGAGCTGGGAATGGCTCTCTCAGAAGTCCCAGGACAGGAATATCATCATCAGATGTGCCTTCCAGATAGGAAAATTGAGGCTCATAAAATCAAATATTTGCTAAGTTTTACAGCCATGATCTAGATCCTGGATTTATCCAATGCATGAAATGGGGCATGGGAGGGACTAGAAAAAAAGAAGCCAAACAAAATCTCTGCTAAAAAAATTATCTGTCTTAGGTAAATAGTACCTTTGCTTTAAATGCATACTAAGCTGTGAATGACTGATATCAGAGACTTTCTTGGAAGTAGGTTTCATAGGATGGAGGACAAATGAAACTTTATGGGCGAAGAAAGAAGGGTCAGTTGGGTGGTGCATTGAAGTAAGTGGTTCCAAAAGCAAACTAGGTCAACTTTTTAACTGGCTAGTGAAAATGAGATTCCTCAGGATACAAAAGCAAGGAGAAGACAGGAATAAATCAGGACTCCAACAGGCAGAACAGGATTTATTTAGGGCATGCAATGTGGAGGGCCCTAATGGGAACATGACAGTGTTGAGAGGAGCACATTCTCTTGGGAATGAAGCATTCCTGCAGGGAGAGTCTCTGAGACTTCCTAGCATATGTCTGCTATGCAGGTAATTACATTGTCAATCTAATGGTTTAAAAAATATTCTGGTGAGGGGAAGCATTAGTTCAAGACATGTGAGATGTAAGCAATCAACAGACCAAAAACATTGATACTTTATGGGTGTCGTAACTCCATATTACTAAATGGCCATGTTTTGCCATCTTAAAGCTACAGGGGTTCTGGGCTTCAGTACTATATGCAGAGAATATTAACACCAGACATTGGTTGTTTAAAAATGATTATCAGGCTGCGCACAGTGTCTCATGCCTGTAATCCCAGCACTTTGGGAGGCCGAAGCGGGCAGATCACCTGAGGTCAGGTGTTCAAAACCAGCCTGGCCAACATGGCGAAACCCTGTCCCTACTAAAAATACAAAAATTAGCTGGCCATGGTGGCATGAACCTGTAATCCCAGCTACTCCAGAGGCTGAGGCATGAAAATTGCTTGAACCTGGGAGGTGGAGGTTGCAGTGAGCCAAGATCAAGCCACTGCACTCCAGCCTGGGCAACAGAACAAGACTCCATCTCAAAAAAAAAAAAAGAAAAAAAAACTTGTCATCCTTACTTTATTATATTACATCCTGGCACCATTAACCATCATTTTACTGCATATAGAGAGCAACTCTATACTTCATGCAAACTACATAGACTAGCATTTGCTTTGTAAAGAGAAAGGCAGGACGATTCTCAAAATAAAAGGAAACTGGAGGAATTCTGGGGAAAAAATAGAGGAGATAAGTTTCACTCGCGTCCATGTGAAGAGACCACCAGACAGGCTTTGTGTGAGCAACAAGGCTGTTTATTTCACCTGTGTGCAGCGGGCTGAATCCAAAAAGAGAGTCAGCGAAGGGAGATCGGGGTGGGGCCGTTGTATAAGATTTGGGTAGGTAAAGGAAAAAGGGGGATTGTTCTCTGGCAGGGAGGGGTGGGGGTCACAAGGTGCTCAGTGAGGGAGCTTATGAGCCAGGAGAAGGAATTTTACGAGGTAATGTCATCAGTTAAGTCAGGAACAGGCCATTTTCACTTCTTTTGTGGTGGAATGTCATCAGTTAAGGCAGGAACCAGCCATCTGGATGTGTACATGCAGGTCACAGGGGATATGATGGCTTAGCTTGGGCTCAGAGGCCTGACATTCCTGTCTTCTTATATCAATAAGAAAAATAAAATGAAAAAGTGGTAAAGTGTTGGAGCAGCGAAAATTTTGGGGGGTGGTATGGAGAGACAATGGGCGATGTTTCTCAGGGCAGCTTCGAGCGGGATTAGGGGCGGCGTGGGAACCTAGAGTGGGAGACATTAAGCTGAAGGAAGATTTTGCGGTAAGGGGTGATATTGTGGGATGGTTAGAAGAAACATTTGTCGTATAGAATTATTGGTGATGGCCTGGATATGGTTTTGTATGAATTGAAAAACTAAAAGGAATAAGACAAGGAGAAAAACAGGTATTAAAGGACTAAGAATTGGGAGGATATAGGACATCCAATTAGAGAGTGCCTAAGGAGGTTCAGCATAGCCCTGCCAGCAAAGATTATTTATTTACTTTAAGAGGGAGTTAAGAGTGGCGGTTTGGGGCTAGCACCAGGAGATACCAGCTGTGATGGATTGCAGAAACAGTTTACTGACAGTGTAAACAAGAGCGGGGCATTTAGGAATAGTTGAGAATGGTGAATAGGAGTATGACTAGACAGAAGATAGTCATATTTGTCATGACAAGTTTTTTGGGGTGCAGTCCAAGTTGTTCTGGTGTCTGGAATGAGACTGGGACCTAATAAAAAGGAGCGTCTATGCAGGAGCTCAAATGGGCTGTACCCTGTAGCATTCTGAGGACAGGCCTGAATTCTGAGAACGACAAGTGGTAAAAGTATTGTCCAGTCCTTTTTAAGTTGGTGGCTGAGCTTGGTGAGGTGTGTTTTTAACAGACCATTAGTCCATTCTACCTCTCCTGAAGACTGAGGACGGTAAGGGATATAAAGGTTTCACTGAATACCAAGAGCCTAAAAAGCTGGTTGGGTGATTTGACTAATAAAGGCCGGTCTGCTATCAGACCGTATAGAGGTGGGAAGGCCAAACCGAGGAATTATGTCTGACAGAAGGGAAGAAATGACCATGGTGGCCTTCTCAGACCCTGTAGGAAAGGTCTCTACCTATCCAGTGAAAGTATCTACCCAGACCAAGAGGTATTTTAGTTTTCTGACTTGAGGCACGTGAGTAAAGTCAATTTGCCAGTCCTGGGCAGGGGCAAATCCCCGAGCTTGATGTGTAGGGAAGGGAGGGGGCCTGAGAAATTCCTGAGGAGTAGTAGAATAGCAGATGGAACACTGAGAAGTGATTTCCTTGAGGATAGATTTCTACGATGGAAAGGAAATGAGAGGTTCTAACAGGCAGGCTAGTGGCTTGTAACCTACATGGAAGAGGTTATGAAATGATGACAGAATAGAATGGGCCTGTGAGGCTGGAAGGAGTTATTTTCCTTGGTCTAAGAACCGTTTGCCTTGTGTGGGAAGAGATTGATAGGTGGAAGTTTCAGCAGGGGAGCAGGTGGGAGTGGCCAGATGAGAAGGAGAAAAACTGAAAGTGAGGGATGTAATTTGGAACGCTAGCTGCTTTTTTAGCTATCTTATCAGCATAAGCATTGTCCTGAGCAGTGGGATCTGATGCCTTTTGATGGCCTTTGCAGTGAATGACTCCAGCTTCCTTTGGAAGTAAAGCGGCTTTGAGAAGCGTTTTATTAAAGAGGCATTAATGATGGAGGACCCTTGCGTAGGGAGGAAATCTCTTTCAGCCCATATAACAGCATGGTGGTGCAAGATATAGAAGGCATATTTAGAGTCAGTACAAATATTGACGCGTAGTCCTTTTGCAAGAGTGAGGGCTCAAGTTAAGGCAGTGAGTTCGGCTTGCTGAGAGGTAGTGGAGGGCAGCAGAAAGTATAAGCATCAGGTGTGAGTAAGAAAATAGATTTTGGAAGTTATGAGAACGGTAGAGAGTGAGTTGAACACATTTTGTGATTCTGAGGGCCTCTAAAAGTATTAAGGCAGTGGTAGCCGCTGCACACAGACATGAGGGCTACGCTAAAACAGTAAGGTTAAGTTGTTTGGACAGAAAGGCTACAGGGTGCAGTCCCGGCTCTTGTGTATGAATTCTGACTGCACTAACCATGCCTAGGAAGGAAAGGAGTTGTTGTTTTGTAGAAGTGATTGAGGTTTGGGAGATCAGTCAGACACGATCAGCAGGGAGAGCACGTTTGTTTTTATGAGAATTATGCCGAGATAGGTAACAGATGAGGATGATATTTGGGCTTGACTGAGGTAATGGGGGCTATCTGTGAAGGCTTGTGGCAGTACAGCCCAGGTAATTTGCTGAGCCTGATGGGTGTCAGGGTCAGTCTAAGTGAAAGCAAAGAGAGGCTGGGATGAAGGGTGCAAAGGGATAGTAAAGAAAGCATGTTTGAGATCCAGAAGAGAATAATGGGTTGTGGAGGGAGGTGTTGAGGATAGGAGAGTATATGGGTTTGGCACCATGGAGTGGATAGGCAAAACAATTTGGTTGGAAAGGTGCAGATCCTGAACTAACCTGTAAGGCTTGTCTGGTTCTAGGACAGGTAAAATGGGGGAATTGTAAGGAGAGTTTATAGGCTTTAAGAGGCCATGCTGTAACAGGGAGTGATAACAGGCTTTAATCCTTTTAAAGCATGCTGTGGGATGGGATATTGGCATTGAGTGGGGTAAGGGTGATTAGGTTTTAATGAGATGGTAAGGGATGCATGATCGGTCACCAAGGAGGGAGTACAGGTATCTTATACTTGTAGGTTAAGGTGGGGGATATGAGAGGAGGAAGTGAAGGAGGCTTTGAACTGGGGGAAAAGTTGGCAATGAGGTGTGGCTGTAGCCTAGGAATAGTTAGGGAAGCAGATAATTTAGTTAAAATGTCTCGGCCTAATAAGGGAACTGGCAGGTGGGGATAACTAAAAGGAGTGCTTAAAGGAGTATTGTCTAAGTTGGCACCAGAGTTGGGGAGTTTTAAGAGGTTTAGAAGCCTGGCCATCAATACCTACAACAGTTATGGAGGCAAGGGAAACAGGCCCTTGAAAAGAAGGTAATGTGTAGTGGGTAGCCTCCGTATTGATTAAGAAGGGGACAGACTTACCTTCCACTGTGAGAGTTACCTGAAGCTCGGCATCCATGATGGTCTAGGGGGCTTCTGAGGCGATCGGGCAGCATCAGTCTTCAGCCGCTAAACTGAGAAGATCTGGGAAGGAGTCAGTCAGAGAGCACTGGGCCACAGTTCCAGGGACTCTGGGAGTGGCTGCCAGGTGAGTTGAACAGTCCAATTTTCAGTGGGGTCCCGCATAGATGGGACATGGCTTAGGAGGAATCCTGGACTGCAGGCATTCCTTGGCCCAGTGGCCAGATTTCTGGCACTTGTAGCAAGCTCCTGGGGGAGGAGGTTCTGGAGGAACGTCTGGCCGCTGCGGTTGAGGTGTTTGGAAGTTCTTGTGTGCTGGAGATGTGGCTGGGGTTTGTTTCACAGTGGAGGCAAGGAATTGCAAAATTTTTCTATTATTGTACACCTTGAAGGCGAGGTTAATTAAGTCCTGTTGTGGGGTTTGAGGGCCAGAATTTAATTTTTGGAGCTTTATTTAAAGTTGGGAGCAGATTGGGTAATGTATATTGAGAATAAGGTGGCCTTTTGACTTTTTAGGGTCTAGGGCTGTAAAGTGTCTCAGGGTTGCTACCAAACGAGCCATGAACTGGGCTGGGTTTTTCATATTTGATGAAAAAGAGCCTAAATGCTAACTGATTTGGGAGAGGTCGGATAAAGAAAAAGGAGTATTAACCTCGACTGTGCCTTTAGCTCCAGCCACCTTTTTAAGAGGAAATTCTTGGGCAGGTCAGGGAGGGCTGGTCACAGAACGAAACTGTAAGCAGGACCAGGTGTGAGGAGGGGAGGCTGAGGAAGAATTGGACCTAGCTCAGCCTGGCAAGGAGCAGCCTGGGGAGGAGGGGAGAGGTCAGATGGGTCTGTAGAAAAGGAAGATTAGAAAGACCCAGTGATGCTTGGGGTTGGGACTGAGGGAACAGGCGAGAGGCAAAGAAGGAGGATTTGGGATGAGTCACATTGGAAACAGAGACTAGGGAGGGAACAGTGTGTGAAAGAATGCCTGGACGTCAGGCACCTCAGACTGTTTGCCTATTTTACGACAAGAATTATTTAGATCTTGTAGGATGGAAAAATTGAAAGTGCCATTTTCTGGCTATTTGGAACCACTGTCGAGTTTGTATTGGGGTCAAGCGGCATTGCAGAAGAAAAGGTGTTTAGATTTTAGGTCAGGTGTGAGTTGAAGAGGTGTTAAGTCTTTGAGAACACAGGCTAAGGGAGAAGGAGGAATGGAGGGTGGAAGGTTGCCTATAGTGAAGGAAGCAAGTCCAGAGAAAAGAGGGTAGAGACACAGAGAGAAGGGATGGGGGATGCTTGCCCCCCAGGAAACTGGAGAAGGGGTAGAGACATGGAGAGAAGGGATCGGGGGTTTCCTTCCCCCCAGAAAAGCAGTACTTGCCGCTGAGGGTGACAGGACCAAGGCAGGCATCCCCACGTGGTCAGACACCTCTGAAACGTGGGTGAATAATCAGGCAGGTGTCCCCGCATGATTAAACACCAAGGGAAGACTGTCTTCCCGAGTCCGAGACTGGCGCCGGAGTTTTGGGTCCACAGATAAAACATGTCTCCTTCGTCTCTACCAGAAAAGGAAAGGAACTGAAATTAAGAGAAGGGAGAGACTGAAGTATGGTGCCAAGATTCAAAGGAGAAAGAGGTTGTGGGATAGTAACAGAGGTTGGAGAAGAGAGTAAAAAAGGCTGCTTACCAGATTTAAAAATGGTGAGATGTTCCTTGGGCTGGTTGGTCTGAGGACCAGAGGTCGTAGGTGGATCTTTCTCATGGAACAAAGAGCAGGAGGACAGGGGATTGATCTCCCAAGGGAGGTCCCCCGATCAGAGTCACAGCACCAAATTTCACTCGTGTCTGTGTGAAGAGACCACCAACAGGCTTTCTGTGAGCAACAAGACTGCTTATTTCACCTGGGTGCAGGCGGGCCGAGTCCAAAAAGAGAGTCAGCAAAGGGAGATGGGGTGGGGCCGTTTTATAAGATTTGGGTAGGTAAAGGAAAAAGGGGGGTTGTTCTCTGGCAGGCAGGGGTGGGGGTCACAAGGTGCTCAGCGGGGGAGTTTTTGAGCCAGGATGAGCCAGGAGAAGGAATTTCACAAGGTAATTGTCATCAGTTAAGGCAGGAACAGGCCATTTTCACTTCTTTTGTGGAGGAATGTCATCAGTTAAGGCAGGAACTGGCCATCTGGATGCATACATGCAGGTCACAGGGGATGTGATGGCTTAGCTTAGGCTCAGAGGCCTGACAGTAAGTGTTACTTGTTTCTCCTTCTTTTGATGATAATTGTGTTCTGCTATTTCATAAAGAAAGGTCTACATTAATTAGTTGATAATGTAATTAGTTTATTAGCCACATGTAACAAGAAATAATAGAAAAGAAAGCTTAGGGTCCACATAGGGTGGTTCAACTTACTTATAAAGGTAATTTACATCACCTATAAAGAGTACCTCTTCATCCTGGGGCTGTTGCAAGATAGTTGTATCATGCAAAAGCATCTGTTGTTCTTGCAGTCAGGAATTAGATGAAAGGGTTGAAGGCCAGGCTTATAAAAATGACTTCTCCTTGTGTCTTCACACTTTTCTCCTGTATTATTCCTGCAGTTCTGTGACCCATGCCCCCGTAGAGTAATGACAGAACATAGCACCTCTGCCTGCATGGATGCTGCCATGATAACCCTGTCTCCTTCTTACCACTGGATATGAAGATTGGCTTGATGAAATTGGGACAAATTGTTCTCCAGAATACCAGGTCCATCTTCTCCATTCTCCTGCTTTCCCAGGTGCCTGCCACAGTGCAGCCTGGGACTCTCTGAAAGCAGTAACCTGAAGCCTTACTAGGTCTCAATCATTGTTTCACATCACTCAGGTATCATTCTATCCTTCATTGTCTTGTGTACAGTTTTCTGCAAACTGTTGTCTCATATCTTTCCCTTTTGCATGTGTTTACATGAGATAAGGTATGTCCCAATGCTATAGCTTTATCCACAACACCTTGGTTTCTTCCTTATACAATTACTCAATCATTACTGTACCTCTGGCTTGGCTATCTGCTTCCAGCTGGCAATATTAAGGTTAATAAAGAAGAATGTGCCCATGCCTATGTCCTGAATGGTATTACCTAGGTTTTCTTCTAGGGTTTTTATGGTTTCAGGTCTAACATTTAAGTCCTTAATCCATCTTGAATTAATTTTTGTATAAGGTGTAAGGAAGGGATCCAGTTTCAGCTTTCTACATATGGGTAACCAGTTTTCCCAGTACCATTTATTAAATAGGGAATCATTTCCCCATTTCATGTTTTTGTCAGGTTTGTCAAAGATCAGATAGTTGTAGATATGCAGCATTATTTCTGAGGGCTCTGTTCTGTTCCATTGGTCTATATCTCTGTTTTGGTACTAGTGCCATGCTGTTTTGGTTACTGTAGCCTTGTAGTATAGTTTGAAGTCAGGTAGCGTGATGCCTCCAGCTTTGTTCTTTTGGCTTAGGATTGACTTGGCAATGGGGGTTCCTTTCTGGTTGCATATGAACTTTAAAGTAGCTTTTTCCAATTCTGTGAAGAAAGTCATTGGTAGCTTGATGGGGATGGCATTGAATCTATAAATTACCTTGGGCAGTATGGCCATTTTCACGATATTAATTCTTCGTGCCTGTGAGCATGGAATGTTCTTCCATTTCTTTGTATCCTCTTTTATTTCATTGAGCAGTGGTTTGTAGTTCTCCTTGAAGAGGTCCTTCAAGTCCCTTGTAAGTTGGATTCCTAGGTATTTTATTCTCTTTGAAGCAATTGTGAATGGGAGTTCACTCATGATTTGACTCTGTTAGTCTGTTATTGGTGTATAAGAATGCTTGTGACTTTTGCACATTGATTTTGTATCCTGAGACTTTGCTGAAGTTGCCTATCAGCTTAAGGAGATTTTGGGCTGAGACGATGGGGTTTTCTATATATACAATCATGTCATCTGCAAACAGGGACAATTTGACTTCCTGTTTTCCTAATTGAATACCCTTTATTTCCTTCTCCTGCCTGATTGCCCTGGCCAGAACTTCCAACACTATGTTGAATAGGAGTGGTGAGAGAGGGCATCCGTGTCTTGTGCCAGTTTTCAAAGGGAGTGCTTCCACTTTTTGCCCATTCAGTATGATATTGGCTTTGGGTTTGTCATAGATAGCTCTTATTATTTTGAGATACGTCCCATCAATACCTAATTTATTGAGAGTTTTTAGCATGAAGGGTTGTTGAATTTTGTTGAGGCCTTTTCTGCAGCTATTGAGATAATCATATGGTTTCATGTCTAAAACACCAAAAGCGATGGCAACAAAAGCCAAAATTGAGAAATGGTATCTAATTAAACTAAAGAGCTTCTGCACAGCAAAAGAAACCACCATCAGAGTGAACAGGCAACATACAGAATGGGAGAAAATTTTTGCAATCCACTCATCTGACAAAAGGCTAATATCCAGAATCTACAATGAACTCCAACAAATTTACAAGAAAAAAACAAACAACCCCATCAAAAAGTGGGTGAAGGATACGAACAGACACTTCTCAAAAGAAGACATTTATGCAGCCAAAAGACATGAAAAAATGCTCATGATTACTGGCCATCAGAAAAATGCAAAGCAAAACCACAATGAGATACCATCTCACACCAGTTAGAATGGCAATCATTAAAAAGTCAGGAAACAACAGGTGCTGGAGAGGATGTGGGGAAGTAGGAACACTTTTACACTTTTGGTGGGACTGTAAACTAGTTTAACCATTGTGGAAGTCAGTGTGGCTATTCCTCAGGGATCTAGAGCTAGAAATACCATTTGACCCAGCCATCCCATTACTGGGTGTATACCCAAAGGATTATAAATCATGCTGCTATAAAGACACATGCACAGGTATGTTTATTGCGGCACTATTCACAATAGCAAAGACTTGGAACCAACCCAAATGTCCAATAATGATAGACTGGATTAAGAAAATATTCTCACTCATAGGTGGGAATTGAACAATGAGATCACATGGACACAGGAAAGGGAATATCACACTCTGGGGACTGTGGTGGGGTGGGGGGAGTGGGGAGGGATAGCATTGGGAGATATACCTAATGCTAGATGACGAGTTAGTGGGTGCAGCGCACCAGCATGGCACATGTATACATATGTAACTAACCTGCACAATGTGCACATGTACCCTAAAACCTAAAGTATAATAAAAAAAAGAAAAGAAAAAAAAAAAAGAAAATGTGGCACATATACACCATGGAATACTATGCAGCCATAAAAAAGATGAGTTCATGTCCTTTGTAGGGACATGGATGAAGCTGGAAACCATCATTCTCAGCAAACTATCGAAAGGACAAAAAACCAACACCGCATGTTCTCACTCATAGGTGAGAATTGAACAATGAGCATGCAGGGACACAGGAAGGGGAACATCACACACCAGGTCCTGTTGTGGGGTGGGGGGAGGGGGGAGGGATAGCATTAGGAGATATACCTAATGCTAAATGACGAGTTAATGGGTGCAGCACACCAACATGGCACATGTATACATATGTAACTAACCTGCATGTTGTGCACATGTACCCTAAAACTTAAAGTATAATAAAAAAAAAAGAAGAGCGTGAATGAAGTTTATAAAGAGAGATAACTGCACTACCATTGTATTGCCAAAGGGAAGGTCAGAATTAACCAATGCACTGAGTCTTAAGAGTCTCCATGGGGTTGTCTACTGTATGTCAATGAATGAATGTTTTAAGAAAAATCTAAAGAAAAGAATAATATCTTTGCCAATCAATTACACATACAATAGCATTATTTTATAATTACAATAAAATCCTTTATAGAATTATAAAGTTTTATTCACATAAAAATTAAAGCAAAATTTAAATAACTCATAAATTAATCCATAAATATATTGGTATTCTGATTCTGATTGTTATGAATCATATTTTCATCCAGAGTTACAGGTGGTATAACATCACCCACTGGTATGAAGAATTATAGCAATGAAACATTGCTTTATAAAGGAGGCTGCACCATTGCCTGTGTGATTTCTGCCTTTCCTATTAACACACATTCTTCAAATTATAATGCAGGTGAACTTTATTTATGCAGCTGAACTTTCCAGAAGATGACAGCATAAGATGTCAGGGGAAATTGTTCCATGTGCAGACACTGAAAACTATGCCATGGCTGCCACCAGAGTAATAATAATTATGATAAAATGTGAAAAAAGTACTAAAAGAGGTGAAATGTGGTAACTGATACAGACACAAAAATACCTATCAAGAGAGCATATTGATAAACTGAATCTTAGAATCTTAGAGCACAAGAAGACTTTCCTTGATCTCAGAGGACAAACCTGTCCAAAAGGATAAGAAGTACAAATCGTTGAGAATTAGCATGGTCCATAGCAGGTCTCTATGGTGGTTTGAGAATGGTGCGGCTGGAGAAGAGACTGGCTGAGGGAAAAGTCAGGGCTCACATCCTGTCCTCAGAACAGAAGAAAGTAAAAAAAAAAAAAAAGGTTAATCTTCAAGTTCAAAACCCCTTCAGATTGAAAGAATGTTGGAGTTTATTGGGAAAAATATAGGTGAAGAATTTGAGAGATTCATTCATTAGTGAAATCCAGTATAAAGGATAATTTTCTGTTGTTCTTTGTCCACTACCTGTGTGGAGTTTGTAAGGGAGCCACATCGACAAAGTATTCATATTCTCTGGTATTTCAGTTCAGTGGGTATTGAAAAAACTTAACAGAAATATGCACTATAGGTGAAAGAGCTGCCCTTGAGAACTCAGGGCAAAGGCATCAGACCTGGAATGGGATGAACAAAGGAGACCTGTAGGAGGAGGAACATTGGAGGAGATTCTGGAAAGTGAGAATCAGTGAGTCCAGCAAATGGGAAGGAAAGAGGAGAAAGTGTGTCTGTGGCACAGGCCAAGCCATGAGAAGGGGCAGTGGATTGGAAGGACTACTGGGATCAGTAATATATGAGGACAGGAGCAGGAAGGGCAGACCATGGAGGGACTGAGGATAGACACAATGGATACGTTTCTTCATTAACATACACATGTTCACACATCTATGTCTCCATCTTCTCTTACATGTTCTTTGATATTCTCATGCAAACCTCATGGTATTCTCGTGTGTCTCGGCAAAACATATATGACTTTACTATTTCCATCACAGGGCCTCTTTTAAATTATATACATAGCAATTGCTACCGACCTAAATTTCTTTGGTGAATTATTTATATGTACAGTATTTGCCTACTTAGTAAACAAACAAACAAACATCCCCCTGTGAACCCAAAATATCTGAGATAGATCTCAACGAATTTAGGAAGATTATTTTGCCAAGGTTAAGGATGTGCTTGTGACACAGCCTCAGGAGGTCCTGACAACATGTGCCCAAAATGGTCGGGGCACAGCTTGCTTTTATCCATTTTAGGGAGTCATGAGACATCAGTAAATATGTGTAAGATGTACATTGGTTGGGTCAGGAAAAGCAGGACAACTCGATGTAAGAGGCTTCCAGACCATAGGCAGATAAGAGACAAAAGGTTACATTTTTTTGAATCCTTGGTCAGCCTTTCACTGAATACACAATTTAGTCTGGCTCGGTGAATCTGCATTTTTACATAAACAATAGGGCAGAGGAAGCAATCAGATATGCATTTGTCTTAGGTGAGCAGAGGGATGACTTTCTGTCCCACACCTGTGACGATAAGCTGTCAGTTTACATTGCCAGGGTGAAATTCAACAGAACTGTTTTAGAGTAGAAATCTTGAGGCCCACAAGGAATGTTCTTGTGGGCAAATTGTGAGGAGGATGTGTAGCTTTAGCTTTGTAGCTATCTTATTTAGGAATAAAATGAGAGGCGGGTTTGTCTGACATCGTTCCCTGCTTCACTTTTCCCTTGGCTTAGTGAGTCTAGGGTCCCAAGATTTATTTTCTTTTCACACCACTTTAGTATGCTTTTGGTTGATCATTTCTGACAAGAAGTATCTCCTCATTTCATGGGGGAGTCACCTCTGTATGCTCTTGTCAGGTTCACGACTATGGCAATTGTCACGCCAGGGGTCGGGTTCCAGCCCATGCTGAGGTCCTAAGGGAGTGGGTGGATGAGCAGAAAGAACACTTGGGGGGCCGTAGGCAGGTGAAAGATGATTTTATTCAGTAGCAACTCTCATTAACAGCTTTCTCACACTGTCCAGCCTGTCTCATCTGCTTAGTGCTGCGGCCCCCACACACAGCTGCGCAGCCAGCTCTGCCTTGCCTTCAGGGTCAGCAGCTTAACCCTTTCTCTCTCTGGGCACAAGCGAGCCTAGCTGGATCCTGGCTTCCCTCTGTCCGTCTGCAAAGACGGACAGCTCTGGCTCCCTCTCTTTCTCTGGGTGCTAGTGTGTCTGCACAGTGTTAACAGAACAATTACACCTTTTACGGACAATAGTGGCATAGAGACAAGTAATGGCCTTCCCATGTTATGGCTACATGGCTGTGATAAGAAGTGGAGCTACATGCCTGCACTCTAAACTCGCTAAGTCATGCAGGATGTAAACATCCTACCTCGGCCGATCCTTGACCAAAGCACAGCCATGTTCCTTACAGCTCTTAAGCGAGGGTTTTGTTTGGGATGTTGTGTTTTCCTTCTTAATTTTGGATGCTTTTATGTTCTGCAGACTATTAAGCTATCAATATTTATTCCAAAATTCCAATTGCTTTATCTTTCATCTTGTTTTTGCTTTCTTTACAGTAAATATATTTCCTTCTAAGTTCTGCTTTCATTGCATCTCACATATTTTGGTAAGCTGTATTTTCACTTTTATTTATTTTATAAAAGTTTTTATTTCTCTTGAGATTTTTTCTTTGGGTCACATTGTATTTAAGAGTATAATGTTTAATCTCCGTGTATTTTGGGATTTTCCAGTTATCTTTCTGTTATTGATATCTAGTTTAATTTCATTGTTGTCAGAGAGTATATATTGTACAATTTTGATTCTCTTAAATATTTTAAGATGAGCTTTGTGTTCTAGAATATGTTTATTTTGGGGAAGATTCTGTGTGGGCTAGAGGAGAATGTATATTCTGCCTGTTGTTGAATTAAGTGATCTATAGATATAAGTTATATCCATATGAGTGATAGTGTTGAGTTCAAATATGTCCTTACTGATTTTGTGTCTGCTGTATGTTTCCATTTCTGATAGAGAGGTGTTGAATTCTCCAACAATAGTGAATTCTTCTGTTTTTCCTTACAATTCTCTCACTTTCTGCCGCACATAGTTTGATACTCTATTATTACCTGTATACATGTTCAGGATTGTTAAATCTTCTTGAACAATTGACCCTTTTATTATTACCTAATGCTTTTGTTTATCCTTGATAATTTTGCTTGCTTCAATGTCTGTGCTGTCAAAAATTAACACAGATACACGTACTTTCTTTTAATGCTAGCATGATATATTTGTTTCATCCTTTTACTTCTAATTTGTATGTATCTTTATATTTTAAGTGAGTTTCTTGTAAACAACTTATACTTTAGTGTTTTTTTAATCCACTCTGACAATCTGTGTCTTTTAATTGGTGTTTTTATTTTTTATTTTTATTTTTTTTTTGAGACGGAGTGTTGCTCTGTCGTCCAGGCTGGAGTGCAGTGGCGCGATCTCAGCTCACTGCAAGCTCCGCCTCCCGGGTTCAAGCCATTCTCCTTTCACAGCCTCCTGAGTAGCTGGGGACTACAGGCGCCTGCCACCACGCCCGGCTAATTTTTGTATTTTTAGTAGAGACGGGGTTCACCATGTTAGCCAGGATGGTCTCAATCTCCTGATCTCATGATCCGACCCCTCCCAAAGTGCTGGGATTATAGACGTGAGCCACCGCTCCCAGCCTAATTGGTGTATTTTGACAATTGGCATTCAATGACATTATTGATATAGTTGGGTTAATCTCTACCATCTTTTAGTTATTGCCCTTGTCTTTCTTCCAGTCGTTCCCTGCTTTTCATAGTTTAATTTGAGCATTTTATATGATTCAGTTTTCTCTCTTTTCTTAGCATATCAGTAATACTTCTTTGTACGTTTTTAGTGATTACCGTAGGGACTATTTTTTATTTAGTAGGTTTATTCTAAGAGATAACGCTTGGTAAAATAACAATAGCAACAATGTATTTGATTAGGTATACTAATGTATGTTATATATATAAACACATATACATAAATATTTATAGAAGTATGCTTATATATAAGTGAAACTCATGAAAGAATTTATAGCAAGAATGGAAGGAAAGAATTGGGGTATTCTGTTATAAAGTGTTGACACTACCTCTGAAGCAATATACTCTTATTTGAAAGGGAAATTGGATTAGCTTTAAATGTAATATTGCAAAGTATCGGTCAAGCTGTTGGACCAGGAGCCTCAGTTCCTTGCTGGCTGTTGGTCTGAGGCTGAATTCAGTTCCTTCCCATGTTGGCTTCTCCCAAATGGCAGAATGCCTCATCAAAGCCACTAAAGGAGAGAGTTTGCTAGCAAGACAGAAATCACAATCTTGTGTAGCATAATCATCCAAGTGACATCCCAGCACCTTTGCAATATTTTGCTGTTTACAAGCAACTCACAGTGTCTGTCCAAACTCAGGATGAGACTATTAGAATACAAGGTTGTGTTTACCAATAAATTGGGATAATTGGGTGCCATGCTAGAGTCTGCCTGCCATATGAGGTCTTCTCCAATCTGCAACATTTTTTCAGACTTCACATATTTTAAATAACGTTGATGTGTTTGAAAAGAACTGGTTGGATATTTTGTAGAATGTCCCGCAATATAGATCTATCAGATCATGCTTGGACTAAGGTTATGGCTTAATTTAGACGCTCATGTTTATCCAAATTTGAAGACAAAATACCAAGCAATATACTATTTGCAAATATAAACTAAAAGATAAAAATAATTAAAGAAAAATAAGGGAATGACAAATAGACAATTCAAAATAACAGTAATCTTCCCCAGGCGAGGAAACAAATGCAACTTGGATATGCACACATGGGGCATCAACAATATTGATAATGTTCTGTTTATTAAGTTTGGCAGTAACTGACAAAAAGGCAAACTTTTCTATTTTAGAATAGTTTTAGATTTACAGAACAGTTGCAAAGACAGTACACAGTATTTACACATACCATACATACAGTTTCCTTTATTATTTTCCTCATACATTAACGTGGTATATTTATCATAATTAGTGAATCATTAGGACACATTATTATTCATTAACTTCCTAACTTTTTTCAGATTATCTTACTTTTTACTTAATGTCCTTTTTCTGTTTCAATATCCTACCTAAGCTCCCACATCACATTTAGATATCATGTCTCCCTTAGGCTCCAAAGGTTACGGTCAACTAATTTTATAAGGTTGTCAAGGAAATTCAGAATGAAATATTTATCTATCTATCTATCTATCTATCTATCTATATGTATTCTGAGACTCTTTTTTTATGAAATTGACATACCTAAATTTGGATTTCTCTGATATTTTTCTCATAATTTAAGTATACTTACATTAATTTATCTATTTTGTTGCTCAAATTGTTCCAGTGTTGGTCCTTGGAAGGTCTTTTATATGATTCCTATACCATTTTGAAATACCTAGATCATTATGGTTTGGTTGGTTGTCTGTTTCATTGGTTTGATTTGTTGTTTAGCATTTTCTTATTTTTATTCATTACAAGGTACTTCTGGTTAATTTGCTTGGTTTCCTGCCCAATCCTAGTACACACCATTTCTGCATGAAGTTCTAATTCCTTTTGCTCATGAATGGTATTAGAAGCAACCATTTGGCCAGTGGATGTACTCATTGCTACAAAGAAAAGGATATTAATTCTAGATTTTGTCATCTGAAATAGCAAAAGAAAGAGCCTTTTATCTATCTCTATAATTCCACCTTTCCAGAGTGTCATATAAATGGATTTATACATTGTGTAGTCTTTACAAACTAGCTTTGTTCCACTGAAGCATATGCCTTTTATATTTGTGAAGTGTATCTCATGATGATGTAGATTTGCATTTCACTAAGGACTAAAAATGATAAGCATATTTTTATGTGTTTATTGGACATATCTAAAGAGGTTTTGTAAAAATATATATTCACACAATCTACCCACTTTTAATTATAATATTTTATTTTTCGCCAGGTGTGGTGGCTCACGCCTGTAATCCCAGCACTTTGGGAGGCCAAGGCGGGTGGATCACCTGAGGTCAGGAGTTGGAGACCAGCCTGGTCAACATAGTGAAACCCTGTCTCTACTAAAAATACAGAAAATTAGCCAGGCGTGGTGGGGGGTGCCTGTAATCCTAGCTACTCCAGAGGCTGAGGCAGGATAATTGCCTGGGAGGCGGAGATTGCAGTGAGCAGAGATTGTGCCATTGCACTCCAGCCTGGGCAACAAGAGTGAAACCCTGCCTCAAAAAAAAAAAAAAAAAAAGACATTTTATTTTTCATTTTTGAGTTGTAAGAATGTTTTATATCTTCTATTCAATAGACTTCTATCAGCTATATGTTTTGCAAACATTGTCTCTGATTGCTTGTGTACTCTTGATGGTGTGCTTTGAATTGGAATCACAAAATTTAATTCTGATGAAGTTCACTTTACCATTTTTAACATGTGACATTTGTATTTTGGTGTGATGTATTACAAGCCATTGTTTTCCTAAGGCACCAAAATGTATTTCTATGTTCTCCTATATGGGATTTGTACTTTCACCTCTTACAACTGATTTTATATTTTTATGTATGGGTTAATTATTGGACACTCAATTCTATTCCATTGACCTATTAGTCTATCCTTATACCAGTAACACAATGCTGTGATTACTGTCAGTCTGTATAAGTTTTGAAATCAGGAATTATGAATCCAGGACTCCAAACTTGTTCTCCTATTCAAGATTGTGTTGGCTGTACTGGAGCACTAGCATTTCCATAGGAATTTTATAAACCATTTGCCAAATACTACCGAAAAACTTTTACGAAGGAAGATTTCTTTTTTTTTCCTGGTAGGTATTATACTTTATTGTTTTAATAATTTTTATTTTTATTTTAAATTCAGAGGGTACATATGCAGTTTTGTTGCATGGGAATATTTTGTGATGAGGGTACATATGCAGTTTTGTTGCATGGGAATATTGTGTGTTGCATGGGAATATTGTGTGATACAAATGATCCCATCACCCAGGTTGTGAGCACAATACCTGATAGTTTGTGAACTGTAGCCCTATCTCTCCTTACTCTGCTAGACACCCGTATCTATTGTTGGCAATTTTATTTCAACGAGTACTCAATGTTTAGTTCCTGCTTACAAGTGACAACATGTAGTATTTGGTTTTCTCTTCCTGTGTTAATTGATTTAGGACAATGGCCTCCAGCTGCAATCATGTTGCAGCAAAGGATTTGATTTTATTCTTTTTCATGGCTGTGTCCATGGTATATATGGACCAATTTTTTTTTAATTCAGTCCACCATTGGTAGGCACCTAGGTTGACTGCATATCTTTGCTATTGTGAATTGTGTTGCAATGAACACACTACGGCAGGTGTCTTTTTGCTAGAACAATTTATTTTCTTTTAGATGTATACCCAGTAATGGGATTGCTGAGTCAAATAGTAGCTCCATCTTAAGTTCTTTAGGAAATTCCAAACTGTTTTCCAAAGTGGCTGAACTAATTTACATTTCCATCAACAGTCAATAAGCATTCCCTTTTCTCTGCAGCCTTGCCAGCATCTGGGGTTTTTGTTGTTGTTGTTGTTTTTGCTTTTTAACAATAAGGATTCTGACTGGTGTGAGATGGTATTTCATTGTGGGTTTGATTTGCATTTCTCTGATGATTTTTGATGTTGAGCATTTTTTCATATGTTTACTGGCTGCTTGTATTTTTTTGTGAGATGTATCTGCTAATGTCTTTTGCTTGCTTTCTTAATGGGGCTATTTGCTTTTTGTTTATTGAATTGTGTAAATTCCTTATACATTCTGAATATTAGACCTTTTTCAGATATATATTTTGTGAATATGTCTCCCATTCTGTAGGTTGTCTATTTACTCTGTTGATAGTTTCTTTTGTTGTTCAGAAGCTCTTTAGTTTAATTAGTTCTCACTTGTCAATTTTTGTTTTCGTATCAATTGCTTTTGAGGACTTAGTCATAAATTCTTTCTCAAGGCTGATGTCCAAAATGGTGGTTTTGGGCTGTTGACATTGTGGTTGTTGTTTTTTATTAACTTAATGCATTACACTAATTACTTTTGTATGTTGAACCAAAGTTCTTGGGATAAATACCCTTGATCACAATGTATAATCATTTGTATATGTTGCTGATTTGTTTACTCGTGTTTCCTTGAGGACTTTTCCTCTATATTCTTTAGTCATATTTGCCTATAATTTCCTTTTCTTCTAATGTCTGTCTAGTTGTGGTATCTGAGTAAAATAGCCTCAGAAAATTGCATTGGAAGGGATTGCTTCTCTGTTCTTCTGTTTGTTTGTTTTTGTTTTGGATCACCAGGATTCTTGTAGTTTGAGGTTTTCCATTTAAATATTTTATACGTCTTGAGTCATTTTTTGCATGTGGTGAAAGACGGGTCCAGTTTCATTCTTCTGCATATGACTAGTAGCACCATTTGTTGAATAAGGAGTCCTTCCCACATTGCTTATTTTTATCAATTTTGTCAAAGATCAGATGGCTTTAGGTGTGTGGCTTTATTTATGATTTCTCTATTCTGTTCCATTGGTCTATGTATCTGTTTTGGTACCAGTACCATGCTGTTTTGGTCACTGTAGCCTTGTAATATAGTTTGAAGTTGGGTAATGTGATGCCTAGAAAGCTAAGATTTCAACATGGATTGTCTTGAATCTGCAGATCCATTTTGAATGTATTGCCATCCTAAGACTATTAAACCTTCTGATCAATGACCATCAAATATTTTTCCACTTATTTAGTTTCTTTAAATGTTTTCAATGCCTTTTTGTTTTCAGTGCACATATCTTGCAGTTATTTTGTTAAATTTATTCCTAAGTATATTTTGATGATATTTTAAATGGAATTGTTTTTTGAGTTTTACCTTTAGATTCTTCATTGCTACAGTATACAAATACAATTAATTTTTGTATATTGATCTTGTATGCCGCAACCTTGCTGAAGTTGATTTTTTTTAGTTCTAATCATATTTTAGTATATCCTTAGATATTATATACAAAAGACCATGTTATTTTTGAAGAGAAATAATTTGAATTCTTTCTTTTCAATATGAGTGTTTTACCTGTGTTTTTCTGGCCTAATTGCCCTCACTACAACCTCCAGTATAATGTTGAATATAAGTGGCAAGAATAGACATCATTGTCTTGTTTACAATCTTGGGGAAACTACTGAGCTATTCATAATAGCACATGATGAGAATTTTTGTGGATGCCCTTTTTACGTTAAGAAAGTTCTCTTCTATCTCTAATTTGTTGAATGTTTATATGATAAATGGGTTTTAAATTTGTCAAATGCTTTTTCGGTATCTTTTGAGATGACAGTGTGATTATTGTTCTTCATTAATATAGTGCATTACACTAATTATTTTTGTATGTTGAACCAAAGTTCTTGGGATAAATACCCTTGATCACAATGTATAATCATTTTTATACATTGCTGATTTGTTCACTAAAGAAGTCCTGCCTTGAGGAATTTTGCCTCTATATTCATAAGCTATATTTGTATATTTGTTTGTAATTTCCTTTTCTTCTAATGTCTGTCTAGTTGTGGTATCTGGATAAAATTGTCTCAAAGAATGCATTGAAAGTGATCTCTTCTCTGTTTTTTTATTTATTTGTTTGCTTTTGTTTTGGTTGTTTTGAGACATTAATAAAGGATTGGTAGTAATCTTTAAAGGTTTAAAATAATTCAACACTGAAGTCATCTCAACCTAGGCAGGGAATTGAATCCTACCAACAATTACATGAGCTTGGAAAAGGAACCTTCCCATGTTAAGCCTTCAGTTGAGACCTTAGTTGAGACCCGAGTCTCAGACATTCTCTGTATCTTGATTCTTTACCTGGAGGAATTGTAATAAGAATTATTTTAAGAAGGTCTATACAGAGGCCTCTGGTCTCAGCTTCGCATCTTGATGATAAGATTGTTGCCTTTCTTCCAGTGTGGGGAAGGCACCATTCACATCTCTTGCTCTTAAAAACAGATAATAGGTCAGAATGACCTTCTTGTACTTGCTGTTTTTTCAAGTGCCTATAATTCAAAATAGTCAATATACCAGAGTGGTATATTATTAACTCCTTCATGTCTACCATATGGAACTTCTCTAGAAGTTTCACATATTAAATGCCTAATTTGGTGGCTTTGGAGAGAAAAATCAAGTAACTGAGTGGCAAGAGATTTACGAAGGTAGAAAATAACATAGATTAAAACAAGAATAAATAAGCAAGAAAAAAAACCCAACAAATCTAAGCACATTGCACCATTTCCCATTAACGAAGTCTCTCATCCTTGGAAATAAATCAGTCAAATAAAATTGTTGAGCCTCATTTATCTGATGGAGAGAGATTATCTTGTCTTTTAAAAGGGCAGATTAGACACTATTTGTCTCATGTGCTTTACGTAGAAGCAACATTCTTCACCAATGATTGCACAGATTCCACCTTTTAGGGCCTTAAATGTGCATAGTGTGACAATTATTTAAAGTATGACCAAATCTAAACTGTTAACTTCTGATTGGAGTGCTTCCAACGATTGCATAGTGACATTAAATTCTTGTTATATTACTATGAAAAAATTTATAAATGCATTTTCCAACTCATAAGTCACAGAGCCAGGAAAAAGATTTCTCAATACTAAAGAGAAGTTAGAATTATATAATAGTTCTATTTTAAATTTTTAAAATTATTCTAATGGTGTTACCTATTTTTTTCAACATTTTAATTATACTTTAAGTTCTAGTTCAACATTTTATTATACTTTAAATTTAAATTTAAAATTTAAAAAAATTTCATTTACTTTTTTATGGGGTTATTTGTTTTTTTCTTGTAAATGTAAATTCCTTGTAGATTCTGGATATTAGCTCTTCATCAGATGGATAGATTGCAAAAATTTTCTCCTATTCTGTATGTTGTCTGTTCACTCTGATGGTAGTTTCTTTTGCTGTGCAGAAGCTCTTTAGTTTAATTAGATCCCATTTGTCAATTTTGGCTCTTGTTGCCATTGCTTTTGGTGTTTTATTCATGAAGTCTTTGCCTATGCCTATGTCCTGAATGGAATTGCCTAGGTTTTCTTCTAGGGTTTTTCTGGTTTTAGGTCTTATGTTTAAGTCTTTAATCCATCTTGAGTTCATTTTTGTATAAGGTGTAAGGAAGGGATCCAGTTTCAGCTTTCTGCATATGGCTAGCCAATTTTCCCAACACTATTTATTAAATAGGGTATCCTTTCCCCATTGCTTGCTTTTGTCAGGTTTGTCAAAGATCAGATGGTCGTAGATGTGTGGTGTTGCTTCTGAGGCCTCTGTTCTGTTCCATTGGTCTATATATCTGTTTTGGTACCAGTACCATGTTGTTTTGGTTACGTATCCTTGTAGTATAGCTTGAAGTCAGGTAGTGTGATGCCTCCTGGTTTGCTCTTTTTGCTTAGGATTTTCTTGGCTATATGGGCTCTTTTTTGGTTCCATATGAAATTTAAAGTAGTTTTTTTCTAATTCTGTGAAGAAAGTCAATTGTAGCTTGATGGGGATATCATTGGATATATAAATTACTTTAGACAGTATAGCCATTTTCATGATATTGATTCTTCCTATCTATGAGCATGGAATGTTTTTCCATTTATTTGCGTCCTCTCTTATTTCCTTGAGCTGTGGTTTGTAGTTTTCCTTGAAGAGGCCCTTCACATCTCTTGTAAGTTGTATTCGTAGGTACTTTATTCTCTTTGTAGCAATTGTGAATGGGAGTTCACTCATGATTTGGCTCTCTGTTTGTCTATTGTTGGTGATAAAAATGCTTGTGGTTTTTGCACATTGATTTTGTATCCTGAGACTTTGCTGAAGTTGCTTATCATCTTAAGGAGATTTTGGGCTGAGACGATGGGGTTTTCTAAATATACAATCATGTCATCTGCAAACACAGACAATTTGACTTCCTCTATTCCTTCTTGGATACCCTTTATTGCTTTCTCTTGCCTGATTGCCCTGGCCAGAACTTCCAATACTATGTTGAATAGGAGTGGTGACAGAGGGCATCCTTGTCTCGTGCTGGCTTTCAAAGGGAATTCTTCTAGCTTTTGCCCACTCAGCATGATATTGGCTGTGGGTTTTTCATAAATAGCTCTTATTATTTTGAGATATGTTCCATCAATACCTAGTTTATTGAGAGTTTTTAGCATGAAGGGCTGCTGAATTTTATCAAAGACCTTTTTCTGCATCAATTGAGATAATCATGTGGTTTTTTTCATTGGCTCAGTTAGGTGATGGATTATGTTTATTGACTTGTATATGTTGAACCAGCCTTCCATCCCAGGGATGAAGCTGACTTGATTGTGGTGGATAAGCTTTTTGATGTTCTGCTGGATTTGGTTTGCCAGTATTTTATCGAGGATTTTTGCATTGATGTTCACCGGTGATATTGGCCTGAAATTTTCTTTTTTTGTTGTGTCTCTGCCAGCCTTTGGTATCAGGATGATGCTGGCCTCATAAAATGAGTTAGGGAGGAGTGCCTCTTTTCTATTGTTTGGAATAGTTTCAGAAGGAATGGTACCAGCTCCTCTTTGTACCTCTGGTAGAATTCAGCTGTGAATCCATCTGGTCAGGGGCTTTTTTTTGGGTTGGTAGGCTATTAATTACTGCCTCAATTTCAGAACTTGTTATTGGTCTATTCAGGGATTTGACTTCTTCCTGGTTTAGTCTTGGGAGGGTGTATGTGTCCAGGAACTTATCCATTTTCTAGTTTATTTGTGTAGAGATGTTTATAGTATTCTCTGATGGTAGTTTGTATTTCTGTGGGATCAGTGGTGATATCCCCTTTATCATTTTTTATTGTGTCTGTTTGATTTTTCTCTCTTTTCTTCTTTATTAGTCTGGCTAGTGGTCTATTTTGTTTATTTTTTCACAAAACCAGCTCCTGGATTCATTGATTTTTTGAAGGGTTTTTCATGTCTCTATCTCCTTCAGTTCTGCTCTGATCTTAGTTATTTGTTGTCTTTTACTAGGTTTTGAATTTGTTTGCTCTTGCTTCTCTAGTTCTTTTAATTGTGATGTTAGGGTGTCGATTTTAGATCTTTCCCACTTTCTCCTGTGGGCATTTAGTGCTATAAATTTCCCTCTAAACACTGCTTTAGCTGTGTCCCAGAAATTCTGGTATGTTGTGTCTTTGTTCTCATTGGTTTCAAATAACTCATTTATTTCTGCCTTAATTTCATTATTTACCCAGTAGTCATTCAGGAGCAGGGTGTTCTGTTTCCATGTAGTTGTACAGTTTTGAGTGAGTTTCTTTATCCTGACCTCTAATTTGATTGCACTGTGGTCTGAGAGACAGTTGTGATTTCTGTTGTTTTGCTTTTGCTGAGGAGTGTTTTACTTCCAATTGTGTGGTCAATTTTAGAATAAGTGTGATGTGGTGCTGAGAGTTATGTATATTATGTTGATTTGGGGTGGAGAGTTCTGTAGATGTCTCTTAGGTCCACCGGGTCCAGAGCTGAATTCAAGTCCTGAATATCCTTGTTAACCTTCTGTCTCATTGGTCTTTCTAATATTGACAGTGGGATGTTAAAGTCTCCCACTATTATTGTGTGGGAGTGTAAGTCTCTTTATAGGTCTCTAAGAACTTGCTTTATGAATCTGGGTGCTACTGTATTAGGTACATATATATTTAGGATAGTTAGCTCTTCTTGTTGCGTTGATCCCTTTACCGTTATGTAATGTACTTCTTTGTCTTTTTTGATCTTTGTTGGTTTAACGTCTGTTTTATCGGAGACTATGATTGCAACCCATGCTTTTGTTTGCTTTCCATTTGCTTGGTAGATCTTCCTACATCCCTCTATTTTGAGCCTATGTGTGTCTTTTCATGTGAGATAGGTCTCCTGAATACAGCACAGCGATGGGTCTTGACTTTTTATCCAATTTGCCAGTCTGTGTCTTTTAATTGGGACATTTAGCCCATTTACATTTAAGGTTAATATTGTTATGTGTGAATTTGATCCTGTCATTATGATGTTAGCTGGTTATTTTTTCCAGTTAGTTGATGCAGTTTCTTCATAGCATCGATGGTCTTTACAATTTGGCGTGTTTTTGCATTGGCTGCTACCGGTGTTTCCTTTCCATGTTTAGTGCTTCCTTCAGGAGCTTTTGTAAGGCAGGCCTGGTGAAGACAAAATCTCTCAGCATTTGCCTGTCTGTAAAGGATGTTACTTCTCCTTCACTTATGAATCTTAGTTTGGCTGGATATGAAATCCTGGGTTGAAAATTCTTTTCTTCAAGAATATTGAATATTGGCCCCCACTCTCTTCTGGCTTGTAGGGTTGCTGCAGGGGGAAGGGGCAGCTATGGGCACAGCTTCAGCAGACTTAAACGTTCCCACCTGCTGGCTCTGAAGAGAGCAGTGGATCTCCCAACACAGTGCTCAAGCTCTGCTAAGGGACAGACTACCTCCTCAAGTGGGTCCCTGATCCCTGTGCCTCCTGACTAGGAGACACCTCCCAGCAGGGATCGACAGAAACCTCATACAGGGGAGCTCTGGCTGGCGTCTGGCAGGTGCCCCTCTAGGACAAAGTTTCCAGAGGAAAGAACAGGCAGCAATCTTTGCTGTTCTGCAGCCTCCACTGGTGATGCCCAGGCAAACAGTGTCTGGAGTGGACCTCCAGCAAACTACAGCAGTCTGCAGCAGAGGGGCCTGACTGTTAGAGGAAAACTAACAAACAGAAAGGAATAGCATCAACATCAACAAATGTTAGAAGGAAAACTAACAAGCAGAAAAGAATAGCATCAACATCAACAAAAAGGATGTCCACACAAAAACCCCATCTGAAGGTCACCAACATCAAAGACCAAAGGTAGATAAATCCACGAAGATGAGGAAAACCAGTGCAAAAAGGCTGAAAATTTCAAAAACCAGAACACCTCTTCTCCTCCAAAGGATCACAACTCCTCACCAGCAAGGGAACAAAACTGGATGGAGAATGAGTTTGACAAATTGACAGAAGTAGGCTTCATAAGGTGGGTAATAATGAACTCCTCTGAGCTAAAGGAGCATGTTCTAACCCAATGTGAGGAAGCTAAGAACCTTGAAAAAAGGTTAGAGGAATTGCTAACTGGAATAACCAGTTCAAAGAAGAAGATAAATGACCTGATGGAACTGAAAACCACAGCACGAGAACTTCATGAAGCATACAGAAGTATTAATAGCCGAATCGATCAAGTGGAAGAAAGGATATCAGAGATTGAAGATCAACTTAATGAAATAAAGTGTGAAGATGAGATTAGAGAAAAAAGAATGAAAAGGAAAGAACAAAGCCTCCAAGAAATACGGGACTATGTGTAAAGACCAAACCTACATTTGGTGTGCCTGAAAGTGATGGGGAGAATGAAACCAAGATGGAAAACACTCTTCAGAATATTATTCAGAAGAACTTCCCCTATCTAGCAAGACAGGACAACATTCAAATTCAGGAAATACAGAGAAAACCAGAAAGATACTCCTCGAAAAGAGCAACCCCAAGACACATAATCGTCACATTCACCAAGGTTGAAATGAAGGAAGAAAGTTTAGGGCAGCCAGAGAGAAAGGTTGGGTTACCCACAAAGGGAAGCCCATCAGACTAATTTTCTTATATTTTGATGATTGCCATTCTGACTGAAGGGAAGAGATATCTTATTGTAGTTTTAATTTGTATTTCCCTGATAATTAGGGATGTTGAGAATTTTTTATATATCTGTTGACCTTTTGTATGTCTTCTTCTGAGAAATGTCTATTATTTTGCCCGTTTTAAAATCAGCTTATTTTTTGTTGTTGCTGAGCTATTTGAGTTCCTTATATATTTTTTACATTAGCCCCCTATCAGATGTATAGTTAGCAAAAATATTCACTTATTCTATAGATTGTCTCTTTGCACTGTTGATTGTTTCCTTTGCTGATCAGAGGCTTTTTAGTGTGATATAATCCCGTTTGTCTATATTCACTTTTGTTGCCCATGCATTTGAGGTTTTATTTGAAAAACCCTTGCCTAGGGTTTTTATAACTTATTTATGACCTATGACATTAGCTTACTAATGTCATTAAGTTTTCCACTCATGTTTTCTGCCAGTATTTCTATAGTTTTGAGTCTTACCGTTATGTCTTCAATCTGTTTTATGGCTTTTTTATTGCTTTTGGATATGGTGAGTGATAAGGGTCTAATTTCATTCTTCTGCATGTAGATATCCAACATGATTTATATGCAAAGGAAGAAAAGTCAATATGTCAAAGCAATGTTACACTCCTCTGTTTATTCATAATAGCGAAGAGATGGATCAGCCTAAATGTCTACAAACAGATGAATGGATAAAGAAAATGTGTTATATATACACAATTGAATACTATTGAGTCATAAAAAGGAATGAAATCTTGTCATTTACAACAACATGAATGAAGTTGGAGGACATTATGGAAAGTGAAATAAGCTAGACATGGAAAGAAAAATATCGCATGATCTCATTCATATGTGGTAATTCTAAAACACATTCTCATAGAAGTAGAGAGTAGAATAGTGGCTACTAGAAGATGGAAAGGGTAGAGGAAATTGGGGATGGTGAGACATTGGTCAATGGGTACAAAGCTTTGGTTAGATAGGAGGAATAATTTCCAGTGGTCTGTTGCATAGTAGGATGACTAGAATTAAATGTAAATGTATTATATATTTTAAAATAGCTAGAAGAGAAGTTTTTGAATGTTCTCATCACAAAGAAACATACATGTTTAAGATGATGGATATACTTACTCTAGATTGATCATTACACAATTTATACAAATATTTATACATCACATTTTACCCCATAAATATTTACAATTACTGTATATCAAACATGAATTAATAAAAATAAGGCAGCTCACAATGCAGAAAAAAAGGGATTTAGAATTGTGAAGCTACAAGTGGATTTTCTATGATGCCATGCCAAGCATGTTTCTGTGGTAGTACTTTAGGAACAAAGGATCCCAAGTTTGTAACTTTGCTGGCACTTAAGATGGAGTGCCTGGTTGTAGAATGTGTTGGGTATCAGCATCCATATGGTCCTGACCATCTAGATGGGAGCTCATTACATATCTTGTCACCACTTAATATAAAAAGACCAGTGTTGTTAAGGGATGATGTCAGAGTGGAACTTGTACCTCACCTGGTTAAGGTTTACTGTATCTTCTCATCTGTCATGTTGGCATCTGCTCATTACTATTTTTCATGTATCCAGGTCAGTTTGTAGGAGCAAAACACTTTACCACTTTACAAAATAACTAATAGATGAGGCCTTCAGTTTGGCTTTGGCAGCAGTAAAGCTTAGTATTGTCTGCCAACCAATGAGCCCAGAATTTTGGTGTGTGTGTATATATATATAACATACATATATATAAATAAGTTATATTTATGACCTGTTACATATATATGTATGTAACATATATATATGTATGTAACATATATATATATGTGTAACATATATATATGTGTGTAACATATATATATGTATGTAACATATATATGTATGTAACATATATATATGTGTGTAACATATATATGTGTGTAACATATATGTATGTGTAACATATATATGTAACATATATATGTATGTAACATATATATGTAACATATATATGTATGTAACATATATATATAACATATATATGTATGTAACATATATATATATATATATATGTATGTATGTAACATTTGGTGTTTGGCAGCTCAATTAGAAGGAAAGCTGAGCTACTCCAGTTTTCCCAGGGCTGGTTTTTTTGCCAGCTGTAACATCTGTTGATTTGTCAAGTACATGTATCATAAGAGTAAGTAACAGGAACATATAAAACCTTCATGAGAGGTTTAAGGATAACACCTGTGGATCAAACCACAGGGATTGTTTGCAGCATTGCCTTTGTATGGCATCTAGAAGGAGTTCAGCATTATGTCTGTTTTCCGTGTAAAGCGAAAACTTCTCTTCTAATGACTTTACCTGAGCAAAGGACAGTGCTTAAGCTTCCATAGAGGTCTATCTGCAGCTAATTAACTCACCACATGAAGAAGTAGAGCACACTGTTTCATTGGTTGTAGATGCCATACCCTGCTAAACATCCATTTTATGGAGTTGCTACTGATATTGTCAGGAATTAAAATTACTTCAGGTTCTTTTTTATTATCTAGATGTTAACCAGTAATCAAACTAGTTAACATGGCCAGGATTTGGAAAACTGGTGCAAAAGATCCCACATCAGTGCTTGACCTGTTGAGAAATTGGAGAAGATTAATAATAAGAGTAAGACACTGAAAGAAAACACATGTTTGAGAATCAGAGAGAGAATAAGATAAATTGAGACAAGAAATATTTAGTGAGCCACAGAATAAATGACCAAGAAATGGGAAAAAAATTGGTGAGAGACCATTGTTAAACGGCAGAGTTTTGCTGTATTGTTATTGTTGTTTTGAAAGTAGCAAGGCTAAGAAAGGGGGAGAAGTAAAAAATATACAAAGTTTCTTGATCTTTGATCTTGGGAAAATCTGCTTACTTTTTGTTGCTGCCTGGGCCAATTCTCTTAAACACTATGCTGTTCTATAATGAAGAATGTGGAAAAACTTGCATGCCTTTCACCTAACCAATATTCCCAGCTGTACCTTGAATAAAGAGGGGGGTTTAGAACCTTAGAACATTACTGTTAATGCTTATTTCTCTAAAGTCCTTGTGAATCATAGGCAATCCCCAACATGTCTCCCACTTTATTTTTTAAATACATTCTCAGTGAAATTTATTCGATGCCACACTTCCTCTTTTTTTTCCCTGTTTTCTGGAGACTTAGGGACCTTCCTCTCCATCTGTAACATTCAGTGGTGCCAGAACTCTGTACAGACACATCTGGGTTTCTCTTGGGCAAACACAAATGACCCAGTGGCCATCGTCCTTCCCCTGTAGACCACAACCTCAAAGAGCAGGGCTACAGCTGGTCCTGCTGAGCTCAGAGCCTCTCTGAGGGTTCTGCAGGGGCAAGGACAAGAATACATGTACATAGATATATAACATGGACCATTTGAGCAAGGAAATGTAATGCAGACATTTACAAAACTATGTTGAAGGAATCATAGATTCCAGCCAATGTCTATAACCTTTGGGTAAGGGAAAATCAGACAATATGCTGAAATTCATTATTGCATATTAATGAAATTGTTGGTCTCAGCATTCAGAGTGAGAGTGTTAGTGTTCGGTCTATACAAATTAATGCCTTTTTAAACCTTTCACAATTAGGACAAACTAATCTACAATAGAAACATTCATAGCTCGTTTTAAGCATGAGACTCTGAGCAATTTTGTCTTGTTGGTTTTCAGAAAAGTCTCTGTCCTTCTACTTTTGAACCAGAGGTTTGTCAACGATCAGATGGTTGTAGATATGCAGTTTTATTTGTGAGTTCTCGGTTCTGTTCCATTAGTCTCTGTGCCTGTTTTTGTACCAGTGCTATGCTGCTTTGGTTACTGTAGACTTGTATAGTTTGAAGCCAGGTAGTGTGATGCCTCCAGCTTTGTTTTCTTTGCTTTAGATTGCCCTGGCTATATTGGTTCCATATGAATTTTAAAAGAGTTTCTTTCTAATTCTATGAAGAATGTCAGTGGTAGTTTAATGGGAATAGAATTGAATCTATAAATTACTTTGAGCAGTATGGCCATTTTATGATATTGATTCTTCCTATCCATGAGCATGGAATATTTGCCCATATGTTTGTATCCTCTCTGATTTCCTTGAGCAGTAGTTTGTAGTTCTCCTTGAAGAGGTCCTTCACCTCCATTGTTAGCTGTATTCACAGGTATTTTATTCTCTCTGTGGCAATTGTGAATGGGAGTTCATTCATTATTTAGCTCTCTGCTTGTCTGTTGTTGGTGTATAGGAATGCTTGTGATTTCTGCACATTGATTTTGTAGACTGAGACTGCTGAACTTGCTTATCAGCTTGAGAAGCTTTTGGGCTGAGTTGATGGGATTTTCTAGATAGACAATCATGTCATCTGCAAACAAAGACAATTTGACTTCCTCTCTTCCTATTTGAATACCCTTTATTTCTTTCTATTGCCTGATTGCCTTGGCCAGAACATCCGATACTATGTTGAATAAGAGTGGTGAGAGAAGGCCTCCTTGTCTTATGCCAGTTTCCAAGGGGAATGCTTCCAGCTTTTGCCCATTTAGTATGATATCGGCTGTGGGTTTGTCATAACTGGCTCTTATTATTTTAAGATATGTTCCTTCAATACCTAGCTCACTGAGAGTTTTTAACATGAAGGAATGTTGAATTTTTTGCACTGATGTTCATCAGGAATATTGGCCTAAAGTTTTCTTTTTTTGTTGTGCCTCTGCCAGGTTTGGTATCAGGATGATGCTGGCCTCATATACTGAGTCAATTTTTTGGAATAGTATTAGAAGGAATTGTACCAGTTCTCCTTTGTACCTCTGGTAGTCTTCAGTTGTTAAACCATCTGGTCCTGGGCTTTTTTTGGTTTTAATTTTATTTATTTATTTTATTTTATTACAGCCTCAACTTCAGAACTTGTTATTGGTCTCTTCAGGGACTCAACTTCTTCCTGGTTCAGTCTTGGGAGGGTGTATGCATCCAGGAATGTATCCATTTCTTCTAGATTTTGCAGTTTATTTCCACAGAGGTGTTTATGGTGTTCTCTGATGGGGGTTTGTATTTCTGTGGGGTCAGTGGTGGTATCCCCCTTATCATTTCTAATTGTATTTATTTGAATTTTCTCTCTTTTCTTCTTTATTTGTCTAGCTAGTGGTCTGTTTTGCTGATTTTTTCCCAACAAACAGCTCCTGGATTCATTGATTTTTTGAAGGGTTTTTCATGACTCTAACTACTTCAGTTCCTCTCTGAGCTTAGTTATTTCTTGTCTTCTGCTAGCTCTGGGGTGTGTTTGCTCTTGGTTCTCTTATTATTTTAGTTGTTACGTCAGGGTGTCAATTTGAGGTCTTTCTCGCTTTTTGATGTGGGCATTTTGTGCTATAAATTTCCTTCTTAAAACTGCTTTAGCTGCATCCCAGAGATTCTGGTATGTTGTCTCTTTGTTCTCATTCATTTTAAAGAACTTTTTGATTTCTGCCTTAATTTTGTTATTTACCCAGAAGTCATTTAGAAGCAGGTCGTTTGATTTCCATGTAGCTGTGTGGTTTTGAGGAGGTTTCTTAACCTTGAGTTCTAATTGGATTGTGCTGCAGTCTGAGAGACTGCCCTCAGTTATGTTGCATTTGCTGAAGTGTGTTTTACTTCCAATTGTGTGATCAATTTTAGAGTAAGTGTCATGTGGCACAGAGAAAAATGTATATTATGCTCTTTTGGGGTGGGGAGTTCTGTAGACATCTTTCAGATTCTCTTAGTCTAGAGCTGAGTTCAAGTCCTAGATATTTTTGTTAATTTTCTGACTCAATGATCTGTCTAATACTGACAGCAGGGCATTACAATCTCCCATTACTATTGTGTGGAAGTCTAAGTCTTTTTGTAGGTCTCTAAGAACTTGTTTTATGAATCTGGATGCTCCTGTATTTGGTGCATATATATTTAGGATAGTTAGCTCTTCTTGTTGAATTGAACACTTTACCATGATGTAATGCACTTCTTTGTCTCTTTTGACCTTTGTTGATTTGAAGTCTGTTTTGTCAGAAACTCGGATTGTAACCCCTGCTTTTTTTTTCTCCTTTCCATTTGCTTGGTAAATTTTCCTCCATCCTTTTATTCTGAGCCTCTATTTTTCTTTGCAGGTGAGATGTGTCTGTCTCTTGAATACAGCACACTGATGGGTCTTGTCATTTTATCTAGCTTGCCATTCTGTGTTTTTTTGATTGTGGCATTTAGCCCGTTTACATTTAAAGTTATTATTGTTATGTGTGAATTTCACCTTGTCATCCTGATGCTGGCTGGTTATTTTGCAGATTTGTTAATGTAGTTGCTGCATAGTGTCATTGGTCTGTGTACTTCAGTGTTTTCATAGTGGCTCATAATGGCTTTTTCATTCCATGTTTAGTGTTTCCTTCAGGAACTCTTGCAAGGCAGGCCTGGTGTTAATGAAATCCCTCAGCATTTGCTTGCCTGAAAATGATTTTATTTCTCCTTCAATTATGAAGCATATTTTGACCAGATGTGAAATTCTAGTTTGGAAATTCTTTTCTTTAAGAATGTTGAATATTGGCCCCAATCTATTCTGGCTTGTAAGGTTTCTGCTGAGAAGTCTACTGTTAGTCTGATGGGCTTCCCTTTGGAGGTGACCTGGCCTTTCTCTCTGGTTGCCCTTAACATTTTTTCCTTCATTTTGTCCGTAAAAAATCAGATGATTATGTGTCTTGAGGATTGTCTCTCATGGAGTATCTTCTTGAGGTTCTCTGGATTTCCTGAATTTGAATGTTGCCCTGTCTTGCTAGGTTGGGGAAGTTCTCCTTGATGATATTCTGAATTGTGTTTTCCAGCTTCATTTTATTCTCCTCATCTCTTTCAGGTACTCCAATCAGTTGTAAATTCAATCTCTTTATATAGTCCCATAGTTCTTGGAGGCTTTGTTCATTCCTTTCAATTCTTTATTCTCTAATCTTGTCTGCCTGCCTTGTTTCAGCAAAATAGGCTTCAAGCTCTGATATACTTTCTTCCACTTGATCGATTCAGCTATTGATACTTGTGTTTGCTTGATGAAGTTCTCATGCTGTGTTTTTCAGCTTCATTAGGTCATTGATATTCGTCTCTAAATTGAGTATTCTAGTTAACATCTCCTGTAAACTTCTATCATGATTTCTACCTTCTTTGCATTGGGTTAGAACATAATCCTTTAGCTCAGCGAACTTTGTTATCACTAACTTTCTGAAGCCTACTTCTGTCAGTCATCCATCTCAGCTTCAGCCCAGTTCTGTGCCCTTGCTGAAGAGGTGTTGCAATCATTTGGAGGAGAAGAGGTACTCTGGATTTTGGAAACTTTAGTGTCTTTGCATTGATTTTTCTTCATCTTAGTGGATTTATCTATCTTTGATATTTGAGGCTGTTGAGCTTTGGATGGGGTTTTTGTGGGATCTTTTTTGTTGGTGTTGTTATTGCTTTTTGTTTGTTTTTCTTTCTAACAGTCAGAGCCCTCTTCTGCGGGTCTGCTGCAGTTTGCTGGGGGTCTATTTCAGACCCCGTTCACCTGGGTTTCACCAGTGGAGGCTACAGAACAACAAAGATTAATGCCTGCTCCCTCCTCCAAAAGCTTTGTACCAGAAGGGCACTGATCTGATGCCAACCAGAACTCTCCTGTATGAGGTGTCTGGCTAGCCCTGTTGGGAGGGCTACTCAGTCAGGAGGCACGGGATCAGGGAGCAGTTTGGCTGCCCCTCAGCAGAGCTGGTGCTCTGTGCTGGGGGCTTCCCCCTCTTCCAGATAACCCAGACTCTTCAGAGACAGCAGGCAGGAAAGATTAAGTCCGCTGAACCTGAGACCAAGGCCACCCCTCCCCCTAGGTGCTCTGTCCAAGGGAGGTGAGAGTTCTGTCTGTAAACCCCTAGCTAGAGTTGCTGGAATTCCTGCATGGAGGCCCTGCCCAGTGAGGAGGGATGAATCCATGTCCCACCAGAAGAAGCAGTCTGGCCACGATTGGCCACAGCTGCTGTACTGTTCCTTGGGAAATACTGCCCAGTCCAAACCACCCAGCCTCTCTAGCACTGGTGGGGGAAAACTGCAGACTAGAGCCACAGTAATGGTGCCCCCCACTTCCCATAACTCAGTCATCTTAGGCAGACCCCAGGCTGTTGTGCTGGCCAGCAGGGATTCCAAGCCAGTGGGTCTTATCTTGCAGGATTTCATAGGAGTGGAACCCACTGAGTGAGGTCACTTGGCTCCCTGGCTTCAGCCCCCTTTCCACGAGAATGGACGGCACTCTGGCCACCTGGAGTTCCAGGAGCCAACAGAGTATATAAAAACTCCTGCAGCTCAGTGCCTGCCCCAATGGCTGCAGAATGGTGCAGCTGCCATGGGTCTGCCCAGTTTTGTGCTTGGGACCCAAGGCCCTGGTGAGGTAGGCACACAAGGGAATCTTCTGATCCACAGATTGCAAAAATTCATGGGAAAAGTGTAGAACCCCAGGCAGGCAGCACTGTCCCTCACTGCCTCCCTTAGCTGGGAGAGAAGGTCCCAGGTGAACCAGCTCCCGAGTGAATCATCGCCTCACCCTGCTTTTCCTTGTTTTTCATGGTCATGCCAACTGCCTAGTCAGTTGCAATGAGAAAATCTGGGTACCTCAGTTGGAAATGCAGAAATCACTTGCCTTTTACATTTGTCTCAGTGGAAGCTGCAGACCAGAGCTGTTGCTACTCGGCCATCTTGGCCCAGCATCTTCTCTCTTTCTAGCACTACAAGATGCTCTGTGTTAATTGTGTTGATTCTCTGCCCACACCTCATAGTCACAATTTCTTCAAGGAATCCTAATTCTTTTATTTAGTTAATAGTATAGGGAACAAAGTTCTGGGCAATAGGTGCACTCATTGCTATTGGGAATCTGTTGTTTCTAGGCTATGTCAGCTGACAGAGCAAAGGAATATGTGTGTATACTAACTCACACATATACACGTATGTATACATGTTACTGCATTTGCCCATATGTGTCTATATAGAGTTAAACTGAATCCCTACTAATGTCTCGTCACCACATTATCTAATCCAGCAAAACATGAATCAGTTTCTTGTTCTTGGAAAACAACTTTACCAAGTAAAGTGCAGTAGTTATGGACAACTCCTTTGACAATTAGTATAGTCACTTGTTTTCTAAGTAATGTACATCACTCTCCCTTTCCGTCATTCCTCTCAGTGAGGATATTCCATCCATTTATTTTACAGTTACAGAATTTTTTGTATTCCTCTCTAGGATCCCCATCTTCTGAATAGATAGATAGATGGATAGATAGATAGATAGATAGATAGATAGATAGATAATTTAGTTTCCATGCATTTATATTTACTCTTTGTAATGTAAAGTTCAGTATGATTTGAAAAAAAGTATCAACATATCATTACAGTATCATAGAGAATAATTTCATTGCCCAAAATAAATGTTTTCTATTTCATCTATTCCAACCTTGCTCTCTCCCAAGCCCCTACTTACCACTAATCTTTTTTATTTTTTTCTGTAATTTCACCTTTTCCAGAGTGTCATATAAATGAAATTATACAGTATGCCTTCTTTCATGTAAGAATGTGCCTTTAATATTTGTGAAGTGTAGCTCTTGGTGGCTGAGATTTGCATTTATATTTCACTAACAGCTAAAGGTGTTGAGTATCTTTTCATATGCTTATTAGGCATAACTATAGCTTTTTTGGAGAAATGTCTGTTCACACAATTTACCCACTTTTAATTAGAACATTTCCCTTTATATTTTCGAGTTGCAAGAATATTTTACATATTCTGGGCAATAGGCCTCTATCAACTATATGATTTGCAAACATTGTCTCCCATTCTTTCATTTATGTTGATGCTGTTCTTTGAGCCACAAAAGATTATAATTTTGATGAAGTTCATTTATAATTTATATTTTTCTTCTTTCATTTATATTTTGGTATCATATCATAGAAACCATTCTTTTACCAAAGGCCATGAAGATTTATTCCTATATACTCTTCCATGAGATTTGTAAATTTAGCTGTTATATTTAGTTCTATGATCAATTTTGAGTCAGTCGTGTGTATAGTGTGGGAGGAGTCCAACTTGGGTGTGAATATCCACTTGTCCCAGCAATATTTATTGGAAAAAATATTTTCCATATAGAGTTGACTTGGCAACCTTGTAAAATCAATTGACCATATATGCCAGGGTTAATTTTTAGACACTAAACTCTATTTCACTGACCTATATATTTATCCTTATACCAGTACCGCAATGTCTTGATTAATATCAGGTTGTAGGAAGTTTTAAAATTATTAAATATGAGTTGAGTAATCCAACTTGTCCTTTAAAGACTGTTTTGTAGCACTTGCACCTCCATATGAATTTTAGAATTGCGTTGCCAATTGCTTGAAATCATGAAAAGAAAAAGCTAGGATTTTTACAGGAAATATATTGAATCTGTAGCTTTCTTTGGAAAGTAGTGTCACCTTAACAATATTAAGTCTTCTGGTCAATTATCTTGGGAATTTGTTTTTACTTTTTTGGGAATTTATTTAGGACTTTTTTGATTACTTTTTATTGATTCATAATACGCATTTATTTGGTACATGTCATATTTTGTTACTGCATAAGATGTATAATGATTAAGTCAGGGTATTTAGGGTATCCATCAACTCAAGTATTTATCATTCCTATGTCCTGGGAACATTTCAAGTCCTCTGTTCTAGCTATTTTGAAATATACAATATATTGTAGTTAACTATAGTCACCCTAGTCTGCTATCAAACATTAGAACTTCAAGAAGACAAATATCACATGTTCTCATCCATATTTGGGAGCTAAAAAAGTTTATCTCATGGAAGTAGAGAATAAAATAATAGATACAAGAGGCCAGGAAGTGTGTGGGTGTGGGATAAAGACATTGGTTAATGTACACAAAGTTCTTTAATTTCTTTCAGTATGCTTTCTGCTTTCCAGTGCACATATCTTGCTCATATTTTGTTAAATGTATTCCTAAATCTATTCTTCTTTGATGCTACTCTAAATGAAATTCTATTCTGAGTTTCATTACTAAACTGTTAATTTGCAGTATATAGAAATACCATTTACTGGTACCAAAAGAGATATATAAACGAATGGAACAAAACTGAGGCCTCAGAAAGAATGCCACACATCTACAACCATCTGATCTTTGACAAACCTGACAAAAACAAGCAATAGGGAAAGGATTCCCTATTTAATAAATGGTGTTGGGAAAACTGGCTAGCCATATGCAGAAAACTGAAATTGGACCCCTTCCTTACACCTTATACAAAACTTAACTCAAGATTGAATAAAGACTTAATCGTAAGACCTAAAACCATAAAACCCTAGAGGAAAACCTAGGCAATACCATTCAGGACACGGGAATGGGCAAAGACTTCATGACTAAAACACCAGAAGCAACGACAACAAAAGCAAAAATTGACAAATGGGATCTGATTAAACTAAAGAGCTTCTGCACAGCGAAAGAAACTATCAATCAGAGTGAACAGGCAACATACAGAATGGGAGAAAATTTTTGCAATCTATCCATCTGACAAAGGGCTAATATCCAAAATCTACAAGGAACTTAAACAAATTTACAAGAAAAAAAAACCATCAAAAAGTGGGCGAGGGGTATGAACAAACGCTTCTCAAAAGAAGACATTTATGTGGCCAATAAACATATGAAAAAAAGCTCATGATCACTGGTCATTAGAGAAATACAAATCAAAACCACAGTGAGATACCATCTCATGCCAGTTAGAACAGTGATTATTAAAAAGTCAGGAAACAACCAATGCTGGAGAAGATGTGGAGAAACAGAAATGATTTTACACTATTGGTGGGAGTGTAAATTAGTTCAACCATTGTGGAAAACAGTGTGGCGATTCCTCAAGGATCTAGAACTAGAAATACCATTTGACCCAGCAATCCCATTACTGGGTATATACTCAAAGATTATAAATCATTCCACTATAAAGACACATGCACACATATGTTTATTGCAGCACTGTAATAGCAAAGACTTGGAACCAACCCAAATGCCCATCAGTGATAGACTGGATGAAGAAAATGTGGCACATATACACCATGGAATACTATACAGCCATATAAAAGGATGAGTTCATGTCCTTTTCAGGGACATGGATGAAGCTGGAAACCATCATTCGCAGCGAACTAACACAGGAACAGAAAACCAAACACCACATGTCCTCACTCATAAGTGAGAGTTGAACAATGAGAACACATGGACGCAGGGAAGGGAACATCACACACTGGGGCTTGTCAGGGGGTTGGGGGGTAGGGGATGGATAGCATTAGGAGAAATACCTAATGTAGATGACAGGTTGATGGGTGCAGCAAACCACCATGGCACGTGTATACCTATGTAACAAACCTGCACATTCTGCACATGTATCCCAGAAAATAAAGTATAATGAAAAAAAAAAGTACCATTGATTTCTTTATTGACCTTGTATACTGCAAAACATTACTGAACTTGTTTTCTGGTTCTAGTCTTATTTGAGTAGTTTCCTTAGGATTTTCTCCTACACAAGATCATAACATTTGCAAAAAAAAAGATTGTTTGAATTTCTTTCCAATATGGATAATTTCCATTTCTTTTTCTAGACTAATTTCCCTGAATATATCCTCCAGTACAATATTGGATAGGAGTGACAAGAGTAGAAATCTTCATCTTTGTTCTAATCTTGTGGAAAATATTGAGGGTTTCATGATAGCATATGTTGTTATATGAGTATTTTGTGGATGTCCATTTGAATTAAGAAATTTTATGTCTATCTCAAATTTGTTGAGGTTTTTTTTTTCCATGAATGGGTTTAAATTGTCAATTGTTACTTCCACATCCTTTCAGTTGATCACCTGGTTTTTGTTCTTTAGTCTATAATATAGCACATTACCTTAACTGTTTTTATGCTTGGAACCAAACTGTATTCTTGGGATAAATACACTTGGTTATAGTGAATGATCCTGTTTTTATGTTGCTGTGTTTGGTTTTCTAGTATTTTTGTTTAGGTTAATGCCACAATATTCATAAAGTTATTTGCCTGTGATTTTCTATTCTTGTAACATATGTGTCTAGTGGTAGTAAACTGGCCTCATAGAATGCATTTGTTCTCCTCTCTGTTTGTTTGTTACAAGAACAAGCTTAGCACAACTGATGTTAATGTTGGAGACAGCATGGCCAAGATGATTTCAAAGTTGATTCAGAAGACATTTATCTGAATGGGAAAAATTTTAGGAATACTTTTGTCAGTGTACTTTGCTTATATTTTCCATCTCCTATAACTGCAGAACTGACATAAGGCAAATATCCATTTATTGATTTCAATTCCTTTGGATACATACCTAGAAGTGTGACTGCTAGGTCCTATAGTAGTTCCATTTTTAGTTTTTGGAGGAAACTTCATACTGTTTTTCATAATAGCTGTACTAATTTGCATGCTGTTATAAGAATTTGCTTTCTTATAACAGTATAAGAAAGTTGCCTTTTGCACATTTGCAAAGTTGAAATAAATTTTTTCAGTAATAATAAGACAAAATTCTAAGTGATAAATATTTGTGTTATACTTTGTCAATGGTTTTATTCTTTCATTGTGACATATAAAGTAATGGTGCATCTTACAACTAATGCAAATGATATATCTTGCAATTTACTTAGACAACACTGTCAGTATTAACAAATATTGGCTTAATGGTTGGTATATAACTGCTATTAGTCTACATGCTTTATGTATTATTAGTTCATTCAAGCTTCACAGAGTCTCAAGTGGTAGGCATTATTACCACTCCTATGGTCCAGTTCCAATCTGAGGTAAAGTTCCGTAAGAAAGAAATAGAAGCTTGAGATTAACTCAGTCTATCTCCAGAGTCAGTGCTCACATCAACTATGTTAGCATATCTTTTCTCCTGTATGGTAATTACTCTCTAGGTCTAGTTTCAGAAATCTTACTCTACCTCATGGTCATTAAGTTACTTTTCTAAGTTAAACTCTAAAAACTGTAACAAATTACTTTTACATTTAGGTCAATGATCTACCTGGAATTGAATTTTTGTGAAATGTGAGATCAAAAGTCAGATTTTAATTTCACTCTATGGATATTTAATTTCCTAGAATATTTGTTCAAAATGTTATTTTCCCCCATTGGTCTTATGTATAATTCACTTGTTTGTATATGCACATGCCTTTATTCAGTTCTCTTTTCTCTTTTTCATTTACTTATTTCCCTTTGTGCAAATGCCACTGTCTTAGTTAATGAAAGACTTCACTTAACACAAGTATTTTCCATCCAGAGCCCTGTCTCTTCATCACTGTGCTGTTCTGTAATGAAGACAGAGAAGAGTGAAAACTGCATGTCTTGTACCTACACAAATATTCCCAGCTGTGCCTCCAATAAAGAGTAGGGTTTAGGATTTTAGAACATTGCTGTTGACACTTATGTCTCTAATGCCCTTGTAAATCTTAGGCAATCCTTCCAACTCCACTCACCCTATATTTTAGAACATTCTCAGTTAATTTTATTTGATGTCACCCTCACCCATCTTCATTTTCCTTTTCTGCTTTTCTGGAGCCCTAGGGAATTTCCTAAAGGCTCCCCAGTGACAGCCAGGCATGGCAAGAACCAAGAAAGGTACCCCTGAATCCTCCTGGACAAGTAGAGACAACACAGTGGCCAAGATCTTCCTTCTCCAGACAATGTCCGCCAAGGACAGGGCCACAGCCTGTGCAGCTAAGCCCAGATCCTCTAGGTAGGGTCTGCATGTCCAGCTGCTTCCTTCCCTCCCTTTGGGTTCAGTTGGGGAAGTCAGCCCTTTGGTATAAAGCAAAAGTTTGTTCCAAAACCATTCTGCTTACTGACCAAGGAAACATTACTGCTTCACACCTTGCCTTGTAATATTATATTAGTTCTTTTTATTATTATTATTATACTTTAAGCTTTAGGGTACATGTGCACAACGTGCAGGTTTGTTGCATATGTATACATGTGCCATGTTGGTGTGCTGCACCCATTAACTCGTCATTTAGCATTAGGTATATCTCCTAATGCTATCCCTCCCCCCTCCCCCCACCACACAACAGGCCCTGGTGTGTGATGTTCCCCTTCCTGTGTCCCTGCATGCTCATTGTTCAATTCCCACCTATGAGTGAGAACATGCGGTGTTGGTTTTTTGTCCTTTCGATAGTTTGCTGAGAATGATGGTTTCCAGCTTCATCCATGTCCCTACAAAGGACATGAACTCATCATTTGTTATGGCTGCATAGTATTCCATGGTGTATATGTGCCACATTTTCTTAATCCAGTCTATCATTGTTGGACATTTGGGTTGGTTCCAAGTCTTTGCTATTGTGAATAGTGCTGCAATAAACATACATGTGCATGTGTCTTTATAGCAGCATGATTTATAATCCTTTGGGTATATACCCAGTAATGGGATGGCTGGGTCAAATGGTATTTCTAGTTCTAGATCCCTGAGGAATCGCCACACCGACTTCCACAATGGTCGAACTAGTTTACAGTCCCACCAACAGTGTAAAAGTGTTCCTATTTCTCCACATCCTCTCCAGCACCTGTTGTTTCCTGACTTTTTAATGATTGCCATTCCAACTGGTGTGAGATGGTATCTCATTGTGGTTTTGATTTGCATTTCTCTGATGGCCAGTGATGATGAGCATTTTTTCATGTGTTTTTTGGCTGCATAAAAGTCTTCTTTTGAGAAGTGTCTGTTCATATCCTTCACCCACTTTTTGACGGGGTTGTTTGTTTTTTTCTTGTAAATTTGTTTGAGTTCATTGTAGATTCTGGATATTAGCCCTTTGTCAGATGAGTAGGTTGCAAAAATTTTCTCCCATTCTGTAGGTTGCCTGTTCACTCTGATGGTGGTTTCTTTTGCTGTGCAGAAGCTCTTTAGTTTAATTAGATCCCATTTGTCAATTTTGGCTTTTGTTGCCATTGCTTTTGCTATTTTAGACATGAAGTCCTTGCCCATGCCTAAAATTTGAAAATATTTTTAACATTTGTTTATTAATTTTTTTTGGCCATACAAACTTTATCTACAGTGTTTTATTTTTGTATTGTATATTAATGCCTTCTGTATTTAATAATGCTACCATAAATGTATTTAATAATGCTACCATACCAAAAGGCATATATTAATGCCTTTTGTATTTAATAATGCTACCATAAAATGTATTTAATAATGCTACCGTAATAACTTTTCAAAATCGCTTTTTAATCATTTTCATCTTTTCAAGCATCAGTCTTTCCTAAATTGAATGGAAATATCACTTGTTTTAGGGAAGACAGATGGTACATATTCTCTGTATTTGCCATAAATATCCTCTGAAATACCTCTGGTTGTGAAGAAGAGACTTGTCTAGCAGTCACAAGGCAAAATGTATCCACAGCCTGTTGCTTTAAAAGAGCTCTGAATGTTTTCATTGTATGGCCTAGCTTATTCTAATTTTGAGAGATTCACAAAGGCATTAACTTATATAGACAGAACACTGAGATGTAGACATCATCTAAATGCAGACACCAGTCACTTCTTTACTGTACAAATATGAACTTCATTGTACTGCTTGCAAGAAATGCAGACACCAGCCACTTCTTCACTGTGCAGATATGAACTTCATCATACTGCTTGCAGGAAAATGCAAGATGGCAGTGTCATATAAAGTTGCCTTTTTGTGGTCAAGAATAAGACAAAATTGTTGAAGGCTAAGTTCACCCAAATGGCTTCTTCTTGTGTCTGGATTTTTTCCATAGTTCTTTGATCCATGTGCCACATCAGTGATGATGGTACATAGCAAAGCTATCTCATGGCAGCTGGCATGAATACTCTTTCCCCTTCCTAGCACTGGACATGGAGAATGGCTTGATGAAACTCAGCCACCTTGTTCTCCAGACTCTCAGTTCCACCTTCTCAACTCGAGTGTCTTCCAAGGTCCTTGCCACACCCACAGCCTGGAAACTCAACCATAACCCAAGGCTACAGTAGGACTCACATCACTATTTCTCATCTCTCAGGGATAACTGTCCTTTTTTAAAAAAAAAAATGTTCAGGCATTTGCAAACCATGGATTCCTATACCTGTGAATTTTTTGTTTTCACATGGCATAAGGAATATCTAGTCCCTATTAGTTTCTTGATGACATTTTGGTTCATTTGTGCAATGAATCCACCATAAGTGTACTCCGAACTGTATGTTTCTACTAGGCAATATTAAGACGTGTAAAAAGAGATGTGAGTCAAACCCATAGAGACAGACAAGTTAACTGACCCACGTAACATTAAAAGGGAGGTGTAATAGCAACAACACAACAAAGGTTGCTGCCTGGGCATTAGAAGTAGAACACCACACCCAAATGGCTAAAACTAGTGGCCAGAGATAAGAACTTAGAGGCATCTCTGTCACCTAGCAGGCTGAGTTTCCACCTTCCTGCTGCTTTCTTTAAACATGCCATTCAGGCATTTGCCCGTGAACTTGAAGTAACATACCCATTATTTCCTAATATATACCCCAGCTGCCGCTCTCCTCGCTTTCTTTCTCTCTTTGTCTCTCTCTGACCGTAGGATGGAGGACTGCCCTCCTGACTCATTGTGCCCTTCCTGGCAGGATCTGTAAGTAAAAATCTTTGAACTTATTTGTTTTGGGGGCTACCCTAGACCAGATTTTCCCCAGGACACTAAGGAGAACACAGGTTGAGCTCCCAACATCAAAGCCATGGTCAGGCAGGAATAAACTGGACACAGGTCAGACAAGAGCCACAAGGGTGTCTGCCAGTATCAATGTTTTCCATGTAAGGGACACCTGGTCACAGGTCTTACAGCTAGGCGTTAGAACGTCTACCAGGTAAGAGAAGTAGCCTGTGAAAGACACAGTATAAACACCCACATCCAGTTCCCCATTATGTACTGTCAGGGCAGGGTGGCTAGCCTCTCTGATACTGGAACCCCAGCTTAGCTGGGGCATATCAAAACAATAGTCAGTGAGGATGGGACGGTTGGCTCAGTTGTACACCTCCATGATGCCTATGAGCTGCAAATGGCTCAGTAACTGCCTCTCCCCCGTGGCCCTGTCACTTTGGGAAGCCAGCACTGCTTGCCAGTGGTATGTAAATGCTATTGCCAGTGTTGCTGTGTTCTCACACAAAACTGTCAACACTGTGAAACAGATTCCCCTGTGGTGTCTGACCACTGGTGTCCAGTGCAAGGCAGGTGTGTTTCCTGATAGTCTCTCATAGAGACGACCTGGGGGAAAGTCTGAACGTTATTAATTGGCTGGTGCACAGCACACAGACAAAGTCGCGCCAAGGAGCGCTCAAGAGGATGGTAGTGCTCACCTCCACTCTTTGGACAAAGCCAGGCATGGACTCTACCTCCTGGGAGCCTAGGAGAGTCCCCTAGATAGTGCTGGTTAGAGAAGCCAACTGCTGGGCCCACTGTGTCAATGTCAGGACTGAAGCTGTGACAGCAAAAAGGGTAAGTAAAGCAAGCCCTGACTCCTGAAGGAGGCAGAATCACCAGGGAGATACGCTGCCAGGCAAGCCCAATTATGTTGCTGCACACCTTGCTTCTGTTGCCACGCGTACCCCGACCCCATAGGGTATCATGAGTCGAATTCCTGGAACAATGTGCCTACGGCTCTGATGGGCAAATACAAATGCCCTGCTCAGCCAGTCCTTGCCCCACCATAGACAGTAGATGATGTCAAACAGGGCTTAGATAAATACAAATTTCCCAAGGAAGCTGCCTGGGCTGTACACAATGCCACTGCCAGTCATTGTGCAAAGCTCTAGAGCTGCAGCCTGGAGCTCAGGAGCCAACTCTAATAATGATTTTTTTTTAATTGATCACACTGCTGCATGTTGACCCTGGTCCCTCAGAGGTCAGTGGGGACACCCTGGAATGGGAGGTAGCATTTATGAGTCTGGGAGGAGGCAGCCTCGTCCCCAGGTGTCCTGGTCACTACCCACCAAATCAAAATGACCAAAGATAATCAGCAGGACCAAGAAATGGGCACCAAAAAGGGAGACCCGTGCTTACAATAGAAGCTACTTGACACTCCCAGGTGCTCAGGAGCTTGTCAGGTAAACATCTGAAGACAGAGAGGAACAAAAAGTCATTTTTAGCCACATAGAAATACAAGCCATTCTAAAGATTTTACTCAAAAGGAAAAAAAAGATCAACAAAGGACTGCTTTTTTTGCAGTGGGGGTTGTCCAGGAGAGTTGCTGCTGCTTAGAGACACTGGACCTCTTTCCTCCTCCCTCTTCCTCTTATCAGCCAGAGGCAGAAACTGAGAACCTCAGCTTCAGGTGGCCTAGCAGAGAAAGAGAGAGACAGAGGGAGAGAGACTGCCCCTTTAGGTGGCTACAAGTCCAAGAAAAAAAGAGCGGAACTTGAAACTTTATGTGAGCAAACTCCAACTTTAGCAAACATAATGCTAGTCTTAGATTACTTTTATGGACTTATGAAAAACTCCTAGATACGGGTGGGTAGGGGAAAAGAAAAATAATAAAATGTATTATTATCTTTAGTAACCTCAACATTTCTTAAAAATTACTTACTGTAGAGCGGGGTGTCCAATCTTTTGGCTACCCTGGGCCACATTGGAAGAACAGTCTTGGGCCACACATAAAATACACTAACACTAACAATAGCTGATGAGCTGAAAAGAAATAGCAAAAAAAGGTTATAATGTTTTAAGAAAGTTTACAAATTTATGTTGGGCCACAGTCAAAGCCGTCCTGGGCCACATGTGGCCCACATGCCACAGGTCAAACAAGCTTGCTGTAGAGGTTTTGACAATCTTTTATAAATGCCTTCTGGAGTCTCTTGACCACTCATAATGAAGATTAGTTGCTACAGGGCTTCTGATGCAAGAAATTGCCCCACTGGGCTTTGTGCTACAGCCCATTAAAACAAAACATGACCCATCACCTGCTGGGCTCTCCTGAAATAGAGGGTCTCACAGATCCCGGGCCTGGGACTCCACACCCAGCTGCCCACTATGCTTTGGGTGATAGAAACAGACCCGCTCAAGCTCAGCACAGCTACTGAGGCCTCTTTAAGGCAGGAGGAAGCCAAATCCGGGCCCTCCCATAAGTGCCACCTGCAGGAGGGTGTGGCTTCCCCTGTCTTCAGTCCCTTGCCAGATTCCAGGGCTCTAGAGGTGTTCACCTCTCCCTCAGACCCCTTGACTACCAGATGAGTGCCCTGGGATTCCCTAAGTGAACATTAATGGGAGTTGGTAAAGTATGTGAATGGCACTGCTGACCATCCTATGGAGCTCGGTGGAGAATTAGTGCTTCAAATTAAAGAAAGTGAACAGGCAAACATCTACCATTACTACCACCAACAATTAAAATTTACCCAAATTTTGCTGTTAGAATACTTCCAATCTCTTATCCAGGATGTCTCTGATAAAGAACTGGACCCAAGAAATGATGTACATGACCGAGCTTACGCAGCCATCTTAGCACCGGATGCCCTTGTCAAAAAATGATGCCATCTTCACATTTTTATAAACTATTTAGCCATAACCTGAAAGTTGTCCCTGTGAAGGCAAAATACAAACAAACCTCTAGGACTCTGTGGCCTCAGAGACACCCAAAATATAAATCAAAATTACACCTCCACCTATATACTGAGGCCACAATGCAAGACCACTCTAGAACACTCCTTATTCCCCTCAAAGTCACATTACTGAGAGTAACCAAAACACACATTTCAATTCTTAGAACAGCATGCTGGGCTCTTCAGAAAGGCTGTTAATAGAACTTTCGTTCCCTTATAGTTACCAAATAACTTATTTAATTGAGAAATACAATGGTGTCATCAAAGAAGCCCTTTTCAAATTTCAATGCCACAAAGAAACGCCTAGAATTCTCTAGTTTGCCACAGGCATTAATCTACTTTATAATAACTTTTATCTAATTCCCATTCCATAAAGGCTGGAAGCCAGATCGAGGATACATAACCTTCTGGGACTCACTAAATATAGATTATCCCATAGGCCAGGCAGCTGTTCATGTGATTTGGGACCCGTGTGAACCTAAATTTCCACCCAAAGCACAACCCTGTAAGGTGCAGCTGCGCACTATTCTGTTTGTTGCTGGCTTTATTACTACTGGCTTGGGTGCTTTTATTGATTTACAATCCAGAGGCCCAAAACCTCCAGTAAACCATGGTTTCAACCAAACATGACAAATGTTGAGGCCCACATCAGCTTGAGTGGGTACCTATTTGAAAAGAACACTCCAGTCAGGCCCCTGTGGAGAGCTGTTGGAACCAAACAGTCTTGGGAAGCAATTTTACACCAAGATGGGAAAAGAGTCTTTGTTGGAAGGCAGTCCTAGAGGTACTGCATCTCCACTGCCACCAGGACTGGATACAGACAGGGCAATTACAACCAATTAAATGGAACCAAAAGCACCAGTGTTTAACACTGACCCAACCTCTGCAAACAGTCCTAGAGACTCATCTCAGCATGACGCCCAGCTAATAACCTCACTTCAACCCCAACTGGATGGTTGCACCATGCAGCCCTGAACCATCCATCCTCACCTGAGGTCAGACACTCAACTGCCCAAAACAAGTCACTATGCTCTCTTTTGCCCAAGGTCATGCATGCACTTCCAATTTATACTAACCATGGATGGAAACAGCCTACACTTCAGAAAAAAAGTGCCACTCAAGTCTTTCACGATGTACCCTAAGGATCCACAGCAATTACTTATAATCTGTGATTCTAGTCATTGACCCCAACAAGGTGAGCAAAGCCTGCTCAGGGCTTTCCAAATATATTGGGTCACACCAGACCCCCAAGTCCCCACCTTCCCATATAGGGCTGCTACCTGGGAGGGCTATAGGTCACCCCACCAGAGATAACAATGTCCCAGATGACATCACTCCAGCCCGAGATGACACTGTACAGCATAACACTTAGCTACAAAGGTTTCCAGAAAGACAAAACAACTGGCAATTGACAGATCCCCCCACTACTTGGCTACAGAACTCAAAAGTTACCTTCCTAAATTTCCTGGTGAGGACCCTTGGAGTGGCATTTTGCTGAGCTAATGCTTTGCCTACCCCAGGGCCCCTGGTTTACATCACTGACTGTGATTCTACCAATCGGCTCCCTGACACCTGCTGGGTTGCTCTTTACTGCTATTAACCAGCTTTGGCCGACTAAGGTAGCTGTGCCTGCCGACAGCCTCGTGGATCCCCTACTAACCTAACCAGCCCCGTGCAACCACACTCCCCCACTAAGCGGAGTTCTGTGTGTTCTTGTGGTGGAACCATTTTGCCTTTCTTGGAACAGTTATTTATTCCCCCCACTGCCCCACCAACCTCTCCATCTCCCACTTCACCAGCTTCCCTATTAATCTTAAGTACATCCCAAGGGGTCTCCCCAAATGTTGGTGATCCACACCATCAGAGTTGAAGACTACCCAGGCCCCTCTACCTCCGCTTCTCCTTGGGAGCCTGATTGTCCCTGTATCTTAACATGGTGGCTAAGTGGGGGCCACGCATCTCAGGAGATGGAATTGCTGGGCCTGCCATTAGACCACACCAAAGCGCCTCCCTGAGTTACAGGCTTACTTTAGCATGTAGTCTTATTCTTCCCAACTTGGCTTAACTATAGGCACCATGGACATCTCTCCTGCTCACACATGACCCTAAGTTGCAGCCCAATTGCTCTATGTCCAAAGCACACATGTTGCTATTTGCCCCTCCACATCGCCAAGCATAGTTCACATATTTACATATCAGCCCCAGATTTAATGCAACTTGGGGACACTTGGGGGTTCAGAAGCCACCACCTCTTGAGGCCTAGGGGTAATAAAACACATCTTAGGGTTCCCTCATGCATCCACAGAAATATACTTTCATCCTGTGGAACTTGGAATTCATTACACCCACTTATTCCCACAGCCCTGCTTTTGTTTTCCTCAATGAAAGGGTGACAACGGAGCTCAGACTCAAGTCTGTAATTTCAAATGTGTCTTAGTATCCTGGGCCTTCCCTTGCACTTAACTAGCCAATACTTCCAACCTTGGTTCATGCCACACCCATTATGACAAAGGCGGGCTGTTTTTACCCCCACACTCTTGGGGAGGGGATTGTTACTTTAACGGGCAGGGACTGTGGTGAGCACCACTGCTCTGTCCATGCAACAGTAAATCATCCAGACCAATACAAATGTGTCAGCTGCACTAGCAGAACACACACATCTGTTACTGCACAGCCTCACTTTGATGTAAGAATCAATGGAGTCTGTCCCAGATGGGATCAAATAATCACCTCATCATAGATCACCTCCTGCCCATAGGTTAAGGGGAGGAGTCTGTACCATCTTGGGAATAACCTACTACATGTACATAAATAACCCTGGCCAAATACCAGCTAATCTAAAAGCCATGACTAAACAGATGTAGGTATTTCATGACTTTACCCGGGTTTACAACAACATTCCCACCAAGACTCTGGGTAAAGGGTTTGATCTGTTCACATGGCTCCACCCTACACAGTGGAGTGGATGGCTATGCATGGGATTTGGGGCCATGCTTTCATATCACTTATCATTTCATTGTGCTCATCAAATACCTTACTCAGTGCCTGACTCAGATTTCCCTGTTGGCCTTTGATGTTTCCACTGTTCAAAAATACCTCCGCATACACAAGCTCTAATACCTAGACATCGTGTGGTCAATGGTAACAAGAATGACATAGAAAAGGTCATAAAGTTGGGCATTAGCAGTAGAATAGCACACCTAAGTGGCTTAAGCCATGGCCAGAGATAGGGACTTAGAGGCATCTCTCAGACATTTACCTGTGAACTTAAAGTGACTCACACCCTATTCTCTTATATAGACTGCTAGTCACCATGCTTTCTCTTTACCCCTCCCTTCCTCATTCTCTTATTCTCTCTCTCTCTCTCTCTCATCCTGGAACGGATGACTGCCCTTCTGACTCATGGTGCCCTCCCTGCCCAAGGTCTCTTAAGTAAAAATCTTTGGACTTGTTTCCTATTTTGTCAGTGGATTGAATTTGCACATTCCTTTGGAGGAACCAGGGGCTACTTCAGGGAGATTTTTCTCTGGGATGCTGAGGAGAACACAAGGTTGGGCTGCCAGCACCAGAACTTTGTTTAGGCAGCAACAAACTGGACACAAGTCAGAAGGAGCCACAAGGGTGTCTGCAGGAATAAGCAAGTTTCCCATGGGAGGGACACCTGGTCACAGGTCGAACAAGGCATTAGGCACAGGCATTAGGACATCTGCCATGTAAAGGAGTATCCTGTGAAAGGCTTATTGTAAATGCCCATGTCCAAATCCCCTTTATTTCCTATAAGGGCAGGGTTGTTAGCTGCTGTGGTATGGGAACCCCAGTTTAGTTGGGGGCTCTCAGAATAGAAGGTCAGAATTGGTGTATGCATAGCACCTGTAGGAGTCCAGGTGAAGGTCGTCCACTGGAAGTCAGTGAATCAAAGATTTAAGATGGATCTAAAAGGAAATATATCTTTCAATTAAACTATAAACATAATAGTCTTATTTTACACTTGCTGGAAAAGGCATTCTAGAATTATAAAGGCATAAGTTTTATACACATGAAAATGAAAGTAAGAATTTGTGAAATTCAACATAAAGGAAAACTCATTAATTTGTGAAATTCAGCATAAAGAAAACTTTTCTGTGTTGCTCTTTGTCCACTACATGCGTGCATTTCTCAAGGGAACAACATATACAACGTTTCCATTTTCTCCTACATTTTGGTCCAGTAGTGATTCAGAAAATGTAGCCAAAACTAAACCGTAGATGGAAGAGCTGCCCCTGGGAACTCAGGGGACAGGCACCAGGCCTGGGATGGGATGGACAAGGGACGCCTCCAGGAGGAGGAGCATGGAGGAGATGCTGGAGAGTGAGGAGCAGTGAGTCTAGCAAACAGGGGAGAAAAGAAGAGGAGAAAGTGTGTCCGTGGCACAGGCCATGCCATGAGAAGGCAGTGGATTGGAAGGACCACTGGGATCACTGATATATGAGGAGGTGGGAGCAGGAAAGGCAGACCACAGTAGTACAGGGCAGGGGAGAGAAGGCCTCTCAGGGAGTGATGCAGGGGCAGCTCCCTGAGGAATGCATTCTGCATGGAGGGATTTGAATGTCTGGGTCCTATTTGTTTAAATGTTACCCCTGCCCATGAGATCTACATGCCAGGATGACAGTCAGGAGTGAGAGTGGTCCCTGCCCACTGAGAAGGCCTCTGTGGGATTAGGTTTTGGGAGGAGCGAGGGTGGAGAGGGACAGAGAGGACCCCCATGCTCATGGAGTAGCAGGCTCAGGGACCTTGGATGATCCTGTTTATGTCCTTTTGTCCATTGCTCAAACCTTCCACTACACCCCTAGTACAGTTCCTGTCCCTGCAGTCATTTTGCAGATATAGGTGGGATCCATGGATCAGAAAACTCAAAGCAGTCGGCTTATGGCCATGTGGTGTCTAAACATCTGAAACTGATTGCTGCCTACGAGGAAGTGCAAATAAGCGGGATCTGCAGCTGCCCAAGACAGGGGACCCAAAGGGAGAGAGCAGTGTGGCAAGCAAAAGGCATGCTGAAGAGGCAGTGAGCCAAGGTGGGCCTTGGTGGGGGCACTTTTACAGGATGTTTTCCTAGGCCCTACACATGTTCCCCCATCTGGGTCTGCCTGTTCCTCCTCCATGTGTTTTACTATTCTCCTACAGACCTTATGATGCTTTCCTGTCTCAGACTGTAACTTTTTTTAACTTCATTCTTTCTATGGCACATCTACTGTCTTTGCAATATTATATCTTTCCTTCTGCTTACTTTAGATTTAATTTGCTCTTCCTTTTCCAGTTTCCTAAGTTGGAAACTTAAGTGATTGAATTTATATTTTTTCTCTTCTAATATATGCATTCAATGCTATGCATTTCCCTCCAATCTCTGTTTTCCTTGAATCCACATATTTTGATAAGTTGTGTATTCATTTGCATTTGGTTCCATTTTTTGTCTCTCTTGAGATTATTTTTTTGAACTCTATCTTATTTAGAAATGCATTATTTAATCCCCAAGCATTTTGGGATTTTCCAGTTATTGTTTTGTTGTTATTTTGTTATTTATTTCTAGCTTAATTCTATTGTGGTCTGAGGGTAGATGTGATAAAATTTCTAGTCTTTTAACTTTGTTAAGATATGTTTTACAGTCCGGAATGTGGTTTATCTTGAGTCGTCAATGTGGGCTGGCAAAAAATTTATATTCTGTCCATTGTTGGATAAAGTTGTCCATAGATGTAAATTATGCCCAGATGATTGAAGATGTTGTTGAGATCAACTTTGTCTTACTGATTTTCTGCCCATTGAATCTGTACATTTCTTCTAGAGCTGTTGAGGTGTCCAATTATGATAGTGGACTCATCTCATTCTCCTGCAATTCTGTCAGTTTCCTCCCACATAGTTGGAGGCTTTGTTGTCAGGTGCATACAACTTAAGGATTGTTGTATCTTGGAAAATTGAGCCCTTCATATTTATAGCATATCCTTCTTTATTCCTGGTAATTTTGCTTGCTTTGATGTCTTCTCTATCTAAAATTAATTTGGCTACTCTTGCTTTCTTTAATTAGTCTTAGCATGATATATTTCCAGCCATTTGCTTTTAATTTATACTTGTCTTTATATTTAAGTATGTTTCTTATAGGCAATATATACAGTGGTTGGGTCTTGTTTTTTGATCCACTCTGACAATCTGCTTTTTCATTGATGCATTTAGACATTCAAAGTAATTAGTGATATAGTTTAGTCAAAATCTACTATATTTGTTATTTGTTTTCTATTTGTTGCTCTTGTTTTTTGTCCCCATTTTATTATTATTGTTGTTATTAGAGACTTGGTCTCACTCTGTCACCCAGGCTGGAGTGCAGTGGTGAGATCATGGCTCCCTGCAGCCTGGAAATCTTAGGCTCAAGCCATCCTCCTGCCTCAGCCTCTTGTGTGTACCTGGGACTATAGGTGCCTGCCACCACACCTGGCATATATATGAATATAGTGGCATATATATTTAGAGATGGGGTCTTACTATGTTTTCCAGGCTAGTTGTGAACGCCTGGCCTCAAGTGATCCTCCCACCTCAGCCTCCCAAAGTACTGGGATTACAGGCATGAGCCTCGGAGCCCAGCCTTTGTCCCTATTTTTGCCTTCCACTTATTTTTTGCCTTTTATCATTTTATTTCAACATTTTATATAATCTATTTTCTTTCCTTTCTTAGCATATATGCTATACTTCTTTTTTTCTTTTATTAGTGGTTGCTTTAGTAAAATCTTTTATTTTTCATATTCTTAATTGATCTAACACAATAATAGTTTATCAAAATAATAATAGCAACAACATATACAAATATATAATACAAGATTATCTATATTTATATATATGCATGTATGAGTATATATAAGTGAAATGAATGACAGAAATAATATAAAGGACAGAAGGGAAGAAATAGGATTAATTTTCTTTATAGTAAGATACTCACACTACCTGTGAACATCTATAGTATTATTTAAAAAGGGGGTTGGTTTACTTTTTTTTTTCTTGAGACAGAGTCTTGCTCTGTCACCCAGGGTGGAGTACAGTGGCACAATCTCAGCTCACCGCAACCTCCGCCTCCTGGGTTCAAGCGATTCGCCTGCCTCAGCCTCCCGAGTAGCTGGGATTACAGGTGCACATCACCACTCTCGGCTATTTTTTGTATTTTTAGTTGAGACAGGGTTTCACCATGTTGGCCAGGCTGGTCTCGAACTCCTGACCTCAAGTGGTCCCCCAACCTGGGCCTCCCAAAGTGCTGGGATTACAGTTATGAGCCAACACATCTGGCCTCCAAATTACTTTTTAAGTAAATTGCAAACTGTAGGGCAGGCTGTTGGACCAAAAGCCTCAGTTCCTTGCTGGCTATTGGCCAGAAGTTGACTTTTAATTTCTTCCCATAGTGGCCTTGCCCACTGGAAAATTCTTCCACATTGCAAAATGATTCTTTAAATTTATCAAGAAAGAGTTTGCTAGCAAGATAGAAATCACGATCTTATGTAACATGATGCCCAATGTGATATGCCACCACCTTGACAGTATTCTGTTGTTTCAAAGCAATCACAGTTTCTGACCACACTCACTCACAGGGAGGAGGTTAGCATACAGAGTGTGTATACCTAAAGGTGGGGATCATTGGGAAGCATCCTAAAGTCCACCTTGCAGCTCAGGTCTTCTCCAGTATGAAATCTTTTCTGTCTTCATTTATTTTTCATGACCTTGATGCCTTTAGAAAAATACCAGTCAGACATTTTGAAGCTGCCTCAAACATGGATTTGTCTGGTGATTTCTCATGATTAGACTGCAAATAAGGGTTACATTAAACATTTGCATTGATCTAAGTTTGAAGACAAAAAAATTGAGCAAGATATTAATTTGAAATGCAAACTTAGAGAAATAATAAATAAAAACTAAAGAGAAAGACAAATATAGAATTCAAAATAATAGTTACCTTCAGCAAGGAAGAAAGAGGATAAAATTTTGGGAATGCTCTCAGGGAACATCAACAATATTGCTAATAACCTTTCTATGCAGCTTCGCAGTGACCATAGGAATAAACTTTTACTTTGGAATAGTTTTAGATCTATAGAACAGTTGTGAATATCATACAGAGAGTGTATATATGTCCCGCAAACAGTTTCCCTTATTATTAACCTCTTATATTAGTGGGACATATTTGTCTTTTGTTTTGTTTTGTTTTGTTTTTTGTTTTTTGTTTTGAGATGGAGTCTCGCTCTGTTGCCCAGACTGGAGTGCAGTGGTGCAATCTCGGCTCACTGCAAGCTCAGCCTCCCCGGGTTCACCCCATTCTCCCACCTCAGCCTCCCGAGTAGCTGGGACTACAGGCGCCCGCCACCACGCCCGGCTAATTTTTATTTTTTTATTTTTTTATTTTTAGTAGAGACAGGGTTTCACCATGTTAGCCAGGATGGTCTCAGTCTCCTGACCTTGTGATCTGCCCACCTCGGCCTCCCAAAGTGCTGGGATTACAGGCGTGAGCCACCACGCCCGGCCATATTTGTCACAATTAACAAACAAATATTATATGTTATCACTCACTAACATCCGCACTTTATTCAGATGTCCTTGGGTTTCATTTAACGTCTATTATCCATTCTAGGATGCCTCCCAGGACACCTTTTCACATTAGATGTCATGTCTCCTTGGGCTCCTATGCCTGTGACAATTTCTCAGACTTTCCTTACTTTTAATAATATTGACACAGCTAATTTGGAATTTCTCTAATGTTTTTCTCCTGATTAGACAGAAGTTAGGAGTTTGGGGGAAGAAGAACAAGAACACAGAGGGAAAGTGTCACTCTCATCCCATCACCTGAAGGGATGGTCTATCAATAGGCTTTATCACTGCTGATGTTACCTTGATCACTTGGATGATGTAGTTCTTATTTTCTCTGCTGTAAAGTTTCTCATTTCACCGTTTCCATGCTGTATATTTAAAAAGAAGTTGCTATTCACAGCACATACCTAAGAAGTAGAAAATCATGCTCCACCTCTTTGGGCAGATTACCTACAAAATTACTTGAAATCCTTATGTCAAAAGGCACTGAACAACCTTTCATATGCTCATCCAACAAGAAATGGTTATTCAAATAATTTGCCCATTTTTAATTTGTATGTTTGCCTCCTTGAGTTGATTTTGTTTTTTTGAGACAAGGTCTTACTATGTTGCCCAGGCTGGAATGCAGTGGTGTGATCACAGCTCACTGCAGCCTCGACCTCCCCTGGCTCAGGTGATCCTCCCGCCTCAGCCTCCTGAATAGGTGGGACAGGTGCACACCACCACACAAGCTAATTTTTCTATTTTTTTGTAGAGACTGGGTTTTGCCATGTGGCCTAGTCTGGTCTTGAACTCCTGGGCTCAAAAGATCTGCCTGCCTCGGCCTCCTAAAGTATTCTGGAGATTATTAATGTATTCTGGAGAACAGAACCTTATCAGCTAAATGAATTACAAAATTTCTTCCATTTTTGGGGTTTTTGTTTTACTTTTGATAGTGTAATTTTAATCACAAATAATTAAGATGAATATATCTATTTTTTTCTTCTCTCCCTTGTGCTTCTGGTGTCAAATCTTAAAAACATTGTTTAGCACTTACATTTAGGTATATGATCCAGATTGAATCAATCAGACATATGGCTTCAGGGAGGAGTCCAACTTTCATTTAAGTATCCACTAATCCCAGCAACATTGGTTGAAAAAGACTTTTTTCATATTGAAATGACCTGGGAACCTTATAAAATCAGTTTACCATATTTTATAGTCCATTATGATGTATAATCTGTATTTCATCTCTCTCTACCATGTCTTGGTTACTATCAGGTTTTAGTAAGCCTTGAAATCAATGAGTGAGGAGTTGAGTACACCAACTTCGTTCTTCATTTTGAAGATTGCTTTGTCTTTTATATATCTCTTGCATTTCCATGTCAATTTTACCATCAGCTTGCCAATTACAGCAACTGAAAAGCCAGCTTGGCTTTTTGATAGGGGTATAGCTGACCTGGACCACATTTCTCACTTCTGAGACCTGGATAACAGCTATTTAGATGCTGTTATTTGAGTATTTGCAATTCAAGATATTTTCCCACTCTTCCAACCTCATAGTTAACTCCTTGAGAAAAGACGTAATTATTTAAGTTACTCATATCATTTTAATTCCTCACCTTAAAATTCCTCATGGACAGTTATTCTGCTCATTATAACAGAAGCTCCTATAAGAGCACAGTGACTTGTTAAATCCCATTTTACTCTTTATTTCAGTGCATATTTTATAGTCCATTACGGTTTATACCCTGTATGCTATCCCTCTCCAAACTCTCCAGGAAAATAAAAAGGCAGAGATGCAGGCCATGAAGGAGACACAGGAGACATAGACAAGGAGGGACCCATCTTAAACTGACAAATAATGTAACCAAGCACCTTCACAGCTGAGCCTCAAACTGCTTTTAAACTTTTTTTCTTCTTTTCCTCTTCCTCTTTCCCTTCCGAGTCTTAATATATAACTTTGAGACAAACTACATATATGTTATCTTTTGTCTTGAAAACAGCCTCAGAATGTGCTGTGAACCTCCACTCTCTATTTTTCCCCACACTATACTCCCATGCCTTTGCACCTTTATTTACCTAAATGCTTGTTAAGCACGTGCCTTGCTCTCTTATCTGGTCATATATTTCCTTAGAAGTTTCAGGGGTCACATCCTGATAGGGACCCGGCACCTTCAGAATTCTCTTTCCAACAAAAGATTACTTCAAAGACAGAACCCACACCCTGCTGAAGAGTGCCAACAAAATTAACTACAACTAATTTATAAGCTGGCAGGATCCACGATCGTGCCAGCCCCTTCGCCAAATGGGACAATAATTCAGGAGGACCACCAGAGCAAGCCACACCCCATGGCACCTCCTAGCCCCTCTTGCTTCTACATTCCAAACCCTTTCTTTAAAACCCCTCCATTCCCTCCACAAATTGAAGAGTGCAATGGCTCTCGGCTCTTCCCCTTGCTGGCACCAATAGTAAAGGAATATGACTCTTTCTTGTCATAACTCATTATTATTTTGACTTATTTCAAGCAAGTGGACCGTTTTGCCAATTACAATAAGAGTCAAAGAGCTCTAAGTGCTCAGACTTAAGACAGGACTGATGATAGATACAAAGCTGTAGGGGGAGGGCAAGGAAAATCTGTTTTGTTTTTGTTTTGTTTTTGTTTTTTTTTTGAGACAGAGTCTTGCTCTGTCGTCCAGGCTGGAGTGCAGTGGCGCAATCTCGGCTCACTGCAACCTTCGCCTCCTGGGTTCAAGCAATCCTCCTGCCTCAGCCTCCCAAGTAGCTGGGACTACAGGTGCGTGCCACCACGCCCAGCTAATTTTGTATTTTTAGTAGAGACAGGGTTTCGCCATATTGGCCAAGCTGGTCTCGAACTCCTGACCTCACGTGATCCGCCTGCCTCGGCCTCCCAAAGTGCTGGGATTGCAGGCATGAGCCACCTCACCCGGCTGGAAAACATGTTATGGAAATCACAATGAAACTACTTCTGCAGTGACCAATCATAGAGGGATGTGTATAATCACCATCCATGCAATTAGAAGAATGAATGGTAAAGAAGAAAAATATAGATTTAAAAATATTATGGGTTGAAGAATTGAATTTGGAATAAAGCTTACAAGAAACATTACTCATATTTTTAAGCTTAGGACAGAAATCCTCAAGATACTACTTTTTCTAAAAGTCTTTAGAAAGCTCCTGCTCCACCACAAACTTTCAAGTAACCCTTTCCAATTTCTGTCTTCCACCTCAATGGATTCCTTGAATCACAGTTTATAAAATTACCTCTCCAAACTTTGAATAAGAATTCCAGTAGTACACTAATAACTCTAATATCTATAATAACTATGCCAAAAATAGAGTTATTCAATTATATGAAAACATATTGAAGCATATTTCCTCAGTAATAGCCCATAATACAGCAGATGTGGACAATGATTTACCACTGAGAAATGGGCAGTCACAGAAAAAAACAGAGTATTCTGTTTATGTTACAGTGCGCATTTTCTTACTTTTTCAAAGAGACATATATGTCTTAATATTGATATTGTAAAAACACTATTGACCAGAAGGCAGCCATAATGTGGTTGCAACTGTGCACACATTCAAGAACTTGGTCTGAAATCCTTCCATTAACACCTCTGGCAGTACCATCAACACAACTTGCAGAGGGACTGTTACTAAGTAAGAAAGATAATCTCACAGAGAGTAGCACAGGACTCTCCCAAGAAATGTGGCACAACCAAAGTTTCCAATTAGCACAAAAGATGCTAACGTGGGAAAAATCAAGGAAAAGAGGAGTTAAAAAGTGTTTCAGAAGGCTTTCATCTGATGAGAGCTATTTTAGGAGCATTTTTGTTAATGTAATTTGCTTTCATTTTCTATCTCACGTGATCATAGAAGTGATATAAAACAAATATCAGCATACTGAATTCTATGCCTTTTGCTACATTCCCAGAAGTAGGATAGTGGGATCATATGGTAGTTATATTTTAGTTTTTTGAGGAATTCCCATACCATTTTCCATAATGTCTGTATTAATTTGCATTTCCACCAACAGTGTACAATGGTTACCTTTTCCACATTTACATAAGTTGAAAGAAACTTTTTTCACGAATAATAAGAAAAGTATCCTAAATGCTAAGAAATATCTATGTGATAGTTTCTCAATTGTTTTCTTTCATTGTGACATATAAAGTAATGGTACATTTTACAATTGATGCACATGATACATGTTGCAATTACATTTAAAAAATTGGTCAGTATTAGTGAATACTGACTTAGTTGTTAATGCAGACCTGCTATTATTCTACACACTGTATGTATTATTAGTTCATTCAACGCTCACAACTTCTCAAGAAGCAGGCATTTTTTTTTTTTGGTGAAGTGCATTTTATTTTATTTTATTTTTATTATACTTTAAGTCTTAGGGTACATGTGCACAATGTGCAGGTTTGTTACATATGTATACATGTGCCATGTTGATGTGCTGCACCCATTAACTCGTCATTTAACATTAGGTATATCTCCTAATGCTATCCCTCCCCCCTCCCCCCAACCTCACAACAGGCCCCAGTGTGTAATATTCACCTTCCTGTGTCCATGTGTTCCCATTGTTCAATTCCCAAACATGCGGTGTTTGGTTTTTTGTCCTTGCAATAGTTTGCTGAAAATGATGGTTTCCAGCTTCATCCATGTCCCTACAAACGACATGAACCCATCATTTTTATGGCTGCATAGTATTCCATGGTGTATATTAACACTTCCACAGTCAAGTTCTGAGCTTGCGCTAATGTCCTCCATGAAAGGAACAGAAGAACTGTGAGATTGACTCAGTCTGGTCCAGTGTCCTCGCTCACATCAACTGTGTTAGAATATCTTTCCTCTTAAATGGTAAATACTTTCTACAACTATTTTAAGAACTTACCCTACCCCACGGTCATGACATTATTTTCCTAAGTTAGGTTCTAAATCTTGTATTAAATTTTTATTGTATTTATATCAATAATCAAGCTGAAATTGATTTTCTGTGAAATATGAGAACAAACATCTTACTTTATTTCTCCATCTCATTTTATTTAACATAAATAGATGTTAAATTTCCCAGAACATTTATTGAAAAGGTGTACTTTCCCTGTTGGTCTTTCTCATAAATTACTTGCTCATATATGCTTTAGTCTGTTTCTGTGCTCTCTTCTCTTCTTCCATTGGATTATTTTTCTTTCTCTGTACAAATAACGACACTTAATTACTAAGAGACTTAAGATAACACAAGAATTTTTCCTCCAGGGTCCATTCTCTTAACCATTGTAATATTCTGTAATGAAGAAAGAGAAGAGTAAAACCCACATGGCTTGCACCTACCAGTACTGCCAGCCGTATTTTGAATAAAGAAGAGGGTGTTGAACTTTAGAGCACTGTTTTTGATGCTTATGTCTCTAACATCTTTGTGAATCTACACCACTCCTGCTTTATTAGTACATTTTGAGTGAATTTTATTAGATGCTATGCCTCCTCTTTGTTTTTCCCTACTTTCTGAAGCTTCAGGGACTTTCTATTGCCCCAGAAAAAGCCATCCTTGGCAGGTTTTTGAAGAGGCATCCCTGGTTGCATCCTACTCACACAGATAAGCCTCAGTGGACTTGGTCCTACTCCATTGAACAATGGCTTGGCTGCAGCAGGCACAGCTGAGCTGACAGCTCTTTGTGGAGTCTGCATGGGGAATGCCTCCTGCCCCCAGCCTTCTGTGGTCAGTTTGCAAATTACATTCATTTTTATTTGTTTAATAGACAAGGGTCTTGTTAGGTTGCCTAGGGTGGTCTCAAACACTTGGGCACAAGCAGCCCTCCTGCCACAGGCTTCCAATTAGCTGGGACTAGAGACATTCTTTCTTATAAAGAATGTGTTGGTTCAGTGATCACTTTAGCTTGCTAACCAAGCATTGCTATCATTTCACACTTTGCCTGGTAATATGTGTTCTTGCTTTTTCTTTTGCAGGCAAATATTTTTAGCACTCGGTATAAAATTTCTTTATTTTTTGGTCATATAAAAATCATCTAAAACAAAATTTGTATTTTCATATTATATTTTAATGCCTCTCATTCCCTAACATTCCCTAATTTAAAGTATTCATAGTCATTTTTCATAATATCTTACTAATTATTTTTTCAAGCATCACAATTTCCTAATAAAATGAAAAATATCACTTTTATTAGGAAAGACAGGTGTTACATACTCTCTGTTATAGTGTTTTCCAGAAATTTTCTATAAAATACCTATGGTTGAAAAGGAGAATTACTTGGACTTTTCTGAGAGCCAAAAGGTAAAATTTGCTAAGAGCCTCAGGCTTATAAAAACAGTGAATGTTTGTATGACTTAGTCTGTTGTGATTGTGAAAGGTTAAAAAGGCATTGGTTTGTGTAGATAAAACACTGAGACTCATTTTTAAAGCAAAGGCCAGCCACAATGTTACTCACAATGTTACTGTGCATGTATGAACATCACATTGTTTGCTTTTTCCTTGACCCAAAAGCTATAAACTTTGGCAGGAGACTTTAATTCCTTCCACCTTACTTTCACAAAGGTAAACATGGCATTTTTGTACAAGTGAACCATAAGATAGATATGTATACTTTTCTTGTAATTTGATAAGTGATTACTAAAATTACTTTCAATGAAATGAAAAATGCCACTAAGGAAAACTGTACATACATCTCCAGGTGGAATATATTTTTGTAATAGGTTCTCTTGGAAAGAAAATTGAAACCTTTATTTATCACCTAACAAAGTATTTTTGAAAGTTCTCATGCTTGTGTTTTTAGAATTTTATTTTTGTTGATTCAGTCAATAATTTTCTCCATTTTCTATTGCTTAAATGTACATTCATGTCCATTGTTTTTTAGGCTCAGACTTTGACAGTCCTCTGATATACTTTATATGTAAATAGATGGCTGAGTGTTCTGGCTGATGAACATGGGTTACTTAACCAGAGTTAAGCGAGGACTTTCTCACCTGAAACCACCAAGAGACACAAAAGCCAGAAAAGGACAGAAATTAATTCAAGGGTCAACAAATAGAGTCGGCTTTCTTTAAGACCTGAAGTGTAGAAGTCTAGGTTGAACCCTAGGTTGATTACGTTGAAGACTACATTCTCCTGTGAAGCAAGCATTCCTAAAGGGTAAGGCTATGAGACACAATAGTGCATGCTGGCTATGCAAGTGATGAGATGGCCAAGCTAACAGTCCAAAAACTATCCTGGGGAAGGGGCAGTCATTTGTTCAAGATTCCTGAAATGTGAGGAAGCAACAAAGAGCAGACACACTTTATGGGTAATTTTACTCCAAATTAATAGATGGGCACTTGTTTTGTATGCTGTTTTACAAACTGCCTTCGTTTTCTTATGAATATGCCATTAGGATTTGTGAAATGGGTATCATGACGGTTTAGATTTGCATTTCATCGAGGACTAATATTGTTGAGCATCTTTGCATTGTACATTTGTATAGCTTCTATGGAAAAATGTCTATTCATAGAATTTGTCCACTTTTAACTAGAATGTTTTTCTTTATATCTTTGACTTATAAGAATATTTTACAGATTATGTACAATAGACCCTATCAGCTACATGATTTGTAAATATTTTCTCCTATTGTTACAGGATTCCTTCAGTGCTGCTTTGCCAGCCGGGAATCTCTGCAGCCATCGCCACCTCTGCCCGGGTCTCATTCAGACCCACTGGGTTCGCTCTGCCCACTCAGCCCGGCACGCTGTGCTCTGCTCTCGCCCCAGCCCAGATCCCACGGCCCCTGTGGCTCCCCACTCAGCCTGCAGCTGGACTGGGAGTGCCATAAGTGAATTCCGGTTGGGGGCCAGCATCCAGACAAGGGGAATGTGGTGGCACCTGAAAACGGAGGTGACAGCAGTTGCAAAGCCCCAAGGGGTGTTACAGCTCTTGCTTGGGGAGCCCTGAGGTCTGAGCCCCACAGGAATGTTGCAGCTCTTCACTCCTGTAGCTCATAGCTCAGTGAGCTGCGGCATATTACAGCTCTCTTTCTCCTATAGTCCAACCAGCAGGAGCATGTTACCAGCCCTTTGATTCCCGTTATTTCCAGCTTGGTGAGCAGAAGGGAGTGGCACTCAGTGGCTGTTTCTCTCGGTGAGCAGAAGGAAGTGTTACAGCTCATTTTAATCCCACCATTCAGTGAGTTCCAGGTTCTTGTCCCACGACCAGGAGGAATGAGTAACGTGGACACTGGAGAGTGAACAAGGCAGAGAATAATTTTATTGAACAACAGAAAAGCTCTCAACAACGAGACAGGACCCAAAGTGGGTAGCCGACTGTGAGGCTGAGTCCGGGAGTTTTTATGGGTTTGGAATGAGGAGGTGCAGGCTGTAGGTAGTCTTGGGAAAGGCAACATTTGATTGGTTAAAAAGCATTATTCCAAAAAACCAATCAGTAAAGAGTGGGCAAGCATGAATAGAAGTTCTCACTCTGGTCCATGGACTCTCTCCAGAACTGGTAGTTTGGTTTTCAGGCTTCAGACTGTCCTTGGCTTGAAGGTCAATTTTCACCAGAGAACCCATCCCCGTCTGCCTAGGAATTTGTCTGCCTCCTGTGGCTATCACTATTATTTGGGTGGTCTTGATAGTGTAGTTTGAATAACGAAAGTTTTAAATTCTGTTGAAGTTCAATTTATTCTTCCTGCTTCTATCACTTCTATTTTGTGTGATAACTTAGACTGTATTATTTGACCTAAGGCCACAAAAGCAGATACATATATTGTCAATCACAGGTTTCATAGTATTAGTGATGGCAGCAGTGGGCCATCCGGAGCAGCTGCTGTTGTCATGCTGGCCACTGTGGGGAGGGCACAGGAGGAGGCAGAGCTGGGTCTGGGGTGGTGCTGCGCTCCACAGAGCTGGCAGGAGCCAGGGACAAGTAGGAGTCCCCAGAGAAGCCCTGGGGGCCATCATGATTGGGATGGACCAAGTTGCCCACTGGTCGGGGAGCAGCGCGGTCAGGCATGAAAGGGTATGCAAAGAGGGTCCCAGTGAGAACCTGGGGCCCCTGCCCCAGGCTCTGAGGAGGCGCAGCCAGGGCTTCCTGCATGCTCCACAGAACAGGCAGGAGCCCTGCCCTCCCAGGCACAGGACTGGGCATCTCTGCAGTCTACACCCTTGGGGGCCCAGGCAGGCTCCCCTTACCCCTGCAGGCTCAGGGGTGTTGGCTCTTGCTGCCTGGCCCCTCCCCACTCTGGGTGCCCACTCTAATCTTTGAGAAGGGTTGGGGCCAAGCCCAGGCACTGCCACAGCCCAGCCAGTGTGGGGCACTGGGGCAGCACTGACACATCAGCCCCTTTCCACCTCAGCCCCCTCCAGACTTTGGTCACCAAAGAGCATGGGGTAAGCTGAGGGGGAACTGAAGGTGACTCAGCACTGGCCTGCAGGTGCCCCTTGGTGCAAATAGCCTGGGCACCATGGACAGAGGCATCTGGCAGACAGGCTCTTGGGTGAAAGGGGTCGGTCCCCAGTGAGGCCCCACTTTCAGGCCAGGGAGGGCCTGAAGGCTGGGGGCCAGGCTGATGCCAGACCCATGGGCCAGAGTTAGAACTTGTATTGCCTTTTCCAGGCCCAACTATGGCCACCCATGGACCAATCCACATGCACTTTCTCCCCTCTGAGGCCCATAAAAGCCCCTGGCTCAGACAGAGCAGAGCAGAGCAGAGGATGGGATGACCAGTTGCAGAGAGCTACCCTCTCTCCTGAGAACTGAACATTTACTGGAATGACCTGCTTGCAGAGAGGAGTTACCCTTTCTGTTAGAAGCTGAACACTCGTCAGGACACCCTGGCTACAGAGAGGAGCTGCCCACTGTAGGGCTTCTCTGAGCTGTTCTATTGCTCAATAATGCTCCTCTTCACCTTGCTCACACTCACCCTGTGTATTTCATTCTTCCTTGTTGCAGGACAAGAACTCAGGACCTGCCAAATGGCAAAACTAAAAGAGCTGTAAGGCAAATAGGGCTGAAACATGACCCTTACCCACCACATTGCTGGTGAAGAGAAAGAGAAAAAAGCTGCAGCCCTTCAGGGAGCTCAGACCTGGGAGCCCCCTGAACCAGAGCTGTGACTCCCTCTTTGGGGCCCTGTGAGTCCTGACATCTCCAAGTTTCCAGGTGCCACCACATTCCCCAGTGTCAGCCGGAAGCTGCTTGGGGTGCACTTGGTCCAGCCACAGCCTCACAGAGAGCCAGCATTCATGCCAGCCACAGGTTTTTGGCCACTAGCCACAGGTTCCTGGCCAGAAAAGCAACACCCCAAAGATCTTGTAACATTAGCTCTTACGTTTAGGTCAAAAGATTTTATGAAAACCATAAAGCAGCTACATCTGCAGTAACTGATCAAAAACAATTTGTATGACCGCCATACATGGGATCATAAAGGAGGAATGGGGAAAATGGATATTCAGTTTTTCTGGATGAATAATTTAGATTTAGAATATCATTTACACATAAATTGAATTTTTGTTATTTCTAGTTTACTCTTCAGGTATTCCTTTGGACAATGTCTATAAAGTCCAGCCCTGAAATTTGAATTAAATAACTGTAAAAATTAACATGTAAAATAGAAATTACAGTATTACTGAAATAATCTAATATACATAATAACTAGGTAGAAGGTAAATAAAGTTTGCCAATTTGTATGAATCTATATTTCAACAGGTTTTCTCACTAACAAAGCAGAATACAGCCAATGAGACACCACAATATAACACTGAGAAATAGGCAGCCACAGAGAAAAATAATATATTCCACTAATGCTAGAGGATGTATTTTCACAACTTTCAAATAGAGTTCCATCTAACAATTGATAGTGTCAAAGCACTGTTGCCCAGAATATGGTCATATGTGGTTCTCCTCATATGCACACACATGAACTGGGTCTAAAAAACCTTTCATTGGCCAGGCGCAGTGGCTCATGCCTGTAATCCCAGCACTTTGGGAGGCCGAGGTGGGCAGATCACGAGGTCAGGAGATCAAGACCATCCTGGCTAACACGGTGAAACCCCGTCTCTACTAAAAAATACAAAAAATTAGCTGGGCATGGTGGCAGGTGCCTGTAGTCCCAGCTACTCAGGAGGCTGAGGCAGGAGAATGGCGCGAACTTGGGAGGAGGATCTTGCAGTGAGCCGAGATGGTGCCACTGTTCACTGCACTCCAGCCTGGGCAACAGAGGAAGACTCTGTCTCAAAAAAAAAAAAAAAAAAAAAACAAACCTTTCATTGACATCTTCTACTAAAATCATCAACACGGAAACTGGCAGACGGCTGTCAGTAGGTTAGAAGGATAATCCCACAGAGTGTAGCAAAGGAATCTCACAAGAAATGCAGCATCACCAGTGCTTCTGATTAGCAGAGATGATGATAATGAAGGAAAAATCATGGATGAGATGAGTTTAAAAGGGATTCAGAAGAGTTTGTTCTGAGTGGGAAAAATTTATCAGTACCTTTATTAACATATTTTGCTTATAATTTCATCTCATTAAATAAATGGAATGAAAAAAGACAAGCATCCACACACATATACATTAATAAGAATTATTTTCAATATTTGCTAAATACTTGAAGTCATAAGAAGCATTTTGTCATACTTTGTCAAGGTTTTATTCCTTCACTGTAACATAAAATCATGTTGCATTTTACAATTATGGAAATGATCCATATTCCATTTTGTAGAAAACAGTATCAGTATTAACAAATACTCACTTCATGGTTGATATAAGTCTATAGGTGTTATGTATCATTTGATCATTCAGTTCTCACAAAGTCTCACGTGGTAGGCACTACTCTCACTCCCATGTTCAATTTCTGAATCTGAGCTAAGTCCTACAAGAAAGGAAAATGAGGACCTTGAGTTTGACTTGGTCCATATCCAGTCCTTGCTCCCGTCAGCTATGTTAGAATATCTTTTCTCTTGTGTGGTAAATATTTTCTATGACTAATTTAAGGAATCTTACCCTATCCCATAGTCACAAAGTTATTTTCCTAAAGCAGGTATAAATACTGTATTAAATTATTTTTATATTTGAGTTTATTATCTACCTGCAACTGATTTTGTGTGTAGTACAAAATTAAAGATGGATTTGATGTTCCCCAATGAATATTTGATTTCCTGGATCATTGATTGTAAAAGTCATCTTTACCCCATTAATTTCGCTTATAAATTATTTTCTTTTGTATGATTTTGTCTGTTATTGAGCTCTACTTATTTCATTGCTTTATCTCTATGCAAATATCACATTTTCTTAATTACTAAGAGAATGCATTTAACATAAAAATTACCCATAGCCTGTTATCTTACTCACTGGTCTATTCTGTAAGGAAGAAAGGGAAGAGTAAAAACCTGCATACCTTGCACAAATACCTGTATTCCCAGCTGTACTCTGAATAAAGAGGAGGGTTTAGAACATTGGAATATTACTGATGATACTTATGCCTCCAATGTCCTTGTGAATCTTAGGTAATCCTCCTAATATTAGTCTCCACGTTAGTTGCTTACTACTTTTTTGGTGAATTTTATTAGAGCTCAATGTGCTTTGTTACAGGTCTCTACTTTTTGTAGCCTGGGGATTTTCTACTCCCCCAACAGCCAGATGAGGCAGAAACCCCTACAGACATCCCTATGTGCCTCCTGTGCAAGTGCAGTTGCCCCTTGAAGGCAGTTCTCCTGCTGCAGACCACGCCCACCAAGGGCAGAGTCACAGCCACTGCAGCTGAGCTCAGAGCCTTCTGTGGGGTCTGCAGGGGCAAGGCCAGCTGTCCCCTGGGATAGTTTGAAGAATGCAGTTTGTTTGTATAATAAAGATGTTTCTCTACGTCATTCATCTTGCTAATCAAGGACGTTTAACAGCTTCAGACTTTCCTGGTAATATTTGTTCTTGCCTTTTTTTGGCAAATATAGTTAACACTTCTATGCATTTTTTACCTCACATAAACATCATCTAAAACCATTCATATTTCTGTATTGCGTATTAATGCTTTTCATTCCTGTATATAAAAATGCATTCATAATCGCTTTTCAAAATACATTTTCAGTTACCTTTTCAAGCATCATTCTTTACTAATTGAATGGAAATATCACTTTTATTGAGAAAGACAGATGTTACACAATTTTCATTTTAGTATTTTCTAGAAATTTGCTGTGAAATACCTCAGGTTGAAAAGGAGAGGGACACAGGCTTTTGTGAGGACCATAAGACAAAATTTACTGAGAGTCACATGCTTAAAATAATCTTTCATTGTTTGCACTATATGGCTTAGTTTGTTCTAATTGTGAAAGGTCACAGGCATTAATTTGTGTGGAGGCAACACCAAAAATCCCATTGTGAATGCAGAGAATCACTTTGTTACTGTGCAAGTAAGAATGTCCTCATATTGTTTGTTTTTATTCTTACCAAAAAGCTGTAGACATTGTCTGGAATCTTTGATTCCTTCCAACTTGTTTTTGTAAATGTCTGCATGATGTGTTTTTGTCCAGACAACCAATATATAGACATGTATTTTTTTTTTACTCTTTGATGAGTGATTATTAAATTGTTTTTAGTTTTCATTGAAATAAAAATGCCATTCAGGAAATGTCATACATCTCCAGGCAGCATATATTTTTATAACATGGCCTTGGAGAAAAAGAATTAAAAACTTTATTTTCTGTTATCAGTGAACTAGCAAAATATTTTTAAAAGTTATCACAGGTGTGAGTTTTTTTTAGATTTTATGTTTTTTTGACTCAGTTAATAATATACCTACCTCAGTTATCTAGCTGCTGTGTCAATATCCACTGTTTTAGGCTAAACCTTTTATACTCCTCTGGCATAGTTTGCATGTGAACAGATGGTTCAGTGTCCTAACTAGTGAAGGTGAGATTCCTAAAGCACATTTGAACAGGAATTTAGGACTCAAGAAGCAATTCTGAGTTCTGAGTATATTAAAGGTAGGCTAGATTAAGTTATTATGTTTGGTAAGTTATGTGTATTACATGTATTTTCCAATTAAATTATTTTCAACTTACGATGGGTTTATCAGGAAGTACACCCATCATAAATTGAGGATCATCTGTAATTTAAATGGAGGTTTCTATTTAAAAGAGCATAATGCATTTCTCATCAAAAGAAGGAAAACCAGTAATTTTTAGGTCCTTTATTTGTGTCCCTGAAAATCTTCATAAATTCTATAAAAAGAGTGAAAACAGGTGAATCAAAACACAGATTCCATTCTGTCGTATAAAACAGAACATCACAAATCATTTTCATAGATAGCTTTTTTCTAGTTTTTAGAGCTGGATATACGTTTTTGTTTTTTGTTTTACATGATTCAACGGCCTCAGTAATGTCACTTCATAGATTCTACGAAAGAGTGTTTGGAACCTGCTGAATCAAAACACAGGTTCCATTCTGTGATAATAAAAATGTACATCACAAAGCGTTTTCACAGACAGGATGTTTCTAGTTTTTTATAGTTGGATATTCGTTTCTTTTAAATTTGGGGATGACCTTGCCCTGCTGTCTTTCACTACATACATACCACAGCTATATAGTTTGCATGGAGTACTGGGTGGCTCTCAATATTTAGGAAAATTAAGATTAGTGGTATCAAATCACAATACAATAAAATAACGAAGATGATGGAGACCAGGGGAACTGTCTTGTTTTGTTTTGTTTTTAAGAAGATCTGCCCTTGAAATTCTCTGTATAGAGTATAGAAGACCACAGCCCCTGACCACAGCATCACCTGGCAAACAAATATCCATCTATCATTTGGAATAAAAATATCCATAAAGTATCAATGCTCTTGGAAACTTGGATTCTCACAGCTCATAAATGTTTTGGAAATCCTGCCAAAAATATTTTTTAGATCACTAGACTGAAGATTTCATTGCTTGTGTAGCAGCCAGTTGGGCAAAGTTATCTAACACAAAGCCTATTTTATAATAAAATGTGGAATAGCTTATGCAATTTATTGACTACTGTACTGAAGGTGAAAAACACAATGGTTTCATGGGTCCTTGAAGTACACTTTCTGCTGAATTCATGTCAGTTTCCCACTATCATAAAGTTGAAAAATCTTAAGTGAAACATCCCAAGTCACAGAGCATCAAAATGTAATCAGTATATCAGTCACACATAACAACACATTGTAGAAAATGCAGGTTTGGTTTAGGTGTGGTGGTTCATCCTACTCATAAGCAGTTCTTTCATCTCTAACGAGTCGCCTCTCATCGTGGGCTAATGCTGCAACATGGGCTGTGTCATGTAAAAGCCTGTCTTTTTACAGTTAGGAATAAGATGAAAGCGTTGAAGGCTAAGTTCATTAAAATGACTTCTTCGAGTGGCTTTGCCTTTTCTCCTGGACTGCTCCCATAGTTCTGTGACCCATGTCAATATAGAAAATGGTAGCACAAGCCAACCCTCTCTGCATAGGTGCTGGCATGATTCCTCTCTTCCACTCTTAACACTGGGCTTGGATAATGGCTTGATGACACTGAGCAAAACTCTTCTTAAGACCCTCAGTTTCATCTTCTCGACACAAAAAGTCTCAAAAGTCCTTGCCACACTACAGAAGGAAACTTAAAGCTGTAACTTGACACAATCTTAGGGCTCCTATAATTGTTTTAAGTCTTTCAGGGATTACTGTCCGTCCTTGATTGATGTACAGTGTCTTGCAAACCATTGGTCCATATAATTTTTATTGTTCCGTATAATTTCCATTGTTCCATATAAGCTGTCCAGTTTTTTACATTTGTTGAGGCATGTCCAAACCATATTTGTTTTTCCACAGCGTTTTGATTCATACCTTCCACAATTACACAATGATTACTGCATTCCCAGCTGTTTGCTTCTAGCTCGCAATACAAAGGAAAAATGTGTGTGAAACTCACAGAGAAAAATCGATAATTAAACTCCGTTTGTAACACTAAAGGGAAGATCATAATTGACCTATACACAGTATCAGTAGGAGTCTCCATGGAAGTCAGCCACTGTGTGTCAATGAATCAAATATTTCACATGGAACTATAAGAAAGGATATCTCTGTCAATTAACTACAGTCAAGCATTAGAACGGGGATGTGTTCTAAGAAATGTGTCATTTGTCGAGTTGGTCATTTTATTGTCAATGAAAAGAGTCAAACTCTGTAAAATATTTGAAGAGATTTATTCTGGGCCAAATATGGCCCGGGACACAATCTTCAGGAGGTCCTGAGAACACGCACCCAAGGTGGTTAGGGTGCAGCTTGGTTTTATACATTTTAGGGAGGCATGAGATAGCAAATACATATAAGAAATATATTGGTTTGGTCCAGAAAGGCAGGTATTCTAAGAGGGGTGGGGGGTGAAGGTAAACTTAAACATTTTCTGATTGACAATTGGTTGAGTTGGTCTAAAGACCTGGAATCAAAGAAAGGAATGTCTCAGTTAAGATAAAAGGTTGTGGAGACCAAAGTTTTATCATGCAGATGAAGCCTCCAGGTAGCAGGCTTCAGAGAGAATAGGTTTTTGTGTTTATTTTTGTTTTAGAGACAGAGTCTCACTCTATCGCCCAGGCTGGGATGCAGTAGTGCGATCTTGGGTCACTGCAACCTCCACCTCCAGGGTTCAAGCAATTCTTCTGCCTCAGCCTCTCGAGTAGCTGAGATTACGGGATGCGCCAGGGTGCCTAATTTTTGTATTTTTAGTAGAGACAGGGTTTTGCCCTGTAGGCCAGGCTGGTCTTGAACTCCTGACCTCAGGTGATCTGCCCGTCTGGGCCTCCCAAATTGCTGGGATTACAGGCATGAGCCACTGCACCTGCCTAGGTTTTAAAATGTTTCTACTCAGACTTAAAGTTGGTATTAATATTAATGCTGGAGAGGTATACTGAGGCATGACCAACCCCCACTTCCTGTTAGGGCCTGAACCAGTCTTTCAGGTTAAATTTTAAAAGAGCTCTGGCTGAGGGGAAAGTCCATCCAGATGACTGGGCACTCTTAGAATTTTATTTTTTGCTTACATTGTGAACATCATAGAGTGCACTTACACAGACCTAGCTGGTATATCCTCCTATACACCTAGGCTGTATGCCTATTGCTTCTAGGCTACAAACCTTTGCAGTGTGTTACTGTACTGAATATTCTAGCCAATTGTAACACAATGGCAAATATGTGTGCCTGTAAACATATCTAAACATGGAAAAGGTAAGAATACAGTATTAGACATAAAAAATGGCACACCTGTATAGGGCACTTACCATAAACGGAGCTTGCAGGACTGGAAGTTGCTCTGGGTAAATTAGTGAGTGGTGAGTGAAGGTGAAGGCCTAGGACATTACTCTCTGCTTCTGTAGACTTTGTAAACATGGTTTTTGTCCCTTCCATCATTTTCCAGGTGCAGATACGATCTATGGATAAGAAAATTCAGTGTCCATGCCAGGCACGATGGCTCATGCCTATTATCCCAGCACTTTGGGAGACTGAGGCAGGTGGATCATTTGAGGTCAGGAGTTCAAGAGCAGCTTGGCCAACATGATGAAACCCCATGTTTACTAAAAATACAAAAATTAACCGGGCATGGTGGTGTACACTTTTAGTCCCAGCCAGTTGGGAGGCTGAGGCAGGAGAATTGCTTGAACCCAGGAGGCAGAGGTAGCAGTGAGCCAAGATTGCAACACTGCACTCCAGCCTGGGCAATGGAGTGAGACTCTGAAAAAAAAAAAAAGGAAGGAAGGAGGAAGGAAGGAAAGGAGGGAGGGAGGAAGGAAGGAAGGAAAGGAAGGAAAGAAAGAAAATGCAGTGTACAACTCAACACCACCTGGTATCAATACATTGTGGGTGAAAACATTCTAACAGGAAGCTGTAGAATAGGGAGATCTGCAGCTGAACAGACAAGGGACCCAATGAGAACTCCAAAGACAGTGAAAACTGGGAACATGCAGAGATGGTGGAGGGTGGCAGTGGGTGGGCCTTTCGGGACTTTTCCCCAAGGATAAACACATGTTCACCAATGTCTGTCTGCATGACCTCTTCCATGTTCTTTGATATTCTCCTAGAAGCCTCATGATTTTCTCGTGTTTCTCAGAGAATAATATGTATTTTGTCTTTATCCTTGTACCCAATACCTTGTATACCTAACTATACATACCTAAATTTCTTATGGGTGAATTATTCACAGTTAAAAAATGTGCCAACTTTGTAACCAAATGAAATTACCCTGGTTTATACACCCTTCATGTCTTCAGAGTCCTGCCTGCATGCCTATAAGCAAGGGTTAAGTTTGGGGTGTTGTATTTTCCTAGTTAACATTGGATACTTACATGTTCTGGGAACTTTTAGGCTATCAATACCCAATTAAAAATTCCAGTTGCTTTATCTTTTACTTCTTTTCCTGCGGTCTTTAAAATATATCTTTTCTTCTATTTGCTTTGGATTTAACTGTCTCTACTTTTTTCTTTTAAGCTTCCTAAGGTGGAAATTTAGATGAGTGATCTTTAGATTCCTCTTTTCTCATATTACACTAAGGCTATCCGTTTCTCTCTAACCTTCCACATTGCATTCCATGTTGCATTTGATAGGTTGTAATTTCCTTTAAATTTAGTTCAAAATGTTTTTAAAATTTGTCCTGAAATTTCTTCCTTGACCCATGTGTTATTTAGAAGTATGTTATTTTGCTATGTATTTTGCAATTTACCATTTATTTTTCTTTTACTGATTTGTAGCTTAATTCTGTTGTGGTTTGAGTGCATGTGTTGAAGGATTCCCATTCTTTTAAATTTGCTAAGGTGTGTTTTATGGGGGAGAATTTGATCTATCTTAGTGAGTGATTCACGTGGGCTTCAGAAGACTCTGCATTCTGGCCATTGTTGGATAGTCTGTGGGTGTCAATTGTATCAAGTTCATTGATTGTGCTGCTGTGTTCAACTGAATTCTGCTTTTTTTCTGCCTACTGGATCTGTCTATTTCTGAAAGAGGAGTGTTGAAGTCTACAACTACAAGGTGAATTCAACTATTCCTCCTTGTGGTTTTAAGTTTCTGCCTCACATAGATTGATGCCTTGTTGTTAGATGCACACTTGTTCAGGATTGTTACATCTTCTCGGACAATTGACACCTTATTATTATGTACTGCATTCTTTATCTCTGACAGTGGAGAATATTTGTCACAATTAATAATTTAATAATAGACATTATCATTCATTAACAACCACATTTTACTTAGATTTTCTCTTTTACTTAACAAATATTTGTGTTCCAGGATCCCATCCAGGATAACCCATCATTTTTAGATATCATGTCTCATTAGGCTCATTTTCCCTATGTTGATGATAATTACATCCCTGATTTGGAATTTCTCTGATGTTTTTCTCATGATTTTACTGGATTATGGATTTGGGGGAGGAGGAAGTTGTCATTTTTATCACATCTTATCAAAGGTAGATATTATCAACACACCTTTTCTGTGTTGATAATTTTATCACCTGGATAAGAGAGATTTATCAGATTACTCCACTGTGAAATTACTCTCTTTTCCCATTTCACCAGTTTCCTTTTTGAAAACATGTCACTGTACTTCTTTGAGGAGTGCTTTGTATTAGGTTGGTGCCAAAGTAAATGTGGTTTCAGACTGTGAATTGTAAATCATTATAACTAGGCTCAAGCACATCTTTATTAATCAAAATAGGAACCATTACAATCAACACTCTTTTTTTTGTTTGTTTGTTGGTTTGTTTGAGACAAGGTCTTGCTTTTTCACCCAGGCTGGAGTGCAGTGGTGCAATCTCGGCTTACTGCAACCTCCGCCTCCTGGGTTCAAGCAATTCTCCTGCCTCAGACTCCAGAGTAGCTGGGACCACAGGTGTGTGCCACCATGCCTGGCTAATTTTTGTATTTTTAGTAGAGATGGGGTTTTGCCGTGTTGGACAGGCTGGTCTTGAACTCCTGACCTCAGGTGATGCCCCCTCCTCGGCCTCCCAAAGTGCTGGGATTACAGGCGTGAGCCACTGCGCCCTGCCAACACATTTTTGTTGAATGAGAAATAAGTTTGTTTATTCCTGTAGTGTAAAAAGCCATGCTTCGGGATTTGATGAACTATTGGAAAGCATTCTCTGTATCCTGCTGGTTGTGGAAGTGTTTTCCCTGCAAAAAGTTGTCAAGGTGCTTGAAGAAATGGTAGTTGGTTGGTAAGAGGTCAGGTAAATATGGCTGATGAGGCAAAACTTCATGGAAGCCCAATTCGTTCAACTTTTGAAGCATTGGTTGTGCAACATGTGGTCTGGTGGGCATTGTCAAAGAGAAGAATTGGGCTCTTTCTGTTGAACATGCCAGCTTCAGGCATTGCAGTTTTCAGTGCATCTCATCAATTTGCTGAGCATACTTCTCAGACGTAATGGTTTCGCTGGGATTCAGAAAGCTGTAGTGGATCAGACCAGCAGCAGACCACAAACAGTGACTGTGACGTCTTTTTTTTGTGGTGCAAGTTTGGCTTTGCAAAGTGCTTTGGAGCTTCTTCTCAGTTCAACCACCGAGCTGGTAGTTGTCAGTTGTTGTACAAAATCCACTTTCGTCCCACATCACAATCCCATCGAGATTCATTCATTGTTGTTGCTTAGAATAAGAGAAGGTGACCCTTCAAAACGACAATTTTTTTTTATTTTTGCTCAACTCATAAGGCACCCACTTATCGAGCTTTTTCACCTTTCCAATTTGCTTCTAAATGCTGAATGACCATAGAATGATCGACGTTGAGTCCTTCAGCAACTTTGTGTAGTTGTAAGAGGATCAGCTTCAATGATTGCTCTCAAATGGTCCTTGTCAACTTCCAATGGCTGGTCACTACACTCCTCATCTTCAAGTCTCTCATCTCTTTTGCCAAACTTCTTGAACCACTACTGCTCTGTACGTTCGTTAGCAGTTCCTGGGCCAAATGCATTGTTGATGTTGCAAGTTGTCTCTGCTACTTTACAACCCATTTTGCTCTCGAATAAGAGTTCAAAACATTATTTCCATAGTCTAAAATAAACAAAGTAAACAGCAAGTAGTAAGTCATTAGCAAAAACAATTAAAATGATGTATAACATAGCTACATTAATTTAAGAATGTATTCCAGCATCAAATGGCAAATTCCAACAACGCAAAAACCTCAATTACTTTTGAACTCACCTAATAATTCTCATTGTAGAGATCTTCCACTTCCTTGGTTAGCTGTATTTCTGGGAATACAGCTTATTCTTTTTGTGGCTATTGTGAGGAAGATTGCATTCTTGATTTGGCTCTCAGTTTGAATGATGTTGGTGTATAAAAATGCTACTGATTTTGTACATTGATTTTGTATCCTGAAACTTTGCTGAAGTTGTTTATCAGATCAAGGAGATTTGGGGCAGAGACTATGGGGTTTGCTATGTATAGAATCATATCATCTGCAACTGAGGATACTTTGATTTCTTCTCTTCCTATTTTGATGCCTTTTATTTCTTTTGCCTGATTGCTGTGGCTGGGACTTTCAATACTATGTTGAATACGAGTGGTGAGAGAGGGCAAATATAGTATATTCTCACTTATAATCAGCATCTAAACTTTGAGTACACATGGACACAAGGAAGGGGACAACAGACACTGGAGTCTACCTGAGGGTAGAGGGTGGGAGGCGGATGAGGATCAAAAAACCACCTATCAGGATATGTGTTTATTACCTGAGTGACAAAATAATCTGTACACCAAACCCCAGTGACATGCAATTTACCTATCGGTAAATTTTATCTACAGGTAAAGCACATCTGCACATGTATCCCTGAACCTAAAATCAAAGTAAAAAAAGAAAATATGTCACTATACATAGCACTATACATAGAGGGTATTCATGCTTCAACTTCTTATGAAAAGAGTATCTGAAAATGTCGTTGAAGCTTCTTCAACAAGGGCAATTTGGCTGTTTTCCATAATTTATTTCATATTTATCCAATTATTTATTTGTATCCTGGAAAATATTGTATGAAATTATGGCTATTTAATTTACACTGTTTTATAATTCTTTCTTTATTCTATTGCTCAAATTGTTTCAATGCTGGCCACTAGAGGTCTCTCAGTTGGCTCCTGTATCATTTTGAAATAACCCACATCATTGTGGTTTGCTTTAGTTTATTTCATTGGCTGTGTGTGTTATTTCACACTTTCTTACTTTCAGGCACTACAAGATGATCCAGGCAAATTGTGTTTATTTCATGCCCAAGCCAAGTATCCACCATTTCTTCAAAGAGTCGCTACAGGGTCATCTGTTGACTGGGGGCCTTGTTAGCTGACACAGCAAAGAAATATACCTGTGTATACTAACACACACATATAAATGTATCTATAAATATTTCCTCATGTGTTCATGTGTATCTTTATTAAGTTAAATATGAATTCCCCTAATGTCTCTAACACCAACGGCATCTAATCCAGCACCACGTGAGTCAATCTCCCCATTCCCTCTACTTCTTCGTAATCTCTCACTCTAACAGTGAGAAATTTGGCCTCCTTTACTTAATAATTGAGTTCCAAATTACATGTGCAGTGGCTTCAGAATAGTTAATCTATACCCCTAGTGAAACAGCATTACCAACTAAAGTACAGTGCTCATGGACACTCCTTTGGCTTTTAGGCTCAGAATTTCCACTTATTTCCTTAGTTACTTAGGTCAGCATCTTTCCCCACCTTTATAATCTCCCTTCAGTGAGATTATTTTATACATTTGTTATTCATTTATCTTATTTTGTCTGCATTTCTCCTCCAACATATTAACTAGGTATTTAATTTTCAAACATTTATGTTCACTCTTTGAGTTATAAAGTTCTATAGGGCTTCAAAAACAGTACAATATACCCATCATTACAGTGTCCTTCAGATGAGTCTCACTGCCCTATAGAAGTTCCATGTACTTTACATATTCAGCCTTCCTCCTTCAAAAGCACCTAGTAACCATTAACCGGTTTAACATCTCCATTGTTTTACCTTTTCCAAAGTGTCATATCAATGGAATTATACAGTCTGTAGTCTTTCTAAACTGGCCTTTATCATTTCAAAATATGCCTTTAATTTTTTTTGAAGCATATGGTGATTTATATGTTCACTTCCTTAAGAACAAATGGTGTTGAAAATCATTTTATATGCTTAAAGGAGTTTGTATTGCTTCTTTGGAGAAATGTCACACAATTTACCAATTTAATTTTTTTATTTTTAAATTTTGTGGGTATATAGTAGGTTTATATATTTATGGTGTACATGAGATGTTTTGGTACAGGCATGCAATGTGTAATAATCACATCATGGAGAATGGGGTTTCCATCCCCTCAAGCATTTATCCTTTGCATTACAAATAATTCAATTACATTCTTTTAGTTATTTTTACATGCACAATTAAGTTGTTATTGACTATAGTCACCTATTGTGCTATCAAATGCTAGACCTTATTCATTCTTTTGTGCTATCAAATGCTAGACCTTATTCATTCTTTTGTGCTATCAAATACTAGATCTTATTCATTCTTTCTATTTCTTGGGCCTATTAATTACCCCACCTCCTTTCTAGCCTCCCACTGCCCTTCCCAGCCTCTGGTAACTAACCAGTCATCTACTCTCTATGTCCATGAGTTCAGTTGTTTTGTTTTTAGCTTCTACAAATAAGAACATAGGAAGTTTGCCTTTCTGTGCCTGGCTTATTCCACTTAACATAACTATCTTTAGCTCCATCCATGCTGTTGCAAATAATGGGATCTCATTATTTTTTATAGCTGAATAGTAGTCCATTGTGTATATGTACCACATTTTCTTTTTCCATTCATCTATTGATGGACACTTAGGTTCTGTGGTATTGTTAAAGAAAACAAAACCAGACACTAAAGTGATAAGGACAGATTTTAATTCGTAATGACTATTGTAATAGCGGGGAGGATCCAGAGTAAACTGAACTCAACTTTGAATTGCACAATGGAAAGTGGGCTTTTTAAAGGAAGAATGAGGGAGTGGGGTAGGGGAGAGGGATGAGCAGGGCCTTACTAGAGTTGAAACTGCCTTTGCAAATATTATGTCAGTGAGAAAAAATGTAACAGTAAACTAAACTAACCCACCCCCTTTCTTGCCTTTCCCTTAATTATTTCTGGGCTGTTGGGCTGAGCTAACTTTGTAAGAAATTTAGGCTACAGTGTAAAAGATAATAGGCCTTCCCTAAAACTCAACTGCTTTTGTAAAGCTAATGGGAGGCTTATCAGGATGTGGGGAGGAGAGGCGCCTGGGTCCTGCTAAGGTGCAGACATTATCCGTAGGTTATAAGACATGCAACTTCCCCAATTACTCCTGCAAATAACACCACTATTGTAGATTGGCCTTTTGAGATATCTTTCCAGGTTTTTTACAAGTCTGACACCTATGGCTCCACCTAAACCTGACGGTTCCACCTGGACTGCCAGTCCCACCCACGCCTAAGGCCCCACCAGAAGCGATTTGGCCCTCAGGAGAACAGCCTCGACCCCCACTATGATTTCATCTCCACCCCAACTAATCAGCAGCAAGCACATGTTACCTGACCACCCCCACCTCTTCCCCCAAATTGCTTTTAAAAAACCCTAATCTATGCAATTCAGGTGAGATGATTTGGGTATAAACCCTATCTCCCATGTGGTGTGGCCAGCCCTGTGTCTATTAAACTCTTTCTCTACTATAATGCCTTGGTCCGTCTTTATTCACCGGGCAACAAGAACCCTTCAGGTGGTTACAGAGTCAGGAAAGTGAAAAACCACAAAGGCTGGTTAAGCGTAACTGTGCTTAGGCCAGCTGTGTCTGCTAGCTGGCAGTTATTGAGGTTAGGATTCTATCTTTCCACAGAGAATAGGAGACAGAAGCCCTATCCTTCCCAGTGATAACATTTCAAAGCAATGACTTTCAGGTCTTTGAGAAAGGCTCTCTTGAGTTGAAAGGGAAACATATGTATCTCAAAGGGACAGAGGAAGGATTCAAAATGGTAAGCTTTTTAATAATTGTTCTAAGAAAGTGTGGCCAGGGGCCTATTCTCAGGTGTTGGCTGGAACAAAAAGTAAATTTTTTTGGCAGCCTTGACTCATACTGCGGTTAACGACCTTGCGCTAGTAGAAACTGTTTTAGTGTTTGGCTAAGTCTTTTAATGTGGTAGGAGAGGGGTTGAATGAAATAATTTATACGGGGAGTCTGCAGTTCTTATTTGTAGGTCACAGTTAAAGTCTAGTCCAGAAGAGGGCTCAGAAGAGCCTAGCTAGAGTTTGACCAAGAAGTGAAACTCTGTCACTATCAAAGATTATATTGGATCCCAAAATTCATACAGAATCTCAATGGACTCTGAATACTCAAAGTAATCTTTAAAAAGAACAATATTGAAGGTCTCATACTTCTTGATTTCAAAACTTATTACAAAGCTACAGAAATCAAAACGGTGAGGTGCTGGCATAAAGACAGATATATAGACTAATAGAACAGAGAGCCCAGAAATAAGCCTTCACATATGTAGTCAAAGGATTTTTTGTAAAGATGTCAAGGCCATTCAACTGAGGAAAGATCGTTTTTTCAACAAATGATGTAGGGAAAATTGGGTATCCCCACACAAAAGAATGAATTTGGAGCCTTACCTTATACTGTATATTTTAAAAATTCAAAATGGATCGAAACCTAAATATAAGAGCTAAAAGTCTAAAACTCTTTGAAGAAAACATAGGTGAAAAGTTTATTACTATCAGACTTAGCAGTGATTTACTGGATATGCCACCAAAAGCATAGGAAACAAAAGTAAAAATTTATAAATTGAAATGTATCAAAATTAAAACCTTCTGTGTATCAGAGAACACAATCCATACACTAAAAAGGCAGTATACAGAATGGGAGAAAATATTTGCAAATCCTATATCTGATAAGGAGTTCATATTCAGAACATGTAAACGACTACAACTCAACATTAAAAAAACTGATTTTAAAAAATGGGTAAAGGACTTGAATAGACATTTCTCCAAAGAAGATACATACATGGCCAATAAGCACATGGAAGGATGCTGAATATCATGGTTATCAGGGAAATGCAAATCAAATGCACAATGAGATATCACCTCAAACCAATTTGGATGATTACTATACAAAAAAAAACTGTGAAATCCAGAAAACAAAAAATGTTGGTGAGGATGTGGAGAAATTGGAATCCCTGTACACTGTTGGTGGGGAGACAAAATGGTATACCCTCTAGAGAAAGCCATTTGGTAGTTCCTCAACAAGTTAAAAATTGTATTACCATATAATCCAGAAATTTAATTTCTGGGCATGTACCTGAAAGAATTGAAAGCAGAGTCTTGAAGAGATATTTGTGCACTCATGTTTATAGCAGCATTATTCACATTAGCCAAAACATGGAAGCAATTCATGTATCCACTGACAGATGAATAGATGAACAAAATGTGGTACAGGTTAAGTATCCTGTATCCAAAATGCCTGGGACTAGGAATATTTTAGATTTTGGATTTTGGAATATTTGCATCACATGTAGAGGATGAACATCCCTAATCCCTAAATATCCAAAATTCAAAATGCTCCAATGGGCATTTTCTTAGAGCATCATGCTGGCACTCAAAAAGTATCAAATTTTTGAGCATTTCAAATTTTGCTTTTTTGGATTAGGGATACTTAACCTGTCTACATACAATGGACTACTATTCAGGCATACAAGGAAGGACATTCTGATAGATAATGCTCAATGAATAAACCTCGAGGATATTATGGTAAGTGAATTAAACCAGTCACAAAAAGACAAATTCTGTATGATTCCACTTATACAAACTACCTAGGGTAGTCAAATTCATAGAGACAGAAAGTAATATGGTGGTTGCCAAGAGCACAGGAGGGAGGAATGGGGAGTTACTCTTTAGTGAGTATAGAGTGTCAATTTTGCAAGATGAAAGTAATTTGGGAATTAATCACACAACAGTCTGAATGTACTTAATACTACTGAACTGTACACTTAAACATTTGTAAAATAGCCAGGCACAATCACTTGCACCTATAATCCCAGGTACTCTGGAAGCTGAGGCCAGAGGACACATTTGAGCCTAGGGGTTCAGGGCTACATTGAGCTATGATCCTACCACTGCACTCCAACCTGGGCAACAGAGTGAGACTCCATCTTAAAAAAGAAAATGATAGATGTTATGTTGTATGTATTTTACAAGTGATGTTTTTAATTTTAAAATGTTTAAAAATGCAAAATTGCTATCTAAGACATATACTGCATTTTTAAAACATTTTTAAATTTTAAAAATTACACATATGGCAAATATATATATTTATATATGTTTATATATTTATATATATTTACATATATTTATATATTTACATATATTTATATATTTATATATATTTACATATATATTTATATATATTTATATATATTTATATATATTTACATATATATTTATATATATTTATATATTTATATATATTTACATATATATATTTATATATATTTACATATATATATTTATATATATTTACATATATATATTTATATATATTTACATATATTTACATATATATATTTACATATATATATTTATATATATTTACATATATATTTATGTATATTTATATATATTTATGTATATATATATATATATATATATATATATATATATATATATATATATATATATATATATATATATATATATATATATATATATTTATATATATTTATATATTTATATATATTTATATATTTATATATATTTATATATAATTCATTTTATATATATATTCATTTGCTACTAAGACGTGTGTGTATGTGTATATATTATTTATATATGTAAAAGTTGACCAGACACAGTGGCTCACGCCTCTAATCCCAGCATTTTGGGAGGCCAAGGCAGGTGGATCACTTGAGGTCAGGAGTTTCAGATCAGCCTGGCAAACATGGTGAAACCCTATCTCTACTAAAAATACAAAAATTAGCTGGGCGTGGCGGTGTGCACCTCTAATCACAGCTACTCGGGAAGCTTAGGTAGGAGAATTGCATGAACCTGGGAGGCAGAGGTTACAGTGAGCCAAGATGGTGCCACTGTACTCCAGCCTGGGTGACAGAGCAAGACTCTGTCTTAATAATAATAATAATAAAATTAACAAAACTATGAGTCTAGGTTCAGGAACAACTGAAAAGATGACTTAAGAACAGAGTGCAGAAATTATTGTGGCAGGGCCTGGAGCTCATTTCTTGACTTTGCAGCTTGTTTCTTGACAGAGCAGCTATAGGAGAGAAGATAAAATTTTCCCTTTGCTCTCTGAACGTTCACTGAAAAATCAGCTGGCAAAAGGCAGATTAATAGGAGAAAGGGCATACAAAATTCTATTTTAACATGAGTAGCACAGTGAACCTCAGACTGATTACCCAGTAACCCAGTGTGTTAGGCAGTGTACTACATAAACTTACATACCCTTTTCATAAGGGAGGGGAGATGGGGAATGTAGGCAAGACTTTGGAGGGGCATTCAGTCATTAGAGAAGATAAATGGACCCAGGAGGTGGGAGGTAGACATTAGGGGAAGGTGAGGGGCAGAGCTGCACAGGAACAAAGGTTGTTTTATTATGCAGATAATGTCTTCCTGGTAATCTCTTGGAGCTGCCCTCAAAAGAAGATGGTAAGTCTGTCTAGGCATGGTTAGGACTCCCTGTCTTTTCTATGCTGAATGATCTTTCCTAGTTCTTGGATGAGATCCCCAGGGAGGGGTTTTAATACAATTACATTTCTTTCCAAAAGAAACTTTCTTGGTCAGATAAGGAAATTTCAGACACAGCCCCTCTCTACCACTGGAGATAGGAAGAAGGCAGGATTACAGGGACCTTGATTCTGAGGCAGCTTCTAAGGCCTCTCAGCATGTCAAAGCACAAGTCTTTGGGGTATCACTCTCTAAGCCCTAGCAAAATACACTGATTTGTGTATGAAAAATGGAGCTTACAGCTCAGACAGAAAATCTATCCTTAATAACGGAATTTTCAACTTGATGTGGCTTACCACATGTACAGTATGAAAATATGTCATTTACGGCTCATGCCTGTAATCCCAGCACTTTGGGAGGCCGAGGCGGGTGGATCACCAGGTCAGGAGATGGAGACCATCCTGGCTAACACGGTGAAACCCCATCTCTACTGAAAATACAAAAACTTAGCCGAGCATGGTGGCGGACGCCTGTAGTCCCAGCTACTTGGGAGGCTGAGGCAGGAGAATGGCATGAACCTGGGAGGCTGAGCTTGCAGAGAGCCAAGACGACGCCACTGCACTCCAGCCTGGGTGACAGAGCTAGACCCTGTCAACAACAACAACAACAAAAAAGAAAATATGTCATTTATATTCAAAGCATCAAATAAATTTTTTTTTATTTCTTTTTATATGTGGACATATGAATTTAGGCTTGCCAGAATATAATTATTAATTCTAGCAAATGTGCATTGTCATATTTTGCCCAAATGTTTAATCAAATAAATGAGTTTAAAATTATCTCATTTCCAAAGAAGCAAAATTCAGCTTATTATTCTAGATGTTTTACTTATGAGTTTACTATTTACCCCGTTACTGTTATTTCTGGCCTTCCTGTGGCAGTATTGCCATCCACTGAAACTGTCCCCATAAGAGGAGCATTCGTAGGTTTTTAGGAATACTAAAAATACAAGTCACTCCCCATCTGTTATCTGTTGTTTCTTCCCCCAAAATTTGTGTGATCCCTGCAATGGATGCTTACATTCATTCTTTTTATTTGCAAATCACTGACTCTTAAAATGAAAACTATTAAATTGTAGAACCACTCAGCAAGATGTACAAATTAAAATTATATTATAATAGGGAACCTAAGCTCAGTGTACGTTATTAATGCAGAGGAAAAGTATTTAAGAACAACTTGAGTGGTAGGGGGTCAGTTTCTAAAGTGAGATGATGAACAAACTGTGTTGACCTGGAGGTTCCTTCTCAACTCGAGATGTCACATTCACTAGAAGGGGCAGGAACAAACCCCAGGTTGGTCAGAACTGTCTCTCCCTATCTCAGGAGATTGCATTCTGGGCTGATTCTACAGTTATTCTTGAGAATTGCAAGTGAGAAAGGGGGAGAATCCATCTGATTTACCCTCTGATAACCAGAGAACTGCATTACATTTTAACCTCAAAAAGTTACATTGTTCCCCATTGTAGTAATCCTCCTCCCACTCATAGCCTTGGCAATTATTGATCATCTTGATCTCAATAGATTTGCCTTTTCTAGAATGTCATATAAATGAAATCATTCTGTATGTAATAATTTAGGTATGTTTTTTCTCAGTTAGAATAACACTTTTGAGATTTATCATATTGTTTCATGTATCTGTAGTTTTTCTTTTATGTTGACTTGTACTCTTTCGTATTCTTTCTTGAATGAAAATACCACAATTTGCTCATTATTTTTATGGATATAAAATGTTATCAATATGGATAACTTCATGGATATAAACAGTCTAAATGGTCATTGTGATTTCAATTCACATCAATGAGCATAGTTTGTACTTATTTGCCATTCATATCTATTGATTAATGGTTACCATTTTATTTTATAATGTTTATTAATTTATTCTTAAATTTAATCTTATATGTATAATTCTCTATACAAGATTGATCACAGTTATACACTGAAAATAATATTTCATGCTGAGCCTCTGGCATCTCTTGCCATTTTCTTAAGTGACATTCAAAAACAACAATTATAATAATTTTTAATTGAATACATTACTTTTTCTGCTTTATAATATTTATTTCCTGTATACAAATTATTTCTTAACCTAAAATCACAAAGATTAACCTCTATGTTTTCGTGTGTGTGTGTGTGTGTGTGTGTGTGTGTGGTTGAGACAAGGTCTCACTCTGTCATCCAGGCTGTAGTCTAGTGGCACTATCTTGGCTTACTGCAACTTCCACCTTCCAGGCTCAAGTGATCCTCCTACCTCAGACTCTCAAGTAGCTGAGACTACAGCCACCACCATGCCTGGCTAATTTTTTTGTGTTTTCATACAGCCAAGATTTCATCATGTTGTCCAGGCTGCTCCCAAACTCCTGGGCTCAAGTTATCCACCCCATTGGGCCTCCCAAGTGCTAGGATTACAGGCATGACCCATTGCGCCTGGCTGTTTTTTAGAAATTGTCTACCTTAAGGTTTTACATTTTAATCTATGATAAATTTTGAATAATTTTTAATATATACTACAAAATAAGGGTGAACATTTTGGTTTTTATTTTTGGTATATGAATATTCAGTTGTTCAAGAATCATTTGTTGCAAACTCTGTCCTTTCGCCATTAAATTTCTTTGGAACATGAGTCAAAAATCTACCAACCACATAAGTGTAGGTCTATTTCTGGGTGCTAAGCTGTTTCATTTATCTAAATATATATCCCTACACCAAAGCACACTATCTGTACTAATACTGCATTATATTAAATTTTGAAATAGGTAAAGTGAGTACCCTAACATTGTTCCTCCTTTTCTTAATGTGTTTGGCTATTCTACTTTGACTTTCTAATACAAATTTTAGAATCTATTTGTCAATTTCTACAAAAAAAAATAATGGGATGTTGATTGAGGATTTAGTGAATGCATAGATTAAAATGTAAGAATCGCTCTCTTAATATTGACCTTCCAATTCATGAAATTAGTGTATCGCTGTATTTATTTAGATCTTTTAAAACTAATCTCATCAGTGTTTCCTAATTCCCAGAGTACAATTTTTGCCAGATTTATCTCTAAGAATATCATTTTTATATTGCTGTAAATATATTTTAACTTCAATGCTCAATTTTTCATTATCGCTATAAGGGAAGACAGTTGATTTTCACCTATGCATTTTTGCAAACTAAGAAAATCTAGTGACAACCATGTGGTATATATATTGCTACATGTGAGGCATGGACAAATGAACAACAAACATACATTTCTCCTATATCTGAGACATCAGTCAAGCTGATATTCGAACATATAGGCAATAAAAATCAGATTAGAGAGGCTGCATAGTTATGTGGAAATCCACAAAATGCATGTGCATACAACACTAATTTAAATGGTCACTGCAGGTATCCTGCAGGAAGTAATTTAAGATTGAAAACATGAATAAGTAGCTGAAAAACGATGCAAATTTAAGCTGGGAAAGACAAAAGAATGATTAGTATTCATGTAGAAACCATGACATGTATACAAGTCAAAATATTTGAGGCATCACAAGAATAGCAATTTCAGAACACATGAAGGAAGTTACAAATCTATGTCAGGGCTAGATTTTTAAGAAATTATGTGGGGTTGAGGCTCAGCCCCTGCATTGGCAAAGAAAAAGTTATGGGTGATGAAAATAGACAACCTAAAGTCCTGGAAAAGAGTCCACACAAAATTTTAGTATTTTCAAGGTAGAAGCTTCTCTTGACTCAGTTGGACCTCCCTGTGAAAAATACGAAATCAGAAAAGGAACTTTCCACCTAGAAAACGAATTTCAGTACCAAGCATAGGTTGCTTTCACGCCTAAACCCCTCCTTACTTGAATTGCAGAAGTACCTGCTATACTGTAGTTTTTGGGCATGAGGGACCCCTGTGCTCACAGCGCCATCTAGCATCAACAGAAAGGGGGGCTGATGGCAATAGAAAGGGGGGCTGATGGCAGCCTTAATAAATTCAGGAGAGGAAAAAAAAAAACACAAAACAAAACAGATGGCGGCCCAGCATCCAGGAACTGCTGTGTTCATTTGAGTAGGATTTTTCTTATATTCGTTTAAAAACTGAAACATAATTCATAATTGCTGCAGGGGTTAGGGGTGAAATGCAATTGGTAACCATTCCCAGTAAAGACTCAGGGAATCCTGGCCCAAGACCACATTTCCTGTCATTTAACGCAAGGGTTAAAAGGTCGAAGTGAATCCCATTACGCTAACTGATTTCATTTACAAACATGGATGTATAGGAGTGTGTTACTATGCACGGAATCATACTTCGGATGTGAGTGTAAAACGAGTTCAGCTGATTTTGCACTGTCACATTAAACCCGGAACCATGTGTTTCCATATACATCACGCTCCTCTTTGGTAGCACTACAGTTCATAAGATGAATGTAATTTCTTAGATTACAGCCTTAACGGGTTATTACTCTTTCAATGTTTTCTAATGTGATATAGATGTCGGACGTATTCGCTCAAGTATACGTGGCGGGGCCGGGGTCCCGACCGTCTGTCGGAGCGAGCTGTGCCGCAAAGCCCAGCTACTCCGATCTCACAGGGATGGTGGCAGGAAATGCGCCATTGTTCGGCGCAGCGAAACAGCCCGCAGTGCGCTGTAGGAAGGTCACATGACAGAGGGGGAAGACGGTGGCCGGCAGCAGCCGATCCACTGCGCGCCTGCGCGGCTCCGGTGGCGTGAATGTCGCTGGTCTCCCGTCACCGTTTCCGTTTCCGGGCGAGTCTGTTCGGCTTATGGCGTCTGCTAGGAGTCTCCTATCCGGCGTTTGTGCCGCAGAAAACCTTTAACCTGCGTTTTACCCGTAAACATTTTCCTTTTTAGGCTTCCTATCATTGTTTTGGTTCTTGCTCCTGTATTAACTTTGTTTTTGGTTTTTTCTTTTTTTTTTTTTTTCAAGACGGAGTCTCGCTCTGTCGCCCAGGCTGGAGTGCAGTGGTGCGATCTCGGCTCACTGCAAGCTCCGCCTCCCGCGTTCACGCTATTCTCCTACCTCAGCCTCCCGAGTAACTGGGACTACAGGCGCCCGACATCACGCCCGGCTAATTTTTTTAATTTTAATAGAGATGGAGTTTCACCATGTTAGCCAGGATGGTCTCGATCTGCTGACCTCGTGATCCGCTCGCCTCGGCCTCCCAAAGTGCTGGGATTACAGGCGTGAGCCACCGCGCTCGGCCGTATTAACTTTGTTTTAACCTAAGTTTTGTTTCTTTTTCCCATAAAAATACCTTAGTGTTTATGCAACACTGTCTTTTCATAAACGTTGCACAGACCATGATTTTATACCCTTTCTTTTAAATATTAATTTTCATTTCTCTTTTTTCTGCATTCGTCTGAAAAATTGAATTATTTTTCAATAATTTTGAAATTACTGTCATTTTTTAAGGGATACTTCTTTAATCATGTTTGTATTTTCCCTAAGATTCTCGATTGACTCTCTTTTATCTTTTCCAACTAAGCACCTGTTTTACGAGAGGTATTGTGGGGGCTTCAAGGTCAAACTTTCCCCCAATGCCTCTATATCCATTATAAAATACCATTTTTTATTTTAACAAAAAGTTGTACAAGGTTGAAAGAAGTTTCTCAGCTATATGCTTTTCTCTGTATCCTGACTTCCCTTACTTCATCACTCTATCCATCACTTTACAACTGATAATTCAATCCCAAAATTCTTTTACTAATCGGCTTATTAAATTTGTGCCTTCCATTTGAAGAACCGGGGGTTACCCAAGGCCTGATTTTTCCTAGGACACTGGGAGAACACAAGATCTGGTTCCCAGTGCCAGAGAGATGATCACCTAGGAAGAAACAAGTCATAGGTCAGACAAGAGCCACAAGGGCGTCTGCCGTTCTAAACACATTTCCTGTTAGACAGACACTTGGTTATGGGTCAGACAGTTATGGCTTAGGGCATTGGCCACGTAAAAGAAGTATCCCATGAACGGCACACTGTAAACACCCATTTCCAGCTCCCTTTCATCTCCCATTACGGCAGAGTTGATCGCCATTCTGGTACCAGGACCTGGATATAGTTGTAAGTTCCTAGAACCGGAGGTCAGAATTGGCCTTGTACAGTACCTGTAGGAGTCTAAATGAGGGCTACCTACTGGAAGTCAATGAAACAAAGATTTAAGGTGGATCTAAATGGAAATACATATATCTCAAACTGCTATACACATAATAGTCTGATTTTGTACATATGAACTTGAAAGTAAAAGTAATTCATAAATGAATTCGCAATATTTTGAAACTAATTCTGATCTGAATTGGATTTTGAATCAGAAGTCATGGATGTCTTCCACCGTCTGTGCCATGAAGAGAGATGGCAATGAGGCATTCCTTAGTAAATGAGGCTGCACTACTCTGTGATTTCAACCTGTCCTGCTGACACCTTTGTGCATGTTTTGCTGCAGGTGACATTACAGAAGGAAATAGCAGAAGGTTTCAAAACAAGTTCATCCATGTGCAGACAATGAAAACTATGCCATGGCTGCAAGAAGGCTAACAGAATTGTAACATTTGACAGAAAATAATACAAAAAAGTGAAATATGATAAGTAAGAAGGATATGGAAATATTTATTAAGGGAGCCATATTAGTAGAGCTACATCTTACAGAACAAGAACATCTTCCTTGATCAAAGGGGCAAAACTTTCCAGGAGAGAAAAGGAGCATATGAGGTAGAAATAGCGTGATCCATAAGAGGGTCTCTACAATGGCTTGAGAATGGGGAGACAAGAAGAGTCAGGGAGACAGCAGGGTTTACACCTGTTCTGAGAACAGAAAGGAGCAAAAAAAAAATGTTCATTTTCAAGTTCAAATCCTCTTCAGATTGAAAGATAGAGTTAATTGGGGAAAAGACAAGAATATAGTAAAGAGTTTGAGAGATTCATTCATATGTAAAATTCAATATTAAAATAATCTGTGTTGCTTTTTGGCCACTGCATGTGTTGGGCTCACAGGGGAAAATATTTTTAAAATTTATGTCCTCTGATTTCAGTCCAGTGGGAATTCAGAAAACTTAACAAAATCCAAACTGTAAGTGGAAGCGTGCCCCTGGGAACTGAGAGGACAGGCATGAGACCTGTAATGGGATGGACAAGGAAGGCCTCTAGGATGAGGAACATTGGAGGAGATTCTGAAGATTGAGGAACGGTTTTTGACCAAGCAGAGGAGGGGAATTAGAAGAGGAAAAAGACTGTCCATGGCACAGGCCAGGGCATGAGAAAGGGGCAGTGGATTTCAAGGAATTCTGGGAGCTACTGTTTGTAAATTATAGGAGTAAAAAGGGAAGAGCACTGTGGGACTGGGTGTTAATCCAGTGTAGATGTTTCTCCATGTACATACACTTGTTCACACAGCTGAGCCTAGTCTACATGTCTCCTTATGTTCTTTGGTATTCTCCTACAAGCCTCATGATTGTTTTTGGTGTCTCAGAGCATAACATGCGTTACAATTCCAGAAAAATATGCAAGGTCTGGGAGGAAGAAATTTGTATTATTTCACTCAAGTAACATCCCATTACCTTTGTAATAGTCTGTGTTTCAAGTACATCCCATATCCTGTCCACTGTCAGGCGTGGCAGATTATACTACAGGGTTTTGTAAAACAACAGGTAGGGTTCATTGAGCACCATCTTATGGTCTACCTGTCACATCGGGTCTTTTCCAATCTGCAGTAGTTTCTCAGTCTATTTTGCATGACTTTGACCCTTTTGAAAAGAACTGATCAGGAATTTTGTGGGGTGTCCCACAATATGGATTTGTCTCATGTCTTCTCATGATTAGACTGGGGACATGCATAAATTAAACATGTCTAAATTTGATGACAAGAAAAACTGTACAATATACTATTAAGTAAGGTAAGGCTAGGCACAGTGGTTCATGCCTGTAATCCCAATCCTTTGGCAGGCTGAGGCAGGAGAATTGCTTAAGCCCAGGAGTTCAAGATCAGGCTGGGCAACATGGTGAGACCCCCATCTCTACAATAAATTTTAAAAATTAGCCAGGGTTTGTGGCACTTGCCTGTAGTCCCAGCTACCCAGGAGGCTGAGGCAGGAGGATTGCTTGAGCCTAGGAAGTCAAGGCTGTGGTGAACCGTCTTCATGCCATTGCAATACAGCCTGGAAAACAGAATGAGATCATATCTCTCATTTTGGGGAGGTGGGGGGACAGGGTCTCACTCTGTCACCCAGACTGGAGTGCAGTGGCGTGATCTTGGCTCACCACAACCTCCGCCTCCTGGGTTCAAGTGATTCACCTGCCTCAGCCTCTTGAGTAGCTGTGATTACAGGAATGTGCCACTACTGCCCGGCAAATTTTTGTATTTTTAGTAGAGATGGGGTTTCACCATGTTGGCCAGGCTGAGGGACCATATCTCAAAAGAGAAAAAAGAAATGCAAACTTAGAAAAATAAGCAAAAAAGGGAAATGTCAATTAGCAAACTTAGAATACTGGTAAACTTCATGGGGTTAGGAAGTGGATTGAATTGGAGAATTGCACACATGAGGCAATGTTGGTAATGTTCTGTTTATTAAACTAGGAAGTGACTTTTTAAAAAATATTAATTTTTCTATTAAATATTTTAAAATGCTTTTATATTTACAGAGCACTTTCAGAGACAGTGCAGATGATTTATATATACCCCAAACACAGTTTTCTTATTAATCTCTTAAATTAATGTTGCAAATTTCTCAAAATTAAACTAGTGTTATATATTATAATTCAATAACATCACACTTTTGTTCAGATTTCTTAGTTTTCTTTTATTGTCCATTTCATGTTCTAGGATTTCATCCAGGATATCATGTATTCCTAGACTCTTTTTGCTTTGACAGTTTCTTAGATCTTTCTTGCTTTTGAGGTCATTGACATCCCTCATGTGGGATTTCACTGATGTTTTTCTAATGTTTTGACTGGAGTTGTCAGTTTTAGGGAAGAAGATTACAGACAGAATATGCCATCTCATCACATCATATCAAGGGTACACACTATCAACATGCTTATTACTGTTGACATTAACTTGATAATTTCCATGAGATAATTTAGGTCAGGGATCACCATTTCTTCAAAGAATCTTAGTTCTTTATATTGTAAGGTAATTTTTGTTCCCCTTTCCATGTTGACCTTTTTAAAAAGAAGTCACTGTGCCCAGCACATATTTAAGAATTGGAAAAACATGCTCCACCTCCTGCTAGGCAGAGCTTCTACAATGCCATTTATGTTTCTTTACCATGGACAATTTCTCTATTCTGCTCCATGCATTATTTATATTCATCATTTAATATATCATATAAAATATATGAAATCACAAATATTTACTTCACACTATAATTACTAGTTTATTGATTTTGTTCCTCAAATTGTTTTAGAGTTTGCCATGTAAGGTCTTTCAGATGATTCCTATACCATTTTGATATATCTACGTTGTTGCAGTTTGATTTTGTTTTTTGTTTGTTTGTTTGTTTGTTTGACTGCTTTGTTGGTTGTGTTATTGTTTAGCATTTTATTACTTTCTGGCACTATAAAGTGTTCAAGCTTAATTGTTTTGATTCCCTACCCAAGCCTAATGTTCGTAATTTCTTCAAGGAGTTTTTATTTTTATTGGTGTCTAGTATTAGAAACAATGATCTGGGCAGTGGGTGCACTCATTGCTACTAGGTGATCTGTTGATTCTGGGCTTTGCCAGCTGACAGGAATATATCTGCATATTAACTCCACAAAAACACATATGTAAAAATATATCTACATTTGTCTATGTATATCTATATAAATTTAAACCTGTATTCCCACTAATGTCTCCAATTCTAATCCAGTACCACATGAATGAATCTACTTATTTTTACTACTTGCATATAACCTCTCATTCTAACAATGAGAAAACTGGCCCCCTTTATGAAAACGTTGAGTCCCAAAATATATGCAGACTGGTATCAGAGTTGGTCATTCATACTCCCATAGGAAAGGACTTTATAAATTAAAATGTGTAAGTATATTATTTTACCTGTGTTTCTCAATGGAATGGCCCCTTTCAATAATGTTTTAATTTGTATACATTTTTATTCACTCTTTGTGATATAAAGTTCTGTAGAATTTTACAAATAGTAGCATTAACTGACCATTTTCGTAGCATAGAGAAAAATTTCACTGCTGGAAAGAAATCTGTAATTTTCCTTTCCAACCTTCCTCTCACAAGTTCCTAGTAGCCTCTAATCATTTTAGTATAATTTCAACTTTCCGCAATGTCATATAAATTATATTGAACAGTACATAGTGATGCAAACTACCTTCATTTTCTTATAAATATGCCTTTAAGATTAGTGAAGCAGTGAAGTGTATCACACAATGAATTTGATCTGTGTTTTACTAAGGACTAAATTTGTTGAGCATTGTACATTTGTATAACTTCTTTGGGAAGATGTCTAGTCACACAAAAATTTTGCCCCTTATTTATTAGGATATTTTTCTTTTTATTTTTTAGTTGTAAGAGCATTTTACATATTGTGGCTAATAGACCCCTATCAAGTGTATGATTTGCAAACATTTTTTCCCATTGTTTGGGTTATCTCGATTGTGTACTTTGAATAATGAAAGTTTTAAGTTTTGATGATGTTCAATGTATGGGTTTTGTTTTTTTTTTTTTTTGCTTGTTACTTGTATTTTGATGAAATATCTTAGACTCTATTGTTTAACCTAAGGCTGTGAAGACTAATTCATACATTCACTTTCATAGATTTTGTCATTTTAACTCTTACATTTAGGCCTATGATCCACTTTAAGCCAATTGTTTATATGATGTGAGGGAGGAATCCAGCCTGCAAGTGGATATCCACTTCTGCCAGCAACGTTTATTGGAAGAAACATTTTTCCATATTGATATGCTTTCACAATCTTTAAAATCATTTAAACCATAAATATAAAGGTAATTTTGTGGACCCTCAGTTCTATCCAATAACACATATGGCTAAACTTATACCAGTACCACAATGTCTTGATTACTATCAGTTTGTAATAAGTTTTGAAGTCAAGAACTATGAGTCAAGTACTCCAACTGTATTCTTTTGGGTTAGTTTTGGCTATTCCGGAGCAATTGCATTTTCATATGAAATTTAGAAGTAGCTTGCCAATAACTGCATTTTTTAAAGAAGCAGTATTTTACTATGGATTGTATTAAATCCATAAATCCATTTGGGAAGTATTGTCATCATCACAGTATTAAGTTTTCTAATCATTGATCATGGGATTTTTATTTTTACATTTTTTAGGACATCTTCAGTATCTTTCAATACATTTTATAGTTTTCAATGTACATATTTTACACAGATTTCATTAAATTATTCCTAAGTATATCTCCACTTTGAAGCTTTTTACATAGGAACAGTTTTCTGACTTTCATTATTTTTTTTTTTGAGATGAAGTCTCACTCTTGTCACCCAGACTGGAGTGCAATGGTGTAATCTCGGCTCACTGCAACCTCCGTCTCCCAGGTTCAACTGATTCTACTGCCTCAGCCTCCCGAAGAGCTGGGATTATAGGCGCCTGCCACCATGCCCAGCTAAGTTTTGTATTTTTAGTAGAAACAAGGTTTCACCATATTGGCCAGGCTGGTGCCGAACTCCAGACCTCAAACAATCTGCCCGAATTAGCCTCCCAAAGTGCTGTGATTACAGGTGTGGGCCACCCCGACCAGCCTCTGACTTTCATTTTTAGATTAATTGCTAGTATATAGAAACAGAATTGCTGGTCATCGCTCACTCCAGGCTCCTGCTCTCAGGCTCAAGTGATTCCCCTGCCTCAGCCTCCTGAGTAGGTGGGGCTACAGGTGCATGCCACTAAGCGTAGCTAATTTTTTGAATTTTTTTGTAGAGACAAGGTCTCACCAGGTTGCCCAGGCTTTTCTTGAATTCCTGGCCTCAAGCGATCCTCCTGCCTTAGCCTCCCAAAGTACCAGAACTACAGGTGTGAGCCATCATGCCTGGCCAGAAATAGAATTGATTTTTTTTTTTAGATGGTATCTCACTCTGTCGCTCAGGCTGGAGTGCAATGGCCTGATCTTGGCTCACTGCAACCTCCACCTCCTGGGTTCAAGCGATTCACCTGCCTCAGCCTCCTGAGTAGCTGGGATTACAGGTGCCCACCACTATGCCCAGCTAATTTTTGTATTTTTAGTAGAGACAGGGTTTCACCATGTTGGCCAGGCTGGTCTCAAAACTCCTGACCTCAGGCGATCCACCTGCCTCGGCCTCCCAAAGCGCTGGGATTACAGGCCTGAACCACCTTTGTATACTGCAAAGTTACTGAACTTGTTTTTAGATTCTAATCTTACTTTACTGAATTCCTTAGGATTTTCTATACACAGGATTATGTCATTTGCAAACAAAGATGGTTTAACTTCTTCCTTTCTATTGTGAATGTCTTACATTTTTTGTAGCCTAATTGTCCTGGCTACATCCTCCAATACTCTGTTGAATAGAAGTGGCAAGAGTGGACCTCAGTGTCTTATTTCTAATCCTGGAGAAATTACTGAGGCTTCCATGACATTGTATGTTTCTATGTGAATTTTTAATTGATGCTCTTTATAGGCAAAGTTCCCTTCTATGCTTCATTTGCTCAATGTTTTCATAAATGCTCCAATCATAAATGGGGTTTTAATTAGTCAAATGCTTATTCTTCATCTTAAGTGATCATGTGTTTTTACTCTTTATACTATTTAGATAGTATATTTTACTAATTGTTTTTGTATGTTTATCCAAACTTGCAATGCTGGAATAAATACCCTTGGTCATAGTGTATATCCTTTGTCTACGGTGCTTTTGTGTTTTGATAGTTTTTCCTTGAGGATTCTCGTATTTATAAGGCATGTTGGTCTCTAATTTTCCTTTCTTACAATGTCTTTTTCCAGTTGTAGTATCAGGTTAACTGACTTCATAAAATGCATTGGGAAGTGCTCTCTTTTTCCTTTTTGGTTTTCGTTCCTTTGTTTGTTTTCTTCTTCTCTTGGGAGAGGAGTTAGTGAAGGATTGTTATAAATTCTTTAAAGTTTTGGTATAATTTACTAGTGAAGTAATCTCACCCTGGGCATGTAATTGAATCCTAACAACAATCTGTGAGCTTGGAAGATGATTCCTCCCCAGCTGAACCTTCAGCTGAGACTTCAGCCTAGACATCATCTACACCAGGATTCATGCCCTAAAGAAACAGTGAGTAATATGTGTGTGTGTGGTTTTGAGGCACTTTGCTGTATAAATGAGTTATACAGCAATAAATAAGTAATAAACCTGACAGTTAATGTACTGTGGCATCTGGAATGAATCATTGACAGAAAAAGTGACATTAATGTAAAATCGGGTAAAGTATAAAGACAGTCTGTATTTCAGTTAATGGTTTTTACCACATTCAATTTTATTTGTTTTCACAAATATGTTATGGCTATTTAAGATGTTAAGATTGCAAGAAGCTGAATGGTATACAAAACTCTTTATATTCTCCTTATACCTTTCAGTAATCTAAAATTAATTGTTATTTTTAATTGTCAGATAATAAGTGTATGTACTCTTACTCATGGGGTTAATTGTGGTGTTTTGTTATATGTATACATTGTGGAATGGTCAAATTAGGCTAATCATCATATCCATTACCTCAAATATTTATTATTTCTTTGTGGTGAGAACATTTAAAATCATCTCTTTTAGCTGTTTTGGGAAATATACAACACATTCTTATTATCTATATTCACCATGCTGTGAAATAAATCACCAGACATTATTCCTCCTGTCTAATAGAAACTTCAAACCCTTTGACCAATGTCTCTCCTTCCCCAACCACCCCTTCATAACAACCTGTGGTAACCACCATATGATTCTCCACTTCTATGAGTTTGACTTCTAAGATTCCACATATAATTGAGATCATATGGTAATCGTCCCTCTGTGTCTAGCCTATTTTACCTAGCATAATGTACTGTAGGTTCATCCAAGTTGTTGCAAATGACAGAATTTCCTATATTTTTAAGGCTGAATGGTATCACATTGTGTATATGTACCACATTTTTGTTAATCCATTTATCCATTAATGAGCTCTTAAATTGTTTCCAAATCTTGGCTAATGTAAATAATGCTGAAATGAACATGAGAGTAAAGACATCTCTTCAACATAGTGATTCCAATTTTTTTGGCATATACCCTGGAGAGAGATTGCTATATCATATAGTAATTCTATTTTTAATTTCTTGTGACACTTCCATAGTATTTTCTAAAATATCTGTACTAATTGACATTCCCACCTACAATGTACAAAGTTTGTCTTTTTTCATTTCCTCACCAACATTTGTTATATTTCATCATCCTGACAATAGCCAAAGTAGCAGGTGTGAGCCAATATCTCATTATGATTTTAATTTACACTTCTCTGATGATTACAAATGTTGAAGAATTTTTTCATATGTCTGTTGGACAGTTGTATGTCTTATTTTGAAGTCCTTTGCCCATTTTTTATGTTGTTACTTATACTCTTGTAATTAAGTAGTGCTGAGACCAGCTCGGTCGTGGAGACCATAATCCTGTGGCACTAGAGGAATTAAAGACACACACACAGAAATGTAGGGTGTGGAGTGGGAAATCAGGGGTCTCACAGCCTTCAGAGCTGAGAGCCCCGAACAGAGACTTACCCACATATTTATTGACAGCAAGCCAGTGATAAGCATTGTTTCTATAGATTATAGATTTACTAAAAGTATTCCCCCATGGGAAACAAAGGGATGGGCCAAAAGGAAGGGATGGGTCTGGCTAGTTATCTGCAGCAGGAACATGTCCTTAAGGCACAGATCACTCATGCCATTGTTTGTGATTTAGGAATGCCTTTAAGCGGTTTTCCGCCCTGGGTGGACCAGGTGTTCCTTGCCCTCATCCCGGTAAACCCACAACCTTCAGCGTGGGCATCATGGCCATCACAAACATGTCACAGTGCTGCAGAGATTTTGTTTATGGCCAGTTTTGGGGCCAGTTTATGGCCAGATTTGGGGGTCTGTTCCCAACAAAGTAGTTTGAGTCTTGTATATTTTTTAAGCATTTCACAATTAAAATCTTATTTTAAAAGTGTTGTTTTGGTACCAAAAAAAAACTACACAGACATAAACAAATAACCTCCATCAGGTAATGATGATTCATTGGATGATGGTCATATACATAGGGAGAGAATAGGAAAGCATCTTCCTTATCTATTCACAATTCTAAATTCAGGTGCATCTGCTTCAGAAAGACACCATCAAGCTCCAGGAACTTTTCTCCTCTTTCTTTTTTCCCACTGGCTTCCCATTACATAGTCACCACTTTCCTGAGTGTCAGTAATCACTTCTTCAAAGAAAGCTTCCTGTGTCTCACATATCACAGAAAACCCCATTTTAAGAAGTTGTCAGATAGTTTATCTACAAGATCCCACTAAAGCCTTTTTGGAAGGCAGGGATTCAGGACATTAGAAGGAAAGATTGAGAGATACCAATGACAAGGAACATAAGTCATATTTCTGCATTTAGGAGAGTGTTTCCATGTGCAAGGAATCCTTCTTTAAATTTTCACATGACAACTATACCTTCAAGACTTTGAGAGAACCCTGTGATAATGAAGTTATTTTATTCTATAGACTCCACCATGAATTTATTGGGAGCATGTGTTCTGCTGAGATTTCGTTGTGGAATTATTGTTGTAACCAAGCAAGTTAGAGAGAAATGCCACACTTTGAGATGAATTCAGGAGTCCTTTATTAGCTGGCGACCGAGAGACAGCTAATGCTTGAAATTCTCTCGGCCCCGAAGAAGGGGCTTGATTTTCTTTTATACTTTGGTTTAGAAAGGAGAGCGGGGAGCTTAACTGTAGCAATCTTACAGAAGTAAAACGGGCAAAAAAGTTAAAAAGACAAATGGTTACAGAAAAGCAAACAGTTCCAGGTGCAGGGGCTTTAAATCCATCACAAGGTGATAGACACTGGGCTACTAACCAGACACGAACACAGGGGCTTAGGGTGCTATCATCTGGACAAATTCCTGGGAACTGCGGACCTAGCTTGCCATAGCATCTTATCAGTTATTTGCATTTTTTGATGTCCTGGGAGTCAGCTGGCAGAAGTTAAGTCCTTGAGGAAGGGGGTGGGTAAGGAGCCCTTGTTGTCTTGCAAATGAAGGAGCCAAAAGGAGTCCCTCCGCTTTCTCAACTAAGAGGGAGTGATTCAGGTTAATACAAGTTAGAGTATCACATTATAGTGCCAAATGACAATTCCAACAGCCACAGAATAGATATCATCATGGTCGTGGGTGGGCTGTGAAAAAAATAATAACTTTATATACCTGATAGATTAAGCCAATTTCTGCTGACACTGACCAAAAAAAGTCAGAATGGCAGTCCATTAAGTATACACAGTAGATGTGCACAAGGAGTGACCCACTGAAAAATGGCAAGCACGTTGATGAGCTCTAACGCCTCATGGTGAGAGACTAAAAATTGTGCTAACATGATATTACAGGCACAGAGGACACAGTGCTAAGCAGCAAAACCCCAAATATTACTATGAAAGCATCACCTCCTAAACAACTTGTAAGCTGGTTTCACTGAGATTAGACTGCCCAGCAGATTTCTCAGAAAGATGTCAATGTAAACATTTAAACTTCCCAAATAAGAGCACATTATGAGGCAAGAACCCAACACCCTGTTTCCACACAAGAGTCTGAATAGAAGTTAGAGTGCAATGAATACATAGCTTATATGTATGACATCCAAACATGCTATTAACTTAAATGAACCTCTACAACCTGAAAGTCTAGTTGCAAACACACTCAACATCCAAAATTATAAATTACGCTTCTTCTTCACTTAATATATTCATGAAGAAACACAAAAACCCATTCCGTTTTTTTAAGTAGCTAACAGGAGAGTTGACCAGAGTAACAATTAATCCAAAGAACAAGTTTTATGAAAGCCGCAAAACATCTACTTCTGCAGTGACTGATCAAGAGTGATTTCTATGATCACTATCCATGAGATTAGAAAGAGGAGTGGAGGAAAAAAAATGAATACTCAATTGTTCTGGATTAAAGAATTGGATGTGGAATGCAGCCTACAGAGACTATTGTTCATATTTCTAAGATAAGGGCAGAAATTCTCAAGTACAGTTTTTTCTAAGTCTGTAGAAAGCAGCCAGTCTAGTGCAAACATTCAGCTACCTCTATGCCATACCTGTCTTCCTTCTCAATAGTTTTTCTGAATTGTATCTTATAAAATTATTTCTCCACATATTTTGTACTTTTGTTATTTCTAGTTTGATCTTAAGGTATTCCTCTGGACAGTGTCTATAAACTCCAGCCCTGCCCAAAGGAGACTTAATACAATTTGGTCATGGATATCTACTATGTACTTTTCACAGGATATGTACTATGTACTTTTCATAGGTGGCCAAATGCATAAGTATCTGACCTGTGACCAGGTGTCCCTATCACAGGAAACTTGATTATATTGGAAGATTCCCTCGTGGTTCTTGTGTGATCTGTGTATGGTTTACCCACGCCAAAGCCGCCACGCTGTCAGGGAGCTTTGGCTGGGAAAACACTTAGGTTCAAGTGTGTTCGTCAGGTAAGACATAGAGGAGGCAACTCAGCAAAACACATGAAATAGCATGAGCAGTGCATTCTTTACACATCCCAGAGAGAAGAGGTCAGCATGCCTTACGTGACCAATGAGAAGGGGGAGCCTTCCTGGACACAGGCTCACAACAAGCCAGTAGGGAGCAAAGAGAGAGAGTCAGAGGGAAGCCCAGTCGCTGAAGCCTTTATTGGGATCCACTGCATTACACATGCAGGTTTCTCATGGGGAGTTCTAATTTCTGGGTTTGCAGGAAACAAGCATGAGTTCCACAGAGTCACACTATGACTGACAGGGGGCTACTGCTGCATATCTGCTCAGTTCACATGGAGTAGGTGTACTCTGTGGGACAAGTCAATGTAACTGTATCAACAACTTTCAGGAACTGGGAGGAATTGAGGAACTTGAAACTGTGTCAAGGATGACTGAGTCCTGCTTCTGGTATATGCCAGTTAAGTGTTATACAAAATAGATGCTGAGGCAAAGTAAAATTATCAGAATTTGCAACATATAAAATAGGAATTCCAGTAATCCACTATTAACTCCCTAAGAACCATGCAGAAGGTAAAAGGACTTGGTTAATTTATATGAAAATATATTTGAGCATGTTTCCTCAATAAAAGAACAAACTACAGCAGATCAACAACCATAATATTCCACTGAGAAATGAGCAGTCACAGAGAAAAATAGTGTATCCACTAATGCTAAAATGCACATTTTCACACCTTTCAAATAGAGATCCGTCTAAAAGTTCATCGTATCAAAACACTGCTGGCCACGACACAAACTTTATGTGGTTGTCTTTGTATGTGTCACCTGAATCTGGTCTAAAAAGCTTCCTTGACAGCTTCCAATAATATCATCAACATCAAAACTTGCAGAGTAGCAGTGGATTAGAAAGATAATCTCACAAAAAGTATCATAGGAATCTCACAAGGAATGCAGCATCACCAGATGCTTCTGATTAGCACAGACAATAAGGGGGGAAAAGTCAGGCAAGATAAGATTAAAAGTGACTCAGAAGAGTTTGATCCAAATGGAAGAAATTTAATAATACTTTTCTTAATGTATTTTGCATAATTTTTCATCTCCCTGAATAAGAATGATATAATACAAATATCCACATTTGTATAAGTTGAAAAGAGATATCATCAGTAATTATGAGGTAAATATTCTAAGTCATAAGAAGTATTTGTGTCACAGTTTGTCAATGGTTTTATTCTTTCATTGTGACAAAAAATAATGGTGCATTTCACAATTGATGCAATTGATGCAAATGATACACCTTTCACTTACATAGAAAACACTGTCAGTATTAGCAGTACTGACTTTGTGGTTGGCGTATTGACCAGCCGTTAGTCTACAAGTGTTATGTATCATTAGTTCATTCAATTCTCACAACATCTTAAGAGTTAGGCCTATTACCCCTCCCATGATACTGAATCTGACCTAAAGCCCTACAGGAAAAGAAGTACCTTGAGGTTGACTGTGTTTGTCTCTAGAGTTCAGACATTCATTCAGCTTGCTGATGAAGGACACCTTTTACAACTTCAAGCTTTCCTGGTAATATTTAGTCTTGTTTTTGTTTTGGGTTTGTTTGTTTGTTTTGGCATAAAAATACCTTTAACATTTGTTTGCAGTTTTCTTTTTTTAATCTCACATAAACATCATCTAAAAGCAAGTTAACATTTTTGCATTCTCTATTCATGCCTTTCTTTCCTTTATTTAAAAATGTATTCATAACTTTTTAAATATACTTTTAATTATTTTCATCTTTTCAAGTATCATTTTACCAATTGAATGGAAATATCACTTTTATTAGGAAAGATAAATGTTACACATTATTTATTTTAGTGTTCCACAGAAATTTGCTCTGAAATACCTGTGGTTGAAAAGGAGAGGGATAGAGACTTTTCTGAAAATCACAAGTCAAAATTTGCTCAGAATCACATGCTTTAAAAGAGCTGCGATTGTTTTCATTATATGGCTTAGTTTGTTCTAATTATGAAAGGTACACAAGGAATTAATTTGTGTATACAGAACACTGAGATTATTATTCTGAATGCAGTGAAAGCCACTTTGCTGCTCTGGAAGTTAGAATGTCCTCATATTGTTTGCTTTTTGTCTTACACAAACGCTATAGACATTGGCTAAGTCTTTTCTTTGATGCCTTCCAACTTGTTTTTGTGAATACATGTCTTTGTACAGATAAGCCATAATATAGATATGTATCCTTTTCCTACTCTTTGATGAGAGATTACCAAAAATTGCTTCTGGTTTGCCTTGAAATAAAAATACCACTCAGGTGGTGCTGTCATCCATCTCCAGCCTGCATATAGTTCGATACTATCGTCTTGTAGGAAGAGAACTACAAACTTTATTGATTTTCTATTATCAACTAGCAAAATATTTTTAAAAGGTTTTCATGCTTAAAGTTTTTTACATTTTATTTTCCTTGATTCAATCAATATTTTACCCACTTTTCTATTTCACTTCTATGTTGTTGTTTATTGTTTCAAGCTGAACCTTTGATACTCCTCTGAGTGAATCGATGGCTGAGTGTCCTGGGTAGTGAATATGGGATTCCTCAACCCGGATTCAACAGGGATTTCCATCTGAAGAAACAATTCAGGGCTCCAGAAAGCAGTCTGGGATTTCTTTAGCACCTGAAATGTGGACTGTGCAAATACCAACAGGATTGTATTGAGAGGAACACATTCTCTAGTGAAGGATGCCTTCCTGCAGGGTGAGTCTGCAAGACTCAATAGCAAATGGCTGCTATACAAGTAACAAAAGACTCAATATAATGATTTTAAAATGATTATGGTTGGCAATTGTTCAAGATTTATGAGATGTGAGAAATGAAGAGACCAAGAGTATTGATACATTATGGATATTTTTATTCTGAATTAATAGATAGACATTTATTTGCCAGGCAATGTTGCAGGGACTCTAGTTTCAGTCTTCTACACAGAGAATTTAAAGGGCAGACTTTAGTTTTATCTACAGTACCCTTCATCTTTACTCTATTTGATAACCTGGCACTCCTAACCTTAATTTCCTTGTAAATTAAGAGTAACCCAGTGCTCCATGCAAATTGTATAGACTGTGATATTTATGCAGTGAAGGACAGGCACAAGATTATTCTTAAATTGGAAAGAAACTGGAAGTGTTCTAGGGAAACAAAGAGAGGAGATAAGACATAACAGTTTTTCCTTGTTTGCATGAGAAATTTTTTCTGTTCTTATAAATAGAAAACTCGGCCAAGCGCAATGGCTCACCTGTCTAATCCTAGCAGTTTGGGAGACCAAGGCAGGTGGATCACTCGAGGCCAGAAGTCCAAGACCAGCTTGGGCAATATAGTGAGACCTTATCCCTACAGAAAAAAATTAAAAATTAGCTAGGCATCGTGGCACAAACCTATAGTCCTGGCTACTCAGGAGGGTGAGGAAGGAGGATGACTTGAGCCCATGATTTCAAGGCTACAGTGAGCTATGATCGCACCACAGCACTCCAGCCTGAGTGACAGAGTGACCCCTATTCCCCACAAAAAAGAAAACTCCCTTTAAATTATAGATGCTCTCTGAACTTACTTTGGGATGACATTCGCGTAAACCCATCAAAAGTTGAAAATATCATAAGTTGAAAATGCATTTAAATCACCTCACTAACCTAACATCATAGCTCAGCCTAGCCTACCTTAACGTATTCAGAACACTTACATTAGCCTATAGTGGGTCAAAATTGTCTAATATGAAACCTATTATATAAGAAAGCGTTAAATAGTTCATGTAATTTAGTGAATAAATCTGTGAAAAACAGAGTGGTCACGTGGGTAATTGAAATATGGTTTCTATACAAGGTGTATTGGTTTTCTGCCGTCCTACAGTCAAAATATCTTCAATCGAACCATTGCAAGCCAGAGAGCATTCATTTTAAAAAATGTAATCTTTGTCAGCCACAAATGACAACATATGGTACGAAATGTAGATTTGGGTCCAGATGTGGTGGTTCAACCTATTTATACACATTTCCTTCAATTCTAATGTTTCACTTTTCATATGGGCTTGTTGCAAGATGGTTGTGTCATGTGACTGCCTCTTTCTGCAGACATTAATAAGATGAACAGGTGGAAGACCAGGTGTATTCAAATGTATTTTCAAGGGTCTTTGTTTTTTTCTTGTGGACTGCTACTGCAGTGAAATTAGGCAAACTTGTTTTTCCAGACCCTAGTTTAATCGTATCAACACAAAAAGTCTCCAAACATCCTTGCCACATCACAGCAGGAAATTATCTTGAAGAAGTACCTTGAGGCGATAGTAGGTCTCATGTCACTATTTCATATCCCACAGGTATCACTGTCCTTCGTTGCTTCATGCACAGTGTCTCACAAACCATTGTTCACATAATTTGTCCACTTTTTTTGCATTTGTTAAGGCGTATTAAACCCTATGAATTTTACTACAATATTTTGATTCCAGGCCGGGTGCAGTGGCTCACACCTATAATCCCAGCACTTTGGGAGGCCGAGGCAGGCAGATCACGAGGTCAGGATATCGAGACCATCCTGGCCAACATGGTGAAACCCTGTCTCTACTAAAAATACAAAAATTAGCTGGGCATGGTGGCACGTGCTTGTAATCACAGCTACTAAGGAGGCTGAGGCAGGAGAATTGCTTGAGCCCAGGAGGCGGAGATTGCAGTGAGCCAAGATTGTGCCACTGCACTCCAGCCTGGCGACAAAGTGAGACTCTGTCTCAAAAAAAAAAAAAAATTGATTCCTGCCTTCTGCAATTACTCAGTGATTACTGTATCCCTGACTATTTGCCTCAAGTTGCCAAGATGAAAAAATAATGAAAGTGAAATGCTTAGATGAAGATAATTGAACTGGCATTTGTGACACTAAAGGGAGGGGAGGTCAGATTGGTCTTGCACAGTATCAGCAAGAGTCTCGATGGGTGTCAGCCACTGTGTGTCAATGAATGAAATATTTAAGATGCACCTAAAAGAAAGGATAATGTCCCTGTTGATTAAACTACAGTCATGTTTCACTTAATGAAGAGGATACATTATACATTCTTATAAATGTTTGTTGGGCAGTTTTATCATTCTGGGACCATCATACAGTGTACTTACGCAAACTGTAATAGGTTGTGCCATCTACTACACACTTAGGCTATATGGTATAGCCTATTGCTCACAGACTACAAACGTATGTAGCATGTTGCTATACTTAATACTGTATGCAGCGCTAACAAAGTAAGTATTTGTATATCTAAACATACATAGATGTTAGAAAAGTCACAGCAAAAAATATAGTACAAAATCTTTTTTATGGCCAGGCGCAGTGGCTCATGCCTGTAATTCCAGCACTTTGGGAGGCCAAGGCGGGGGGATCACCTGAGGTTGGGAGTTTGAGACCAGCCTGACCAACATGGAGAAACCCCGTCTTCCCTAAAAATACAATCTTAGCCGGGCATGGTGGCGCATGCCTGTAATCCCAGCTACTCGGGAGGATGAGGCAGGAGAATCACTTGAACCTGGGAGGTGGAGGTTGCAGTGAGCAGAGATCGCGCCATTGCACTCCAGCCTGGGCAACAAGAGCAAAACTCCATCTCAAAAAAAAGAAAAAGTATATATTTTTTAAATTGTACACCTGTATAGGGCACTTATCATGAACGAAGTTTGCAAGACTGGATGTTCCTCTGGGTCAGTCAGTGAGTAGGAAAGTGAGGGCCTATGGCATACTTTACACTACTGTAAACTATATAAACACTGTACACTTGGGCTGCATTAAATTTACTTTAAAAATAAAGTAATTG